>NC_000014.9:100823713-101126714 GCF_000001405.40 Homo sapiens | reverse complement strand
GCACGAGAAGCTCCCAGGTCCTCTTCATTCTCTGATGCCCAAATTCCACAGAACAACAAGGCTCTCTCAAGCCCGTAGTGGTCAAGGAATAGTTTGGAACATTGGTGGCCAGCCTGCCTCATCTCGTCAAACTGAGAACCAAGGGGTCCTGAGAACACATAGCTTTGGCTGTCTCTGCACCACGCGCGGGAGCAAGAGGGCTCGGAGACCGGCCCGCAAGGATCACGAGTGGCCTTCGCTTTCCAGAGCAGAAATCCCAGGGCTCAGGGCCAAGCTGGAAACCGAGGAGGCCCTGTCTCTTCTCATTCTCCTCATCGCATTGGTGGCTAATTGACCACAGGACAGTATCTATGGCATGTATACAATAAACATGACTTCAGCTGTCTGGAACCATCTTCCTGTGGGGCTGTCCATCGCTGTACGGCCCCCAGCCAAGTGCTGGGAGGAAGCTCCCGCTTTGGGGCCAAAGGCAGGGTCTCTCCTAGGCAGGATCTGGCCCCCCGAGGGCACCAGCACAGCCTCCATCTCTGCCCTGGGGTTGGTCCTCGGCACACAGTGATAGGCCAGGGCCGCCTCTGCTCACCTGAGGGCGCTCGGCAGAGCTTTATGGTGAGCAACAGAACCGGGTTCCGAGACGCTGCAGACACCTGGGTCTCATTTCTTCCTCATGGTCTAGGAGGGTGACGGAGGAGACACCAGTCACAAGAGGCCTCCAGGAGTGCCGACGTGCCCCAGACCCGGGTGCTGAGGAGCAGCTGGGGAGGAGCCATGGGTCCCTGGGCAGACGGCGGGGAGATGGCAGGATGGGTCCAGGGATGGGGCCTGGTAGGGCGCTGTGGTTTCACTGGCCACGACTTTAGAGAGGTTTCCTTGGGAACCAGCGACTGGGCCGGAGGCAGGAGGAGGGTGGGCAGAGGGGACGCGCAGCAGGGTCACACTTGCCTGACCCACCCCTCAGGCCATGCCACCCCCTAGACGGGAACCTCCTCCCACGCCAGGGCATATGAGTCCCTTACCCGTGGTCCACTGAGGTCCAAAAATATTAAACAGAAATCCCAGAAAGAAACAATCCCTAAGTTTTCAATTGCATGTCGTTCTGCACGGCTGGATGAAATCTCTCACCTTCCCACCCTGGACACGCGTCCCCCTTTGTCCAGCGTCTCCACACTGTAGGCGCCCTTCCTACCTCTTAGTCACCTAGGAGCCCTCTCGATGACCAGGTCTACCGTCATGATGTCATAGTGCTGGTGGTCAAGTCACCCTTATTTTATCTCATCATGGCCACAAAGTGTGGAGAAGCAGTGCTGGCATATTGTTATCATTGTTCTATCTGGGTTATTAACTATTGTGGTTAATCTCTTCCCGTGCCTGATAAACTTCATCATAGGTATGCATATACAGGAAAAAACACAGTAGAATAAGGTCCAGTCCTACCCAAGTTTCAGGCTTCCACTGGGGGTCTTGGAATGCACCCCCCCCGATAAGGGGGGACCCCTGTGTAAGGAGGGAACCCCGATGCTGATGTTGAGGCTGACGATATTCTGTTCAGGAGGGCAGCTGCGTGTGTTGGCCAGACTTCGCCTCTGCAGACTTACAGGAGGTTGTCCCTAGATCCAGGTTACAGAAGCTGGCCTGTACCCAAAAACCAGTGCGTGCACTGCATGGCTGTACATGTGTGTATGTACGTGTGTGCACCAAGGGGAGTGCGTATGTGGGTGTGGGTGAGCACATGAGTACTTGTACCCATATGAGTGCATGTGTGCATGGCTCTGAGTGTGTGTCTGAGTGCCTGTATGTAAGGGTGTGTGTTTCTGTCTGTGAATGTATGTATACGAGCATGTGTGAGTGTGTAAGTGTGTGTTGCCTGCGTGCGTGCCTGCGGGTGTGTCTGTGTGTGCTGGGAAGGGGGGTGTCAGTCCCATGACTTCCCCAGGTGGCCAGGGGCTGAGGCTGCAGCATGTCCATCCAGATGAGCAGGCTGACCTTCTCTTCAGCTCATCCTGGAAGGTTTTCCCTGGGCCCAGTTTGACCAATGCTTCTTGGGCTGGGCTGTTGGTGTCCCACGCACAATATTACTTATGACTAAGGATCCTTGCTGCAGAAAATGGTGACTGCATCTGTCCTGACAGTAACAACCCTTCCCACCGTCTGTCATCCAGGACGAGGCTGTGGTGGGGACATAAAGGGGACTGGGGCTGGATTGGGAGCTGTGCAGAGGCCCATAGGGATGGGGCTATTAGATTCTCTAGAGGTTCTATTGGAATGGGGGTTAAGCTACCCTGCCAGAAGCAGGTGGGTGCTTTCACTGGGGTCCTCCCATTAGAGCAGGAGCCCCGGGCTCTGGGACCAGCCATGTCTGCCACACTGATAGGTGACTTCTGACCCTCTCCACCCTACAGGGACCCCCCAGTTCTCACCAGCCCTCTGGAGTCCCCCAACAGAAACATCTAGGGCAGGGCATCGGGAGGCAAAGTCCAGAGCAGGAGGATAGGAGGCAGCCCAGGGGCTCAGGCACAATAGCATTCAGAGGACGTGAGGCCGGCATAACCTCATTGCCTAGTCACAAGTCACAGGTGGGCTCTGTGGGGCTTTTGTAGACTCTGAGCTCTGTCTGGGCCACAGTCATATCCAAACTCCCCTTGGATCCTGACCTGCAGGCAGCATCTCCAGATCTTAGGACCCCAGTCTGGGAGCCTGCAGAGGAAGACATGAGGTAATAGCGAGGAGGCGGCAGCCAGATGTGTGGGACGGTCAGTGTCATGATGCAGAGGCCCTGGTCAGCAAGGAGCAGGATTGGAAACCCCCTTGGCTCTGCGCATCCTGAAGGGGAAGGCGCCTGGTGCCTCTCTACCCTTCGATGTAACTGACGCTGTGGGGTATAATTATTTTCCTCCCTCGGTGCGAGCTGACACAGGCAGCAGCCCTGCGTGGTAGGAAGATGAGCAATAAAGCATTCTGAAATGAAGGCTCAGTGATCCGGAAGATTTAAAGCACCCTGCGTAGGAAGCAGGCTCGGGCAGCTCAAAGCTGGCTCCAGTGCCGGCCAGAGAGACGTCTTACAGCCCCCTCTTGGGTGATGGCTGTGAGGTATGGAGGGGGAAGCAGGCATCAGCATCCAGATGTTGACTCCTAGAGAGGCCTGAGGGTGGTAGGTGACCTGGGCAAGACATCAGGAGCCTAGGGCTGTTTTATTATTTGTTTCGTAGGGATGTTCAGGATTAAATATTTAAAGACTTTTAAAAATCAAGGCATAACATATGCAATAAAATGCACGCATCTGAAGTGTGCAGCTGGATGCATCTCACAGGCACAGACATGCAGGAAACCTCTATCTCATCACAGAACATTTCCACATCCGAGAGGGTCCCCTCGCCCCTCCAGTCAACAACCCCAGAAACAGCAGCAATGAAGCTGTTGGCATAGATGGTTCTTGCCTGGTTCTGGGCAGATAGAAACGGCCCCATGCAGCATGTACATGTGCGTGGTTGCCTTCTTTAGCTCAGCAGTAGGTCTGTGAGATCCACCTGTGTTGTGGCATGCCAACAGCTCTTTCCTTTTCCTTGCTGTGTAGAATTCTTTGCATGAATATAATGGGATTTACTGCACATGTTACAGTGAATGGGCCTGGGCTCCCAGCCTCCTGGTCCCCACCAAAGGCAAGCTTCTTCCTCTCCCATCTGCTTCCCATTCTCCTGCTGACCGCAGTCTCTGTCCATCCTCCCAAGCTCTCAGAATCTGAGGCTCACGGTGTCAAGAGTGGAGGAATCAAGCCGATCGGGCTGGCTCTCCACCCAGACTGGGGGACTCCTCACTGAAGGGCCTCCACCTGGAAGATCAGGGCATGAGAGCTTCAGAGAGAGGCCAGGGGTGCTGACAGGTGAGCAGCCCTGGAGGCCTCCTGAGGACAGGCCCACCCCGTCCCAGTGCTGGCCTTGATCTATCTAGGGCCCAGTCCCACCGCAGGCTCCCTTGGGCCCTTCCAGGGTCTCGGGGAGGAAAGCCCTGGAATGACCTCTCATCATCTCTCATCCTATTCCAGAGATTTCTGGATAACACTTGTGCTTGAGAGGCCGAGCTCATGGGATCCCAAGGAGGCAGAGCTGCTAGAGGGGCCACCTGAGTTCTCCAGTCCTGGGAACACCCCACTTCGCTCTGAACCAACAAAGGCCTCCGCTCTCCCATTCCGAGGTCGTGTCCTGGGATCGCTGTGTTGAGTAATTACTTACTGGAAGCCGTCCCTCCCTCAGGTGGTGGGTGGGCCGTGTGCGCGCAAGTTCGAATTGTGTGTCCACAGAGGGAATATTCATGAACTCAGTGGCGGGGGTGGGGGTGTTTTGGAAGACAGACTTGGATTTCTGAGGGAGAAGATACTTACAAGGCCTTGGTGGCCAGCCAGGTTCCCCCTCAGCCTCTCGGGCAAGGACCCCAGGAGGCCACACATCGGGGGAGGCCTGGAGGCCCTGGGGCCAAGTATTTGGTTCCTGTCGATGAACAATTTAATGAGAGTTTTCAGAAGGGCCAGACAGCCCTGGGATGAATGGCTGATCCCAAAATAGCCTCAGCTGGCACTTGGGCAGCTTAAAAGAGGCTTAAAAACAGAAAGAACCTTCAAAGAAGGGTGCCCGGGTGCCCCTGAAGCACTCTCATGCGGAGGCCTGGGGTTCTGCTCCCCAGGGACGCTGCCCTGCCCCACTCTGCCCTGAGCAGCCGGGCACAGATGCACTCTGTCACATCCCGTCCTGGCAGAGGCCAGAAGGGGCTTGGCAGAAGGAGCCTTAGGTGAGCACCGTTCCCACCCAAAATGCCTGCCCTCCAGTCCGCCACGGTCGGCCCAAGCTCCCATACCACTGCCCATGTTGGAAAAGCCCCTCTTGGCAGCCCCTATCCCCCAGCAGGCAAGAGTGGTCCTGAGCCTGGAAGGAATGTTCTAGATGGGAAGAATTGTCTCCTACTCTCGGTGGGGTGCCCCGGACCAGCTACAAATGGTGAGGAAGACTTGACTCAAGAGTATTACAGCAGGGACAGAGATGGACTCAGTTCTGAACACAGTGGGGACACCTGGGGATTGACAGCCCATGGGCAAAGGGAGGGGCTGTGGATGGAAAATGATGACGTGGAATTCAATCATTTGTCAAGGGGAGGGGATTCTCAATCAGCTCACTTAGGATTCTCTGCTAAAATTGAGTTCAGCAGGCCGTGGTGGAGTCTCGTGGAGAAGAGCTCAGAGAGAAGGGCCCAACTGAAGGGCAGCCAGGGAGGGATCCCTGTTCAGCCACACGGAGGGCCCCTTGTCCTGAACTTCCTCTCGGATTCACTGCTCGCTTCAGCCCAGTTGCCCTCGTTGGCTCCCCTAGCACAGCTGACGTAGCCCTGAGACTTCCTCAAACCCGTTTAAAAGCTGGGGGACAAAGGGGAAGGAAACGCAGTGAGCACACCAGCAGGCTTCTGTCCCCAGCCAGGGCCCGTTCCTCTGGGTGGCCCTGGCTCGGGCCTCCGGTGGAGCCTCCTGCTCTGCGGATCTTCTGGTTTCTCATCTGCCCTCCCCTGAGCCCTGGGAGGACGGCGCTCACCGACACACTGGAGCTGCGCAGTTTCAGGCCACTGTTCCCAGACTTGCACTGACTCCATGATGATCAACTCTGCCCAGGAAGTTGTCTCAGAGGGTCACCAGGAAGTGCACGGTCCAGGTGGGCATTGGGTCATCCCAGCCCCAGAAAGGCTTCAGCATCAGAGGGCTGCAAAAATCTGTGTCCCCTGGCCCCCACGGGACACAGTTCTGCAGATACAGGGCTTCCCAGCAGGGCCCCAGTTCCAGCCCTCCTTGCTTCCAGGCACAGGCACAAGCTTCTTCTCAAAAAGACTGTGAGTGGAAGGGAAGTGGGCCACTTCCGGGCTGAGGTTTCTGAGATAGGGCTGGGCCATCCCCCTGGCCACTTTCCTTCTTTGCCAGCTGCACACAGAGGGCTCTGACTCTCCCTGAACAGCAGAGCCACAGGGGTCCCTGAGTCAGCCAGGAAGAGGGCCACCTGCCCACCAGAAGCACCACATGGAGCTGTTCAGGAAGCAAGAATTAACGGTGTTACATGAAGCCACTGAAATGCGGAGGTTTTGCTTGTTAGATGCTATTATAAGTTCCCTAATATGGCATGTTATAAATCATCTCTGGCTGCCTCTGAATACAGTGTGTTTTCTAAACCAAAAGTCGCAGAGTTTATTCCCGCCTTCTTTAAACCTCCGCAGTGCATGGCTTTCCCTCCTGGATGTCACGCACCTGCCGGTCCCCTGAGCTTTGAGTACTGTCTCCCTGAGCCGCACGGGATGGTCACGCAGGGTCAGGGCCCGTCTGGCCATCGCTGTGTTCTTGGGCCCAGCACAGGCTGTCCCCCGGTGGCTGTTTAGAAGAGGGGCAGGGCTAATAGATCCTAATTGTCTCTGCCATGCTCCTCCTGTCTGTTCTGGGATCAGTGGACGCCTCGTTCCTCTTGTTTTTCATTCGTGGGACTTTCATGGGAAGCTATTTCCCTGACGGCTGTTTGCACTGATTTTTCTGAGACGAGCAACATCCTTTGCTTCTTTTCCTCTAATCATCTGGAAATGCTGTGTCTCTTGGCATCGCTGTCTTGCCTGTCTTCCACCCACCAGCTGTCCAGCTCAGAGCACTCTCAAGAGAGTTAGCTCTGGAAGAAGGACACAACCCCCTTCAGAAGGTTCTGAAATGTAGAATGCTGCCTCTCCCTGGGGCTGGGGAGTTAAGGGAAAGCACGGTGTGGGAGGGAGAAAAGCAGGACTCACCTCTGCAACCCGAGGCTGCCTGCCGAGCAGGACAGGAAAGCAGGAGGTGGGGGGAGGAGGAGAAAGACTCCTTTGGGGGCAGGAGCCTGAGTTCATATCCCGCTCAACCACGGGCTCGCAGATCCCCAAACTAGAGGAGATCCGAGGTGCAGGAAGAATGAATACCCAGTGCTTGCTCCCCTTTCAGGCAAAAGAATCATTCTGTTCATTTGACAGATGAGAAAACTGAGGCCGAGGGAGTTCAGGTAATTGGGAAACTAAGACTCAGCCGGGAAAGTGATCTGGTCAGGACACACGTGGAGTGGTACACGATGGATGCAAACCCTAGCTCCTCCGACTGCCCAGCTCTGCCCCTGACCACACCTTCATGGTGTCCATGGATATGTTCGAGAAGGATGGCAGCCCTGGCCTCCTGCCTTGGAGCTGGCCCCTCCCGGCGATCCAGCCCTCATCTCTAAGAAGGGAAAGCCCAGCCCCGTCACATCCTGGCCACGCCCGACTGTCTTCACGCTCCTGGGGCTCGCTCTTGGCTCCCAGACACCCCATGTTCACTGTGCCCCCCGGGCCTGGTCTTTGTCTAGGGCCTCCTCCCTCCTTGCTCAAGCTGATTAAAGCTGATCTCTGTTCCAAGCAATTAAACTCCAACCTGAGACCCTGCCCCTGGTACCGCCCAGGGCTGCTGTTGGCTCCACGGAGACAGCGTCTTTCTTTGCACAGCTGTACATGCGGAAGGGATGGGCTCGTTCGGAGTCAAGATGGGGTCATTTGGGACAGTTCTGGACTGGGCCAAGGTCAGGAGACCTTTCCACCATTGCAGTTTCCTTCTAGTGTATAAGATACACAAACAGCAACACATCTGCCTCTAAAGCAGGGGAAAAAGAACAAGAAAAGCAAACTCCTTCTTAAAGCTTATTAGGAAGACAACACGTCATGTTAATTCTTTTAGTGGAGTGATGATGCGGGGAGAAACAACACTGCAAGTCCTCAGGGACTCTCCCCCACGTGCTCATGGAGACACTCAACTCTGTTCCAAAGAACAAAGTTGAAATAGTTTGTAGGCGAGAACTTGATGAAAATTTGACATTTGATAAGAAACTAATTTTGGTGTGCCTTTTTAATACCTTAAAACACTATAGTAATAAACAACATCTATAAATGTCAAACTTTTCTATTTTGATTATGTTGCTTTGATTTTTATCAACTTTTTTTTATTAAAAATCCACTGTAAATGAAATAGAGAAGGGAAGATCGGCACAAAAAGATAAATTTTACAGTTTATCAAGATGTAAGCGACAGCATCTCATTTTTTTCAGCACTGGGATTATTATTTTTTGTCTCACTGTGGTTATTATGATGTTTTTATCTTTGTCTTCGAGTCTAGGAAACTTGCAGAGCTATGGGAACTGGGATTAAATTGCAGAGTGAAGGCGGCTTTCGCCTCAGCAGAGCAGAAAGATGCCAAGGTGGGCCAGGGATGGGGGAGGAGGGACATGCTCAGATTCTCTAGCTCTTTGGGTAGCTGCCAGAAGAGTGGAGTTAACTCTTCTAGGACCATAGCCCTTCCCTGGCTAGTGCTAAAGTTCCTCTCTGAACCCCTGTGGGTTCCCCCACACCCACTCCCCATTCTGAAGTTTCACATTTAGTTGAGGCCTATGTCCTATGGCTGTCCAGGCTCCAGTGGGGGATGGATCTAAGTCTGGGTTCCCTGTGCCAAACATGAAGGCAGTGTTTGTGAGTGCTGGAAGGAGAGATGGAGGGAGGTGGATAAATGGGGAGATGAATGGATGGATGGATGGGCATAAGGATGTATGGAAAAGTGGATTGACAGATGGAGGAATATATAGATATATGGAAGGAGAAAAGGATGAATGGAATGACAGAGGGAGAAAGAAGCAGATGAATGGGTGGGTGGATGGATGGACACATGGAGAGATGGATGGATGGGTGGATGGATGGATGGATGGATGGATGGATGGATGGACGAATAGAAAAGTGGATGGAAGGATGGGAGAATATACAGATATATGGAAGGAAAATGGATGAATGGAATGATGGAGGGAGAAAGAAGCAAATGAATGGGTGGGTGGATGGATGGACACATGGAGAGATGGATGGATAGGTGCATGGATGGATGGATGGATGGATGCATGGATGGGTGGATGAATGAATGGATGGATGGGTGGAAAAGTGGATGGATGGATGGATGGATGGTTGGATGGATGGATGGATGGATGGATGGAAGAATACGTAGATATATGGAAGGAAAATGGATGAATGGAATGATGGAAGGGAGAGAGAAGCAGATGAATGGGTGAGTGGATGGATGGACACATGGAGAGTTGGATGGATGGATGATGGACAGATGGATGGATGATGGACACATGGGTGGATGAACGAATGGATGGGTGATTATATGAATGCAGGGAGGTATGCATGAAGATAGGGAGAAAGGGGGAGGGTGGGAGAGCAGGCCTGTTCACTGGCTGGCAATTTTAGAACCACAACCTGTCAAGGCTTTAGTTCAGGCTTAATAACCTCCCCAGATCCTTCTGGCTCTGAATATTTTCAGTCCTCCAAAGTCAAGCTCAAAATAAAAGGGAAGGAAAATAAATCTCTTAAGGTAGCCTCTGTGTGCTTTTGAGAAGCAGTCACTTACAAGGACAACCATAATAATCATTTTTCTATTCCTTCCCAATTTGTAAAACATGTCCATGCCCTCATTTAACCCTTACAACCACTTGGAGATGAACATCATCCCAGCTTATCTGACAGCGGAACCGGGACTCAGAGAGCAGGGGTTTGCCCAAAGTCAGATTGCAAGTGACAGACAGAACTGGATCCTGGAGAGTCGAGCCTTCTGGCCCCTCTCCCCCAACAAGTCCCATCTCTGGCCTCAGGAGGCCGAGCTTGCTGGAGGCCCAGGGTGGTGGGTGGCATGCCAGATTCAGCTTCCTTTTGTGCAGTCTGGTGGGAAAAAAGGAGCCCGACAAAGCTGGAGAGTATCGGAAGTCTTGCCTGAGACGCAGAGCTCTGGAGCGTTCCAGGCCTGTGAATTCCCTGCTCCTGGAGGGCAGGTGGGAGAGGAGCTGATGCTGTTCACGGTCAGGTCAGACGGTGCCGCAAGCCTGTCCTGAGAGATTTGGGATCCGGAGGTTTGTGCACAATGGTGGCAGCAGCACAGACGTAAAGCCCCAGTCCTCAGCATCAGAATCCGTGACTCTTCTGAAAATGTGACTTCAATTCCACCAGCGCTGCAAGAGCACTGAGCTTGGAGTGCTTGGAGTGGGAAGGGAGGGGGGCTTGAGGGTCACTCAGTGTCCATGAGTGGTAGATAGAACTGGGTCCTGGAGCAGCTGAGCTGCCTGTGCAGACCGGCAGGGCCACTGTGAGCGTGTGCTCAACTGCTGCAATTTCTCATCCCACCCGTGTCTTCCGCTGCTGTGCTCCTTTGCTGAGAAAAGAAGGTCTTGCAAGTCCATAGGGTTCCCACATGTTAGATGCCTCTGCACCCTTGAACTCCAAAGAGTTTGTGATCCCAGGAAGCAGCTCTGAAATCCATTCCATAGAACTCTGGAGGTGACCGCCTGCTGTGCAATAAACAAAACCTCCAGACACCCCCACCCCCAACAACAGCTTAAGGAGCCACTGGGTGCTGAGAGCAAGGAGGGAAACCATGACCACACCTCTGCCTCTCTCACCTCCTTCATGGCCTCCTGCAGCCCTGGGATGAGAGGGGACAGCGCCCTAACAGTGAAACAGGCCCTGGAGGCAGAGGCTGGCCCCCTCCTCTCCCCTAGGGACTGTTGCTACATCAGGGAAATGACCTTAGATTTTCCCGCCTGTCCACCGAATTATCTATACTCTATTCTAGACAGCTCAGGTCCTGAGTTGAGTGAATTTGGTAACTATTTTAGTTTGCTGAAAGACCCTGGCTGCCTGCAGCCGAGGTCGGTCAGTGATTTTCCCCAAAGGTGTTTGTAGGGTCCCTAGCTGGGGGACTCCATGTCCACCCACTCACTGGCTCTTCCTCCTTGGTCCCCCATTCCGCTAATGCTGCCTGGGCACCTGCCTTCCACCCAGGGGCACCGGGCACCGAGGAGATGGGCGGGAGCAAACTGGGACATTTCTTCCCTTGAGAGTGATATTCTCTCCAGGGAGGGACCACATAGGGGAACCAGAAGACACAAAAGGCCATTACACTTCAAAAAATAGATTTAGGGGTCCAGGGCATTCCATTAACGTTGCATGGTGGTGAGGTCTGTGCCGTTAGTGTAGCCATCACCTAAGCAGTATACATTTGTACCCATTAAGCAGTTTCTCGTCCCGCATCCCCCTCCCACCCTTCCAAGTCTCCAGTGCCTCTCACTCCACACCCGGCATCCATGCGTATGCATTGTTTAGCTCCCACTTATAAGTGAGAACATGCGGTCTTTGACCCTCTGCGTCTGCTATATTTCACTTAAGATAATGGCTTCCAGTTCCATCCATGTTGTTGCAAAAGATGTCAGTGTGCTATGAGCGAAGCCAGCAGCGCACCTGCGCAAGCACACTGTGGGCAGAGCCTCCTGCAGGAGCTGTGCTTCAGCTGAGTCAGAACGAGATGCAGAAGGAGACGGGAGCCGCCTTGGAAGGAGAACTTGGGGAACGCAGTTCCAGCAGGAGGGACAGCGGGGACAAAGGCCTGAGACTGGGAGGCGGCTGGCTCTGGACTGGATGGGAGGCCGGGTGGCCACAGGATGACAACAGGAGGAGGTGTGGGATGGAGCAGCTGCAGGGTGCTTGGGTGGGCCTGGACACCAGATCTGGGTTTATCCTGAATGCAGAAGGAAATGAGGACAGATTGAGCAGGAAAGGGAAGGGACCCAGTGTGGAAGCTGATGCTGGACCCTGACTATTCAGCAGGGACTGTGAGCCATGCCCAGCCATGGGAACACAATCCAGTGGGGACGATGGATGGGGGACGAGGCATAACAAGTGTGTCCGGGGCCCTGAAGGGGGACCAGGGGCTCCGGGCAGCAAAGCTGGATGTTGGCTGCAGCCTGGTGTTTGGGAAGGATGTTGTGAGAGAGGTGGATGATGAGCTCCTGGGCATGGGGGAACCAGGACTGGAACACAGCCTGTCCGACCTCCCCACCCCAACCACGCTTTCTCCACTGAGCCCCAAACCGTGGAGAGATGGAGAAGGAGGTGCATGGCCCTGCCCAGTAGTCAGGAGGGCTGAGGCAGAGGCCACTCCCAGACCACCCTGGGAACTGCCCAGGGGGTGCTGGGTGACGTGGCCTGCAGCTCCCCAGTCTGGCACTGCTCCCAGACTCCACACCCCAGGATGAAGCCTCCTACAACCTGGCAGATGTCTTACCTGCAGAAACAGATGCCGGGGTCCAGTCAGAGGCTCTGTTCTCTTAGGAGGCCAATTGAAGCGGGGCCTTCCTGGATCCCGACTGTCTCCTCCCAAATTTGCTGCTCTGCCCCAAATGCAATTGGGGCCAAGTTTATTCCCCAAGGACCTCTCTGGGGGATTCTCTTTGAATTTCCCTTGAGTATTACAGCTGGAGGCCAGAGCTCCAGAAGGAAGCCAATGGCCAGGCTCCAGTCCTCCTGGAAAGCACAGTGGCCAGACCCAGAACGTGTCTGGGTCTGCCTGGGAAGGCTCTCACCGAGGTTCCTGGTGGAGCTGGCCTCCGGGACCTGGGGGCTCCAGGCAGCAGTGGCAGCCTGACCTCAAGGTGGAATCTGGAGGCCAGTGTTGTTTGGGTTTTGGTGGTTTAGGGCTTGAAAGGGGCCCAAAACACTGTCAGCACCTCTCCTGTGATTGATGGCCTTAAGAATACGGTCTGCAGGCACAGGCGCTGTTGCTGCGCTGGAGACCTCAGTCATCCACCGACACCCTCCAGCCCCCGCGGGCGGAGCCCTGCCAGGAGCTGCCAGGAGAGGTGCCGAAGGCTCTTCCAGAGCTGTCCTGCAGGGGATAATGGCCCCATCATCAGAAGCAGGGAGTTTGGGCCTGGCCATGGGGAGACTAAAGCTCTGGCCTTCGAGAGTGGCTGTGCAGGTGGCTTCACCTGGGGACCAGCACAGGGAGTCTGGTGTCCTGGAAAGGCGTGGGTGGGTCTGAGGGATGATTGGTGACTTTCCTGTGGCTGCCGTAACAAATTGCCACAAACTTAGTGACTTAAAACAACACAGATTTATTATCTTACACTTCTGAGGTAGGATGTCCAAAATGGCTCTCCTGGGGCTACGTTCCAGGTGCGGGCAGGGCTGGTTCCTCCCGGAGGCCGCAGGGGAGAATCCCTTTCCTTGCCTTCTTCAGCTTCTAGAGGCCGCCTGTGCTCCTTGGCCAGTGGTCTCATCCCTCAGACCTCTGCCTCCCCCGTCATGTCTCCTCCTCTGACCTCTGTCTCTCTCATAAGGACCCTGGTGATTACATGCGGCCCACCCGGATGACCCAGGATGACCTCCCATCTCAGGGTCTTGACTGTGAGCCCCATCTGGAGAGTCTCTTTTCACACATGAGGTGGCACATGCCCAGGTCCCGGGGACTAGGGTGTGGACATGGTTGGGGGGCGTTTATTCTGCCGCCACCAGTGATGCCAAAGATGGAGGAGATGGTGGCCCCATCCTCCCAGCTCTGAGCTTCTGCCCTGGATTTATCTGTTCCCATCAGATCAATCTCCAGGACCACTGAAGCCCGCAGGAGGCTGAGGCACGGCCCTGCTCCCACCTCCCCAAATC
This sequence comes from Homo sapiens, assembly GCF_000001405.40. Lineage (NCBI taxonomy): Eukaryota > Metazoa > Chordata > Mammalia > Primates > Hominidae > Homo > Homo sapiens. Next base: position 101,113,187 of record NC_000014.9, on the reverse strand, counting down.
CAGCTCCTGGCAGAAGTCTGTCCCAAGGGGGCTGGAGGGTGTCAGTGGATAGCTACCACCTCTACTTGGCTCAATGCCTGCTTTCAGGGGCCTGCAGCCCCACCCACCTCATCTCTGTCAACACACCATCCTCATGAGCAAGTGGAGCTGCCCCCTTGCCCACCCGCCTGGGCCCGCAGGCCCCAGCAGGCCCCTGCATGCTCCACATCCTTCTTGCTTCCTGGCCTGTCCCTCCAGGGCCTCAGAACTTTCCTTACCCTATCGCCAGGTCCCTGCGCCACCCTGAGGGGGCCACAGCTGCCTGCACTGTCAGCCGGATCCACTAGCCCCAGAGCCCACCAAGGCAGGGACGGTGCCCGCTTTACTGTTGCGGCCTCAGAACCCAGCGTGGGGCATGTCCGGTGCCTGCACATCCTCTAAGCATGCGGGTGTGCATGGGCCACAGGGACTGCGCCACTTCAAGGCACAAACGCCCGGGGGCCCTCCCTCCAGGCCGTGTTCCCAGGCAGTTCCTGGGGCCCCTACAGTCCTGAAAGGCCCTGTCCCTGTCCACGTGCTCTCCCTGCTCCCTGAAGAGGAGCCTGAGGGGACTCGGCCGCAGCCTGCCATCCCTGCGGAAGCATTGTGAGGGGCACAGGCCTGTAGGGGTGGGTTTCCCTGGAGGCCACCTCCGTCACGGCCACAGTGGACACTATGGCAAGCTCCAGAATGGGCCCCCACGAGCCCTTGAAGTGTCCGCATCCCCAAGGGTGGGGACTCCAGAGCACGTATTGAAGGTGGGGGGCACAGACAGGGCCGAGGAAAAGGGGGCAGACCTGGGGAGGGGCTGGCATACAGAGAAAGAGAAGGGTGAGGCTGGGGCGCAGGGCACAGACAGGGCCGAGGAAGAGGGGGCAGACCTGGGGAGGGCCTGGCATAGAGAGAAAGAGAAAAGTGAGGCTGGGGCGTGGGGGGTGGGTTTAGAGTTGGGGTTTCCTTCATTCCCTTCTTCCCTCTCTGAGTGCCAGGCACCGTTCTGGGGCCAAGAGCTCAGACAACAGCCCTGCCATCCAGGAGTGCTGGGCTGGTGGGAGACAGTGACAGACATCAGGGCATGGCCCCCGGGCAGGGGGAAGGAGAGGCCCCAGCCCCAGCTCAGCCTGGGTGGTGAGGGAAGGCTGGGGCAGGTGGCATCAGAGCCAGCCCCGGAAAGACAAAGACGGGCTCCTCGGCGAAGGAGGAAGGGGAAGGAAGGAGGCGGTTCAGGCCTAGGAAACGGCAGAGGCAAGGGCAAGGGCAAGGACAAGGAGCGGGGGCCTCGCTGGCTGACGCCCACTGCACAGCTGCCACTGCCCTGGGGCCAAGCAGGCTTTTCTAGAATGTCCCCAGGTCGACGCCTGCCTGAGGAAGGGTGGGGGCGCGGAGGGGCCTCGCACTCAGAGAGGAGGCTCAGGGTGTCCTGGGCCACGAGGTGAGGCCGGAACCTCTCAGTCTATTTTTGGGTCCCAGCTCTTTCATCCCCAAGAGCGAATGTTCACTCCTTTGTGAGCAGCCTCAGAGGCCCCGCGCCCCTCAGCTCCCGTCAGTCCCCCTTGGCCCCATGACTGTTGCTATTTAAAGGCATCTTGGTCCAGGCCAGAGAAAGGGGTAATTAGGGGCCTGGAAGATGAAAGGGGCCGCCGCCCCCACCCTCCATGTGCCTGCCCTCGTCGAGGGGTCAACAAAACCCTCTTTGTGGCCCTGCCAATGATAGGCACCAAGGGGGACCACTGGGCCACACGGGAGACATGACTGCGCCCTTCCCCAGGGTGGGCTGGGGTCTCTGCTGCCCACACACAGGGCCCTGGGCCACCAGGGTCAGCCTGGGAAAGTGTCCCCAGGCTGAGGCCCAGAAGCCCTGGGGCAGAGCTCCCCCTGCTCTGCTGGGCACCTGTCCACCGTGCATCCACAGACCTGGTGACAGAGGTGGGAGGGCGGTGTAACCGGCTCCTCTGGGAAAACTGCCCTGCCCTGGTGGTCATGAGGCTGCTGGGCCCAACGGGGTCTCTCATGGGAGCAGAGTGAGCCCGTGCCACAAAACGCCCTTTCTGGGCCTGCCAAGAGCATGTCCTCGGCCACCCAGCATCTGGCCCGAGCACTGCAGGTGGCACGGAGCATCCCTGCTTGTCCCCCACCAGCCAATGTCCCCTGCAGCCATGGAGGCCTGGGCACCTGCACCCGACCATCCTGGGTCAGGAAAACTAGGCCCTGGGATGTAGCATGGGGGTGCCTGCTCTCCACACCAGTCCCAGGCCCTGACACGGCGGCACCTGGTGTCCCCAGCCCTCCTGCTTCCCGTCACTCCCCTGATTCACAGCCAGGCCAAAAACAGGTACCAGCAGAGGCACCAGCGGGGCAATGTTCATCGAGGTGCCCTCTGTCTCCCTCTGTGCCTGTTCCTCTCTTTCTCCACCTCTCTGTCTCCGTGTGTGTGTGTGTGTGTGTGTGTGTGTGTGTGTGTGTGTGTTCTACCCAAAGTGGTTGCCTGCTGGGAACTTCTTAGAAACGCTCATTCCAGGCCCCACTCCAGACCTGCTGGAGCAGAGGGAAAGGCAGCAGCCCCTGCCTTCCTGCGAAAGGGTCCGGAAAAGGGCCTCAGCCACAGGTCTGACACCTGAGGGTGCACGGCCTCCTCTCTGGCCCTGGGTTTGGGCCTCATTGTCCTTATCTGAGAAATGGGAACTGGGGCTGGAGTCTCCCTCACAGCCCTGAGTACACTCAGCCCCTGTCCCCTAAGCCCGCCACTGACCCCGGGTCCTCCTCCTGCCGCCTCTGGAGGAGGGCTTAGGTCTCTGGTCCCCTGTCTGCCCACCAGGCCATTGTCACCCCCTGCACTCTGCCGACACCACTGTCATCAAGGTCCCCACCAGCACCTTCCCTGGCCTCCTCTTACTGGTCACGGCCGCACTGGAGACCCTTGGTCCCCCACCTACAGGAGCCATTTTCTCTGCGGCACACCCAGGCCCCTCCTCCCATCCAGAGCTCTGTCCCCGCTGCTGCAGCTTCTCTTCTGACCTGCCTTGTCACCTTCCTCTTGCACAGCCAGGTGGCTTCTGCAAACATCCCGATTCCCATGGCTACACAGGCTCCCAGCGCTTAGGATCCTCCCCGCCACTCCAGCTGATCTCATCTCTATGCTAGTCCCAGAACAAACAGGGTCCTTCCCACCTCCAAGTCTTTGCTCAAGCCGCTCTTCAGGTGTGGGATGAGCACAGCAAGAGAATTTATCATGGCCTGAGGTCCTGCAGGGTTCTTAGGTCAAAAAAGGGTGGTTCCCAGCCCCTGGCCCCAAGCAGGGAATCAGCCTCACCTCCCAAGCTCATATTAGGTGATGCCTGGCTCTCTCTCAGACCAGCTGCCATTCACTTCCCATCTGTGAGCCTCCATTTCTTCATCTGTAAAATGGGCTGTAGCATCGACCCTCCTCCTACTTGGCAAGGACTAAGTGCAGGTGACATTCCCAACAGGAGTGGGGGCCCAGTGCACACCATTCCCTCGTCCCCTTCCCTGATCCTCAAATCCGTCATGAGGATCTCAGCAAAGTAGGAGAGGAGCCTTTGGAAGAACATTTGTTCCGAAGCGTCTCATTCCTCAGCCTCAAGAGCACCCAGCACGCACCTGCGAATCTCTGGTTTTCCAGGATTCTTTATTTCTGGAAGACCAATGTACCTTTCCCCACTGGGCCGGGCAAATGTGACACTGACCCTGGCGGGACAGCCTGGCAGGTCCTGAGTGCATGGGCCTCTCTGGGCACACCGGCCTATCTCCAAGACCTGAGAAAGGCCGGGGGAATGGCAGAGCAGGTGGGAGGCTATGACACTGTCAATTCCGGGGCATGTGGCCCAGGACCAGAGAAACAACCCTCTCCGCTTTCTCACAGAGGAGATGGTCTGGACAGGCATGCGGCCGCCATGGGGAATCAGCAGCTCCACCATCAGCTCTGGGAGAAGCAACTACCAAAATCACACAATGACTCAGAGAAAGTGGAGAGACGGCACTCTGGAGGCTGGGCAACCTTGAGGCCAGGTGGCTGCTGGAATGGATGAGGCCTGGCCCAGGCCAGGGGGCCCCGTGCTCCGGGAGTGAGGCTGTCCTACCCAGCCCTGAGCTCCGACTGGCTGACCAGGGTGAGGATGGAGTCAGTAACCTTTGGGTGCCAGCTGCACGTGGGTGTTGAGCTGGTGCTTGCATTCCTTTGTTTGTTTCCTGGGAGCCCTAGGGGCGCCCTGGGTGGGTGTCCAGCCCGCGGATGGTGCTTGCATACCATGCTCACGGTGATGCTGAAATCCCAGTGTCAACCCATTGTACAGATGAGGAAACTGAGGGGTAAGGCACCGAGTCTCTTGAGAAGCAAGAATCCCATCCTAGTGTCTGGCCACCCCACCCCACTGCGGGCCAGGCAAGCTAGGTTTGCAGTTATTTGGAGGTGGGAACAGGCCCTGGGTGGGTCCCCCAGCAGCTCTGTTTGGCAGTTGGCCAGAGAGTGAATTTGAGGCAAGCATCTGCCTCGTCCAGGGACTTCTTACCATCTCCTTCCAGCCATGGCAGGGACCAACCCATCAGCCAGGGGGAACTAGACTAATTCACCCAAGGGTGGGTAGACTGAGGCCTAAAGAGGAGGGCAGCCTGCCCAAGGTCCCTTACTGCCAGGAGTCATCGGCCTCCTGGAGGATTCCCTTATTTGTTTATTTATTTATGTATTATTTTTGATTGCCTGATACAAATTGCATGTTTATGGTGTTCAACATGATGTTTTGCTATACGGATGCTCTTTGGCTTACAATGGGACTACATCCTGGTTGTAAGTTGAGAGTTGAAAATATTATAAGTTGAAAATGCCATAAATAAAAAATGCATTTAATACACCTAACCTACCAAACCTCACAGGTTAGCCTAGTCTGCCTTAAACACATTCCAAACACTCACATTGGCCCATAGCCCATTTTATAGGAAAGCATTCCACATCTCATGTAATTTATTGAAGGCTGTGCTGAAAGTGACAAACAGAATGGTTGTATGGCTCCTCAATGAATGTTCACAGTTGCAAGCGCAGTGGGCCTGAAGAGTATGGGAAGCGTGGAACTACAATCAATTGCTGCATGGTAGGGATGCTACAGCCACAGGATCATCCATTTCTCTCTCTCCTGTTGGGGCTCGAGACAAGCTGGGGGAAGGTACTGGGGCATCCACACCACACTTGTCAATGGATTAGCAGGCACAAGTGTTCCACTGGAAGACACCAAATTCTGACAGCACGGTTTGTTTCCTCTTTTCATTATTACCCTCCAAATGCTGGCAACACAGTACCCAGTAGAGTATTGGTTATTTAACCTCGCGATTGCGTAGCTGACTGGAAGCTACAGCTCTCTGTCACTGGCCTGTGTCATGAGGGAGTATCATACTGCATATCACTAATTCAGAAAATTTTTAGATATGCTGGGAGATGAGGCTCTAATTTCCTTCTTCTGCATGTGGATATCCAGTCTTCCCAACACCCTTTGTTGAAGAGACTGTTATTTCCCCATTGTGATTCTTAACATCTTTGCTGAAAATGAATTGACTGTAACTATGTGGATTTATTTCTAGGCTCTTCATTTTGTTCCACTCGTCTATGTATCTTTTTGTGTGTGCCAGTACTATGCTGTTTTAATTACTATAGCTTTGTAGTAGATTTTAAAATGAGGTAGTGCAATGCCTCTGTGTTTGCTCTTTTTGGTCAAGCTTACTTTGGCCATTTGGTTTTTTTCTGTGGTTCCATACAGATTTTAGGATTATTTTTTCTCTTTGTGTGAAAAATGACATTGGAATTTTAATATGGCAAGGCATTGAACCTGCAGATTGCTTTGGATAGTATAAACATTTTAATGGGATTAAGTCTTCCAATTTATGAACAAGAGCTATCATTCCTTTTCTTTGTGTCTTCTTCAATTTCCTTCATCAATATTGTATAGTTTTCAGTGTACAGAGTGATATGGCTTGGCCCTGTGTCTCCACTCAAATCTCATCTTGAATTGTAATCCAAATTGTAATCTCCCAGTGTTGAGGGAGGAACCTGGTGGGAGATGATTGGATCATGGGGGTGGTTTCACCCATGCTGTCATCATGAGAGTGAGTGAGTTCTCATGAGACCTGATGGTTTTATAAGTAGCAGTTTCTCCTGCTCTCCTCTCTCCTGTCGTGCTGTGAAGAAGGTGCCTGCTTCCACTTCGCCTTCCACTATGATTGTAAGTTTCCTGAGGCCTGCCCATCCCTGTGGAACTATGAGCCAATTATACCTCTTTTGTTTATAGATTACCCAGTCTTGGGCATTTATTTACAGCAGTGTGAAAACGGACTAGTACACAGATCATTCACCTGCTTAAGTTTATTTCTAAGTATTTTAGTATTTTTGTAGCTATTGTAAATGGGATTATTTTCTTGATTTTTTCCAGATGGTTTGTTACCAGTGTATGGAAATACTACTGATTTTTATATGTTGATTGTTGCCTCCTGCCACTTTACTGAATTTGTGTATTGGTTTAGTGACTTTTTTGGTGAATTCTTGAAGGTTTTCTATATAGAAGAACATGTCTGCAGAGACAATTTTACTTCTTCCCTTCCATCTTGGATGTCTTTTATTTCTCTCTCTTTCCTTATTGCTCTGACTAGGACTTCTAGTATTACGTTGAATAGAAGTGGTGAGAGTGGGCATCCCTTTCTTGTTCCTGATTACAAAGGAAAATATTTCAACTTTTCACAGTTGCATATAATATTAGCTTTGGGATTGTTGTGTATGGCCTTTATTGTGTTGAGGTACGTACCTTCTGTATGAGTTTGTTTTCATGCTTCTAATAAAGACACACCCGAGACTGGGTAATTTATAAAGAAAATGAGGTTTAATGGACTCACAGTTCCACGTGGCTGGGAAGGCCTCAAAATCATGGCAGAAGGTGAAAGGCACATCTTACATGGCAGCAGCAAGAGAGAGAATGAGAGAGCCAAGTGAAAAGGGTTTCCCCTTATAAAACCATCAGGTCTTGTGGGACTTATCCACTACCACAAGAACAGTATGCGGGATACCACCCCCATGATTCAGTTACCTTCCACTGGGTCCCTCCCACAACATGAGGGAATTATGGGAGCTACAGTTCAAGATGAGATTTGGGTGGGGACACAGCCAAACCATATCACCTTCTATACCCAATATGTTGAGAGGTTTTTTTTTTTTTTTATCATGAAAGGATGTTGGATTTTGTTGAGTGTCTTTTATGCATCTGTTGAGATATGGTTTTTGTTCTTCATTCTGTTAATGTGATATATTATATTTATTGATTTATAAATGCTAAACTATCCTTGCATCCCAGGGATAAATCCCACTTGCTCATGGTGGGTGATCCTTTTAATCTGCTGTTGAATTAGATTTTTCAGTATTTTTTTTAGAATGTTTATCAGAGATATTAGCCTGTAAATTTATTTTCTTGTAGTGCCCTTCTCTGGCTTTGATATCAGAGTAATGCTGACCTCATAAAATGTGTGTAGAGATATTCCCTTCCCTTCTATTTTTTTGAAGAGTTTGAGAAGGATTAGTATTCATTGTTCTTTACATATTTGGCAGAATTCAGCAGTGAAGCCATCAGATCTCGGGCTTTTCTTTGCTGAGTGGTGACCACAGTGCAAGCACATGGGGAGAGACCTTGTCTCCAGGGCCTAGTGTGTGAAATAGCTCACTATGGCAATGGCTAGGCAGTCTGAGTTCTAAGTGAGTGCAGTGCAGCCACAGAGCTGAGTCTGGAGTATGTGCACTCATGGAGTGGCTGCAGCTTGTGGGTAAGAGGCACACGCAAAGTTGGGAGAGGTGGTAGCTCCTTGCCTGAAGCAGCACACCAGTGGCTGCTCTTTGGGTGCGGGGAGGAGGTTTACAGCTGCATCTCCCTCTCTGGGGTTCCCCGGCAGGAACAGCTGCTGGTAACCTCCGTAGCAAGAGATGGCAGTATCCTCTGTGGAGCAGACCACTGGAGACCATGGTGGCACCCACTCTGTGGCTCATACCAATGGCCTCATCTTTCTTCTTTGTTCCTAGCCTTCTCCTGGCATCTCAGATGTGCCAGTCTCACTGGTGATCCTTTCTGTGTAATATTCTCCTTTTTTTTTTTTTCTCCGCTGGGTTGCTGCAGATTTTTCAATGGGTCCCTGAGCCCTTCTGGGACCATTTTGGTTCATGCACAGCTTTCTATATTTGTGTTTTTGTGGGGACGAGAAGGCTGTTACCTTCTACTCTGCCATCTTGGTGACCTGACTCCTGCCCACAGGATTCTGAGCTGGCAGTGACCTCAGGGATTTGGCCCCCAGCCCTTGGTTCAGGGCAGGAATCTGTGCCTGGAGAGAATGAGGGTTTGACCAAAGACTCTCAGAAGGTCAGTGGCAGCAGGTAAAAGACGGGTTTTCCTGCTGTCCCAAGAGACAAGGCTCAGCCCCAGCTGTCCCCACCGAGCAAATCACTCACCCCCAGGACCACTAACCCCCCACATTCTCAGAGGCCCCATGGCATTTGTGAATCAAACAGACTTGAGAGCAGCAGGGTCAGAGTGGGGGTCTGAGTCTTCCATGCATAGGTGGGCTCTGTGGGGGCCCGGGGCTCTCCACTTGCCCATAGTGAAGGGCTTGAGACACCGCCCTGCCCCTAAGTTTGACTCTGCTCTGTTTCCCCACCTGTCAGGTGAGAAACCTGGGAAGGGTCTCAAAGGGCCTGCCTGTTTCTTAGCTTCTGAACTGTGAGTGTTCTTCACCCCACTGCTTACCCTTCTATCCCTAAGAAATCTGCCTTGTAGAGGCCTGGAGTTCAGGGTCCCAGGCCCTGAGAGCAGTGACCTAGCCCACTTGGCAGGCTCGCCCTGGAGCATCTGATGCTTCCCGCACCTGCAGTTGTTCCTTCACCCCAGGCTTTGAAAGCCCTGATTCAAGCTCTCACCTGCTCCTTTCACCCCCAGATGAAATTCTGAGCTCCTCAGTTACTGCAAAGCCCTGCCTGTTGGGGCCCCCACACAGCCCACACCCTGTCTGGGATGGACGGGCCGTCCACACAGGCCCATAGCCATCCTACCTCTGGGCCTGGCTCCTGCTTAGCCTTCTGCCCATGGGAGAGGAGGAGGCATGACCTAGTGTGGGGCTGGGATGACAGCCAATCATAATGGTGAATTTTACTAGGCATTTGCTTTCCACCAGGCACTCTTTTAGAATGATCCACTCCTGTGTGTCTGTAGCTGACTCTCCCCTCGTATGGAGGAGACTGAGGCACGAGACTCAGGGCCTGCTGGAGATGGTGCAGACAGCAAGGGGAGCCAGGCCACAGATCGGCCAATGGCCCTCTGCAAGTCGCTCTGCTGCCTCTGGGGGAGGCGGAGGGACATCAGTAACGTGGCGCCCAGCTGCCGCGGGTCCTGCGGGGTGTCGGGGTAAGAAAGGTCAGGGCCGACTGGTTTCAAGCGGCAGTGAGCTGGGGAGGAGAATGATGATGTCATCCCTACAACCAGAGCCCCCGCGGTGCAACCCCTGAGTGGGAAGATGGTGCCTTCCACATGCCCCACACACAGCCTGAGCTGGCCAGAGGCAGGGAGCGCCTCGGGTGGGCTGGACAGGCTCTGTGGTGAGGGTGATAGCTGAGCGGGGCAGCGAAGTGGAAGGACGCCTGGTTGGAAGGGAGTGGCCGGCCCAGGCAGAGAGGCTGGAGTGCTGAGGGAGCCAGCTGCAGTGCGGGGGACGCGTTAGCGATGTATTTGAAGTTTCTGCAGGGAGGGCCCCACTGAGCCTGCACCAGCAGCCTGGGCCTGCAGCCTCGGCCCCTCCTAGCCAACATCGGTGAGGGTGTTCCCCCAACGTTTCACCTGACTCTGTCCCAGCTCAACTCACCTGGTAAGACTCAGACCCCATAACTCTTGTCCCGAGACACAGCCTTCCCTGCCCTCCCCCACATCCTACCTTCCCCATTTAGAGGAATTGGCCTCAAATGACCCACAGCAAGGCCCACTAGCAGCCAGGACTCCAGGGAGAGTCACCACCGGACAGCAGGCCTGGCCCTGGCCCAGGTTCTCACCACCCACGTTCCAGTGTGTCCAGACCACAGCCGAGACACTGTGTGCCTGCTTGCCACCTGCAGCCCATCTGGTGCCCTGGAACCCCCTGGAGCACATCCCCAGACAGGGACTCGGCATTCCTCACGCCACCAGCAGGGCTGCCCCATGCTGGCCTCCGAGCTCCAGTCCCTGCCTGAGACACTGCTCAAGCGCTGCCTCCTCTCTGGAGCTGCCCCGATCCCCCCAGGGCTCCCTGGGGCTCCCGAAACCCTCCTGCTATAAAAATGGTTCAGGGCCTTCAGGGCCTGGAGTCAGGGAAAGCAAGGCTGGACCCTGGCTGTGCCTCTTTCCAGGCCAGGGCCTTGTCCAATCTGTATCTTAGTTTTTCCATCTGTAAAGTGGGCTGGGTCCATCATGGGGCTGTGGGAGGGCTCTGGAGGGAATGTGGACAGCAGTCTTAGCTCCCAGTCAACAGCCACATAGGATTCAGAAACCTGAACTGACCCAGTCTGGGGGACCATCTCCATTTGTCTCCAGGTCCCTGGTAGCCAGCACAGGCCAGTGTCCAGACTCCCTTAAAAATAGCCAAGGCCAGGCAAGGTGGCTCACGCCTGTGATCCCAGCACTTTGGGAGGCCGAGGCGGGTGGATCACCTGAGGTCAGGAGTTTGAGACCAGCCTGGCCAACATGGTGAAACCCTGTCTCTACTACAAATACAAAAATTAGCTGGGCGTGATAGTGCATGCCTGTAATCCCAGCTATTCTGGAGGCTGAGGGACGAGAATCACTTGAAGTTGGGAGGCGGAGGTTGCAGTGAGCCGAGATCGCGCCACTGCACTCCAGCCTGGGCCACAGAGTAAGACTTTGTCTCAAAAAAAAAAAAAAAAAAAAAAGCCAAACTCCCCTCTAACATTTATAAACCCCCATTTACATGTCAAGAAAAATTGAATTTGTGTTTCTGATTCATTTACAGTTAATTTGTGAATGGCTGTTCTACAAGAGATAGCTGGGTCCAAACACTCCAGGCTGCAAATACCCAAGGTTGCAAATGTCCAAGGCACAGTCTCGCCTCCCTTTAGGGACACTCCCAGGATGGCAGGAAGCTCCTCTTCGGATGGGGCCTGGGCATGGGCAGAGAGACAGCATGACAGCCACAGACTCCAACACAACCAGGCTCCTGGTCCACTGGGAGCCTCCTGTCCCAAGTCACGGCCACCGTCCCTCACATCAGCAGTTCTCCAGCTATCCATGACTGGCCAGGGAGGCCCCTCATGGATGGTGAGAATGGCAAGCCGGGGAGAGGCACTGTATGGGCAAAGATGGGAAAGTTGGCATGCCCTTGGATGTGGGCAGGTAGGCAGGTGGCCCATGGAGAGGACTGGCTCTCAGACCTGTCTCCTGGGATCTGTTTGCTCAGGCAACCATGACCAAGTATCACACCCTGAATGACTTAGGCAGCAGGAATGGATTGCCTCACAGTTTTGGAAGTTGGGAGTCTGAGACCAAGGTGTTAGCAGGCTGGGCTCTTTCTGTGGGCTGTGAGTTAGAACTTGTGCCAGGCTTCTCTCCAGCTTCTGGTGGTACACTGGCAATCTTTGGCATTCCCCACATGTGTGTGTAACTGTGTCCAAATTTCTCCTTTCCCCTTCTTTTTTTCTTGGCCTTTGGTGACAATTATCCATGTATTTTTATGAGTATATCACAGTTGTACATATTTTGAGGGTACACGTGGTATTTTGATACTTTTATAGAAAATAATGAGTAAATCAGGATTATTAAGATATCCATCATCTCAAATATTTATCTTTTTTTTATGTTGGGAATATTACAAATCTTCTCTTCTAGTTATCTTGAATAATATACACAAAAATTATTGTTAACTATAATTTCCCTACTGTACTGTCAAATACCAGAGCTTACCCCTTTGAAATTACCCCTTCTTGTAAGAACACCAGACACATGGGACTAGGGCCCACCCTAATGGCCTCATGTTAATTTGATTATCTCTGTAAAGACCCCATCTCCCAATTCCAAATGAGGTCACATTCCAAGATACTAGGGCTTAGGACTTCAACATATGAATTTGGAGGGCACAGGCTAGTCCATGACATTTCTCAACAGACTCATTGGCCTTGGTGGGGGGGGGGGGGTGCCCGGGTGACCACAGGTGTGTAAAGGGAAGGCATGATGAGCCCATGGACAGCAGAGAGAGTGGGAGCAGAAGGGCAGAGCAAGGCTGTGAGGCAGGGATGCCCTCAACAGGAAGGTTGTCAGAAGAGCCAGGAAGGGCCAGTGCAGAACTCGGTTTCATGAATGTGGAATGACCTAAGTTGGGGCAACATGGCAAGAGGTTAGCCCAGGTTGGGGGGTCAGACCTACCTGGGGTGGAGTCTCAGCTCTGCAGTATCTGCCCTCTGAGATGTCAGGCCTTTAACAGCTCAAGTTCAGTTTGCAGATCAGAGAAATGGGATGGTAACCACAGCTCACAGTGCATGGCAAACACTTGGCTCTTGACAGGGAACTCAGAACCAAGTCTGGACAGGAGAGCCAGCCTGGGTTTCTTCAGTGCAGTGTCAGGCCCTGGATAGCCCCTTTAAATCACTGAGTTAGAAATGGGGCTGCCCACTCCTATTCAATGAGTACTAGAAGTCCTAGCCAGAGCAATTAAGCAAGAAAAAGAAATAGAAGGCATACAAATAGGAAAGGAAGAAGTGAAAATATTTGCTGATTAAATTACCTTATATACTGATTACCTTGAACACTTCATCAAAAGCTGTTAGAACTAATAAACAAATTCAGTAAAGTTGTAGGATACAAGATGCAAAACTTAGTAGTGTTTCTATACACTAATAACAAATGATCTGGAAAAAAATTAAGAAAACAATTTCATTTACAATAGCTATAAAATAAAATATTTAAGAGTAAAAACTAGAAAATATTGATGAATGCAATTGAAGAAGATAAAAAAATTTTTTTTAAATCCTGTGTTCATTGATTGAAAATCAATATTATTAAAATGCCCATATGACTCAAAATGATCCACAGATTCAGTGTATCCCATATCAAAATTCCAATATCATTTTTCACAGAAACAGAAAAAATAATCCTAAAATTTACGTGGAACCACAGAAGACCTCAAATAGCCAAAGTAACCTTGACCAAAAGGAACAAACTCAAAGGCATCGCACTATCTAATTTCAAAATCTACTACAAAGCTACAGTAATCAAAACAGCATGGTACTGGCACAAAAAAAAAGACACATAGATTAATGGAACAGAATAGAGAGCCTAGAAATAGCCATGCAGAGCCATGCATTTACGGTCAATTCATTTTCAACAAAGATGTCAAGAACACATAATGGGAAAATGACAGTCTCTTTAGTAAATGATCTTAGGAAAGCTGGATATCCACATACAGAAGAATTAAATTAGACCCTCATCTCATATCATATATTATTACAAAGATCTACTCAAAACGGGTTAAAGACTTCAATATAAGACCTAAAACTAAAACTACTAGAAATAAACATAAGAAAAAAGTTTCACGACATTCGTCTAGGCAATGATGTTTTTGGATGTGACCCCAAAACCACAGGTAAGAAAAGCAAAAACAGACAAGTGAGATTACACCAAACTACAAAGCTTCTGCACAGCAAAGGAAACAATCAAAAGGGTGAAAGCAACCTAAGAAATGGGAGAACATATTTGCAAACCATACATCTCATAAGAGGTTAATATATAAGAAACTCAGCCCAACAGCAAGAAATCAACCTGATTAAAATTGGACAAAGGACTTGAAGAAACATTTCTCAAAAGAAGACATACGAATGGTCAGCAGGTATATAAAGCAATGCTCATTGTCACTAAATCATCAAGGAAATGCAAATTAAAACCACAGTGAGATATTACCTCACACCTGTTAAAATGGCTATTATCAAAAAGATGATGAAACACTTACCAAAAGTGTTGATGAGGATGTCAGGAAAAGGAAACCCTTGCACACTGTTGGTGGGATTGTAACTTAGTACAGCCTTTTGGAACACACTATGATTCTTCAAAAAACTAAAAATAGAACTACCATATGATCCAGGAACATCACTTCTGAGTATACATCCAAAGGATACAAAATAATATGTCAAAGAAATACATTACAGCACTATCCACATTAGCCAAGATATGAAATCAACCTAAGTATGCATCAGTGGATAATGGATAAACGAAATCTGACAAATATGTGGAGTCCTGATAAGATAAGTAAGCAACAGTGAGGAAGAGGCCCCAGGAGAGGGAGAGAACAATTGTTCTGGGAAATGGCTAATCACAGACAACCCACTGGCACAGCATCCTGTTCCCGAATACCTCATTCTGCACATAGCCCCAGCAGCACCACCTTATAAAACTTCCCTCCAGCCTCTGCTTCTTGGTAGACAAGCCCCTTCTCTGCTGTGCTGCCTGTTGCTCCCTTGAAACATACTTTCTCTCTAATAAACTTGTTTTCTTTAACTTACTGCTGTTTCAGTAAATTATTTCACTGCCCGCAACGCCAGCCCCAATCACCACCCACATCGCCACTGACAACAACATATACAAAGTGGAATACTATTTAGCTTATAAAAGAAGGAAATCCTGTCATTTATGAAATGGATGAGCCTGGAGGACATTATGTTAAGTGAAATAAGCCAGGCACAGAAAGACAAAGACTTCATGTTCTCACTTATATGTGGAATCTAGAAAAGAGGAACTCACAGCACCAGAGAGTAGGGTGGTGATTGCCAGGGGCTGGAGCGTTGGAACTGGGGAATGTGGAGATGTTGGGCCAAAGGTGCAAAGTTTCAGTGAGATGTAAGGAATACGTTTTAGAGATCTATTGCACAGCATTTTGACTATAGTTAATAATAATGTATTGTATATTTCAAAATTGCTAGAAGGGTTTATTTTAAATGGCCTTACCATAAAATATAAGTATGTGAGGTGATGGATTTGTTAATTAGCTTGATTTAATTATTTCATGTGTATGCGTGTATGAAAACATTGCAGTTTTCTAAAAAGTAAACTGAGGCACATAAAATTTTGAAGAGTTTATTTGAGCAAGCAATGATTCATGGATTGGGCAGCTCCAAACCAGAAGGAGTTCGGGACCTCCTCCAAGGGAATGCAAGAGTGAGGCTTTTACAGAACAAACATAGAAGAAAAGCAAAGAAAATATTTGATTTAAACACAGCTATGCCGTTGCATTTTTTGGTCTATCCTGTTGGAAAGTCACTAGTTATATAATTATAAGTTTGTTGGATACTTCTAATTGGTTGAGCTTAAGCTCTTTTTTTAAAAAAAAAAAAGTAGGTATTTAAAAGAAATAGCTTAAGTTTTGCTTATGTTTGCAAATAAAGCAAGGTTGAGGTCACTTATGAGACCTAACTGGTTTTGTCCTCTCAGGAATTCATCAGGCCCAATCTCCATCTTCACTTACTTTAACAACCCCACACCTCACTCCCCTTTGTTCACCCTCTCAGCATGCTGAGGGTGTGACCAGACAGCATAGCTTACTCTCAGCTGCCACTATTGATATAGTCACTGGAGCAGTCTTGTAGGCATTATCATTATCAACAGCTGCATTGGGATGTAAGGTCACGTTATCATTATTATCCAAAATTGAACATTCATTGTAAGACTTGAGTGGTCAGGTGGTTCAGGTCTCTAAATTGTCTAATCCTGATGGCAATCATTTGAGGTGTGAGTGGCTACTGGAAAGTATTTAAAATCCTCACAAGGATACAAGGACTACAGGGAAGTGAATACAATGACTAAGGAGAATGAATACAATGACTAAGGAGGATAATAGCCAAGAACTATTGGCTGAAAAATTCCCTGGAGCAGAGATCCCAGGAGTCAAGATTTAACCAACTGAATAAATCCAACGAGGAAGCAGTACCTATTTGATGAGAAATGTATTTGTTAATGAAAAGCCTTTTAATTTGGGGCAACGATTTCTAATTTATGGACATAGAAGCAACATTTTTTATTAAAACGAGCATAAACTACTTCTTCTTACCAGATCAAGAACTTCTATGGAAGTTAGCCTATGGAAGCTAAATTGTTCATTTCAGATTGTATTGCTTGAAGGAAATTCAAGCTGTCATCCTATGAGAGTAAACTAAAAACAAAGATTAATATTTGGAGTATACTGTGATCTTAGAGTTTGAGTCAGAAGGACAGCTAGTTGAGATTTCTAGATTTGAGTTTGAAACATCTTTAGAGGGGGGATGAGCATGGCAGCTGTAATCTAATGGATTTTCCTGATTTGCAGTTAGAATATCTCTGCTTATGTCATCAGATACTCCTCTGGTGAACTCTCCAAGTGACCCATATAGCAGCAGGCATGAACATTGCCCATAGATGGTCTGCTATAGTGATTTTTCTGAAGTTTAAAGTCCTCCAGTTTCAGCTTGCAGAGCTTAGGACAAAGGAACTTTTAGCTTTTTACTAAACTAGAAGAAATCGGAATTCACTCCCGTTTACAGATGGGTAATAAAACCTCAAAGAAAATGAACAGGACTAGAATTTGACCACAGATGCTCCATAGGTTTCTATTAAAATAGAATCTTTTTAACAGACACTCCCATTTTTACCAAAGGTAATTACAGTAAGATTTTTTTAATAAGTCCAGTTTCAATTAACTTGGCCTCATTATTTATGTAAGTGTAACAAGAATAGTAATTCTGTGTATTTTTAAAAATATAATATTTTAGTCGGTGCTTTGGTAGTATCTGTTGATGAAAAAAGCCAAACACTGTAAAATATGTAGAGACTTATTCTGAGCCAAATATGAGTGACCATGGCCAGCAACACAGCCTCAGGAGGTCCTGAGAACACGTCCCCAGAGTAGTTGGCTTACAACTTGATTGTATACATTTTAGAGAGACAGAAGTTACAGGCAAAGACATAAACCAACACATATCAGTGGTTCAGCTGGTAAACATGGGACATCTTGAAGTAGGGAGAGGGGCTTCCAGATCATAGGTGGAATCAGAGGTTTTCTGACTGGTAGTTAGTTAAAAGAGTTAACCTATTTGCCTGAAAAGTTGAAGTCAGCATAAAGAAATGCTTAATTTAAGATAAGGAGGGTTGTGAAAGCCAAGGTTCTCGTCATGTAGATGAAGCCACTAAGTAACAGGCTTCAGAGAGAATAGACAGTAAATGCCTCTTATGACGTTTACCTTAAAACCTACCTTAAATGACCTTAAAAGGTGTCAGCCTCTCTGAAAAAGACCTAGAAGGGGAAAAAGATTCTCTACAGAATGCAAATTTCCCCCCACAAAAGATGCTTCACAGGGCCACTTCAAAATATTTCAAAGAAAATATCTTTGGGCGGTAAATACTCTGATTCTCTACAGAGCCTGCTATCTGTCATACAACACTACAGCAGAGCCAGGTTGGAGTTAGATATTCTATTGCTACAAAGAGTCTGTTTTGTCAGTCTTATGTTCTCAATTTCAATGTTAATGCTGGTCAGTTGTGCCTGAACCCCAAAGGGAGGAGGGCATGACAAAGCAGGTCTGACCCCCCAACTTCCCATCATGGCTTGAACTCACATGATAAGGCAGGTCTGACCCCCCAGCTTCCCACCATGGGCTGAACCTGCATGACAAGGCAGGTCTGACCCCCCCAGCTTCCCACCATTGTTGTACCTGAGCAAGTTAGAGAAAACGCCACACTTTGAGACGAATTAAGAGTCCGTTTATTTAGCCGGCGGCCAAGAGACAGCTAACGCTCAAAGTTCTCTTGGCCCCGAAGAAGGGGCTAGATTTTCTTTTATACTTTGGTTTAGAAAGGGGAGGGAGTTCTAGTTAAAACAATTTTACAGAAGTAAAGTAGGCAAAAAAGTTAAAAGGATAAATGGTTACAGGAAAGTAAACAGTTCCAGGTGCAGGGGCTTTAAGACTATTACAAGGTGATAGACGCGGGGGGCTTTGGGCGTTATCAATCGGATGAATTCCTGGGAACTGCGGATATTGCTCGCCACAGTATCTTATCACTCTTGGATGTGCTGGGAGTCAGCTTGCAAAGGTTAAGTCCTTGAGGAAGGGGCTGCCAGTGAAAGAGCCAAGATGGAGTCTGTCTGGCTCTCTTAGCTGAGAGTCAATTCAGGTGGAAACAAGGCTAGGTGATTAAAGGGAAGGGAGAGTCTAAGAACAGGGTTAGTAAAAACAAGGTTGGGCATTACACCAGGGCCTGAACTCGTTTTTAAGGTTTCTTTGTGTTCCCCTTGGCCAACGGGGGCATCCATTCAGTGGGTCGGGGGACTGAGAATTTCATTTTCCTTTACATATTCAAGGAACTTTATTGATTTTCTATCAGTCAACTTTAGTTTTTTTAAAACTATCTGGTGAGGAGAAATGTCATATTAGACCTCTACAAACCTCTCTAAGCTAAGAAGCCAAGCCAAAGACTTTCCCAATTATGGCCTGTTACAAGAAGTACAGATTCTCCCCTCTGCCCCACTCCGAGATGGAGTCTCACCCTGTCACCCAGGCTGGAGTGCAATGGTGCAATCTCGGCTCACTGCGGCCTCCGCCTCCTGGGTTCGAGAGATTCTAGTGCCTCACCCTCCTGAGTAGCTGGGATTACAGGCATGCACCACCACCCCTGGCTAATTTTTGTATTTCTAGTAAAGACCGGGTTTTACCATGTTGGCCAGGCTGGTCTTGAACTCCTGGCCTCAGGTGATCCACCTGCCTCGGCCTCCCAGAGTGCTGGGATTAGAGGTGTGAGCCACTGTGCCCAGCCTCAAGGAGCACAGATTCTTATTGAACCTAAGCAAACACCCATATTGCCATGAAAATAAAAATATTTAATATGAGTTCCCCAAATTCTGGAGGAATCAGGTATGGAGAAAAAAATAAATGCTCCATTTTTGTTTACAAAAGTATATTTTATCACCGCTATAACTTATAGACAGCTTAAGAGAAAAGAGAAAAGGAGTTTATTAAATCTAAAATACAAAGGCATTGAAGAACAAGCAATGTTTCCAACAAACAGTCATAGAGATTATAATTATCTTCAGTTAACTTGATCCCATGTAATTAATTTTTGTTCTGTTTGATATTGGGTTAGCAGCTTTATGAATCCATCAGTTTTTCATTACAGTTCCGGAAATTCTCACCCAGTCCTATAGTATGATCTTAACATTATCAGAAACCTGTACTTGTCAGTCTTTTTCATGACTCTCTTGAAATTTCCTATCATGCAACTGATAAGAAAATTTGGTTATTTTGGTGACATCTAATATTTTATGACAATAATCACAATTATAATAGATAACACTATATTAGGACATATCAGATTTTTAGCAATTTCATACAATTTCTGTAATACTCATATCAACAAATTGGTATAAATTAAAATATAAATTTAAGAAGGTTTAGCATCGCTTATTACTTAGCAATGCCTCTCTTACAGTTAATAAGCCTAATTAGTTTAATATTTATTTTTATAAAGGAGAAAAATTCTTTTTTTTTTTTTGAGACAGGATTTCACTCTGTCACCCAGGTTGGAGTGCGCTGGTGCGATCACTGCCCACTACAGCCTTGACCTCCCAAGCTCAAGCAATTCTCCCATCTCAGTTAGAACTACAGGCACATGCCACCACGCCTGACTAATTTTAGTATTTTTTGTAGTGACTGGTTTTCTTCATGTTGCCCAGGCTAGTCTTGAACTCCTGGGCTAAGGCGATCTGCCCACTTCAGCCTCCCAAAGTGCTGGGACTACAAGCGTGAGTCACCATGCTTAGCCGAAAAATTCTTCTGAGATATTCTAGGGACCCTTCTGGAAACTCCCAAAGCTAATTCAAGGTCAAAAAGACTTAATTCAGAATTTGATTTAGGAAGCTATCAAAAATGTCAGAAAGTTTCAAACATTTGATTAAATAGGATCATAGGTCACTGCGAAACAATACCAAAATGACAAACGATTTTGAAGGCAAATGCAGAAAACTACATAGTTGTAAAAAAAAAAAACAAAACACTTAGCTCTTTCAGTCTTAAAAAGACTCACTTTTCTGAAACAATCTAAGACCTAATAAAAGACTACATGTGGCATAAGAAATTATTTGATAAAACACAAGATGTTTGTTTTCTGGGCCAATTACTTAAAGGGTAAAGAAAAAACATTTTATAATCAACAACAGACCAATATTGCAAGAAAACTTCATCCTTTTAGCACAGAGAGAACCCAATTCTAGCTTTGTATTAGTATTTACTTAGCTTATTTTTTAACCGTTAGAAATAAAATTTATCTAATCTTAATAAAACTCCCTTTTCACAGACCTACAACTTTCTATATCATTTAGTTTTTGTCTCACTCATTTTCTTCCTTTTCCTTCTGGAACAGTCAGCCACCTTGCTTTAAGACAAAATTATTATTTTTCCCCTAATGAAAACACATACCTTGTATACTTTTCCTTATTAAGGTATTTTTAACATATTATTAAAGTATCCATTTTGTGTGTATATTTTTCATATACACTTGTTTTCTTCATCCTTATTATTTATAGTAGTTTTAATTACGTATATTAATTAAGATCCTTAACACTTACTAAACTTTATATCCAGTGAAAATCAGACAGTGCACAATTTCATAATTTTTAAATAGCATATGTTTCTTCATAGCACTGGACATGCCTGCCAGTAAACCCAGATACCTCTAATTCCTCCTAATAAGAAGCAAAAGATATGTAAGCTTAAACTTATGTTCAGGAATTAATGTTTTAGCAGTTTGTATTATTTGGAAATGGTCTAGATATTTAATGAATACCTACCACTTAATTTAACTTAGTATAGTTTTAAGGTTTCAAGTTATCAAGAAGATGTTGGAAATTGTTTTTAGACAGACATATTATAACACTAAATAAAAGTAGCTGTCATCTCATGTTATTTTTCTTGTTGACAAATTTTGTAACAAAGATGACATAAGCTTATTCAACTAGTAAAGCTAGATGGAATATACTTTTTTAACTAAATCACAAATACTTTTATTTATTAAAGATTAAAGTCATTAGAAACTTGAAAATCAGTGGGGTTAGTTCCTTTCTCTTCTGAGAAAATACTTATTTTATACATGAATTTACTTTTCCTTTAGACAAACTAAACAGACTTCTTTCAATATTATTTCTAGGAATACCATCCAGATATATCATTTCTAATAATAACATCCATATATAATATCATTATATGCAGAATAATATTACATAAAATTATATACATATATGTACGGCTATATATGTGTATACATACATATAAATTAGATATATGCCTATATACATTTATATGTATATATACATATAAATTATTTATATGTATGTTTGTCTATATGTATATGGCCAGACATACAAATAATTTATATGTAATATTATTCTACATATGTGGATGTTATTATTAGAAATGATATATCTGGATGGTATTGTTAGAAATAATATTGAAAGAGATCTAATTTGTTTAAAGAAAAAATAAGTGCATGAATAAAATAGTATTTTCTCAGAAGAGAAAGGAATTAACCCCAATGGTTTTCAAGTTCCTAATGACTTTAATCTTTAAAAAATAAAAATACTACTGATTTTCATATATATATGCATATATTTTGTATATATGTATATATATAGCCATACATAAAGATACAGGCAGATGCAAACAGAGATTCATGGAGTCTGTTCTGTCATTTTAGCCACATTTCAGGTATAATAATATAAAACTCACTAGTTGGATCCAAATTTTGTCTCTGGCAGTTAAAGTTACCTGCTCAGATGGCTAAAGCCTTTTATTAATATTTGTGAAAAGGACTTTTAAGATTTTTCATTTACCATTTATTTCTAAAAAGTTTCTCTTTATGCTTTCCTTCTGATGAGTCATTTCCCTGAAGTCTGCATTTCAAAGATTTAGACATCTCAAAGGCAGAGGAAAAGGACGTGAAGTTTTCTCTCATAAGGAATTTTGGGGCATATTCCTCTCTTATCAGGAGTCAGTCTTAATAAGACTGTAGACTGAATTATAGGTGAGTAACGGAGGAGATACCCAGTCTATTTCCAGTGAGTCTTTATCTGTTTTAGCCTTAGGTGGTTGCTTTTATAATAGCTCAGAGTTGTGTGCAAGACCAAGAATTAAATTTAGTTGTTGCAGGTACAACTGGTTCATTTAAGGATCTAATTTTTTAAGGAAGTTAGTGTTGAGGAGATTCAGATGGAAGAAGCAAGACTAAAGACTATTAAAGAGGTTAGTAGATTCAGAATAATTTTTTATTAGTGTGCTGTAGAGATTCCTTTAGAGAGATTATTTTTTGAGTCATTCTGTCTTTTGGAAACCTCTGTATACCAATCAAAAATGTATCTCGGCCAGGCACGGTGGCTCACACCTATAATCCCAGCACTTTGGGAAGCCGAGGCGGGCGGATCACCTGAGGTCGGGAGTTTCAGACCAGCCTGACCAATATGGAGAAACCCCATCTCTACTAAAAATACAAAATTAGCCGGGTGTGGTGGCTCACGCCTGTAATCCAAGCTACTCGCGAGGCTGAGGCAGGAGAATTGCTTGAACCCAGGAGGCAGAGTTTGCAGTGAGCCGAGATCACACCATTGCACTACAGCCTGGGCAACAAGAGCAAAACTCCATCTCAAAAAAAAAAAAAAAAGTATCTCATTGTTTCCGAGGCATTTGGGATCACTTTTTAAAAATGTACCCATAGACAAATAATTACATCTAGAATAAAAGTTTCCCCAATATGATCACTCTAAGTTTCAATTATCTTCCTGAGTTGCATCCATTTCTCTAGAAAGGCACAGATGCTGGGTCCCTAGATAGTTTCATAGTTTCAAACACAAAATTAGCTGGAGTTCTAAATGGAGGAGTCCTGGGCCTCTCAGATTCTGAAGAACCCATAATACTTTGTTTTTCTAAAACTTTACTTACCTGAGGCTTTCAACTGGATCCAATCCAGTTTTTGTTGAACACTTAGTTTGACCTCCAGATTCCAACTTGGATTCCAGGCCTATCCCAGAAACAGAGCACTACCCTGGACCTAGTCCAGTCCCTATCAGACCCAGTTTGACCTCCAGAATAAAAGTTGTTCAAAGGAAGTCAAACAGCTCAGGATACAAGTTGCAAAGCTCAACATCCAAGAGAGGCTTACCCTGCGATCGCCACAGCGGGTCCAGTAGGTGCCTGTGTCTGGTTATTCATTGCTCCTGGGAGTTGTCAGGGGTCTCCTTTAGCTCCCACTCTGAACACCAAACTTTTAAAATGGTAAACTGAGGCACAATAAAATTTTAAAGAGTTTATTTGAACAAACAACAATTCATGAATCAGGCAGCTCCAAACCAAGAGTGGTTTAGGAGCTCCACTGAGGAACTGCAAAAGGAGGGCTTTTAAAGGATGGACACAGAAGTTAAGCAAGTATTTGATTGGTTACAGTTAAACTGTTGCCATATTTGTTTTATCCAGTTGGAAACTCCTTAGTTATATAATTATTAGTTTATTGGCTACTTCCAGTTGGCTGAGCTTAAATTTTGTTTTTTGTTTTTTGTTTTTTGTTTTTTTTGAGATGGAATCTCACTCTGTCACACGGGCTGGAGTGCAGAGGCGTGATCTCGGCTCACTACAACCTCCACC
Source organism: Homo sapiens (assembly GCF_000001405.40). Classification (NCBI taxonomy): domain Eukaryota; kingdom Metazoa; phylum Chordata; class Mammalia; order Primates; family Hominidae; genus Homo; species Homo sapiens. Next base: position 101,089,468 of record NC_000014.9, on the reverse strand, counting down.
CCCCTGGGTTCAAGCAATTCTCTTGCCTCAGCCTCCTGAGTAGCAGGGATTACAGATACCCACCACCACATCGGGCTAATTTTTGTATTTTTAGTAGAGACAGGGTTTCACCATGTTGGCCGGGCTGATCTTGAACTCCCAACCTCAGGTTATCCACCCGCCTTGGCCTCCCTAAGTGCCGGGATTACAGGGGTGAGCCACTCTGTTGTTCTTCAATACAGGTATTTTCAAGAAATAGCTTAAGTTTTGCTTATGGTTGCAAATCAAGCAAGGTTCAGGTCACTTACGAGACCTAAGTGGTTTTGTTTGCTCAGGAATTCTTCAGGCCTAGTCTCTGTTTTAATTTAACATATCATACCCCATAAATATATACAATTATTACTTGTCAGTTAAGAAAATAAATGTGGCTGTAACTTCACATTAACCAAGAATATTGCTGAGTGCTGGGAAGAAGAAGCAGACAGGGAGGGGCAGGTTTCAAAACGATTTAATTCTTCAATGTGCTTCTAATTTTCCTTATCCATGTCATCTAATTTCTCTGCAAGGACCACTTAGCACTTGGTTCTGTTTCATGGCAGAGAATTCCTGCCACATGCGGCTTCCCAGAATCTCCCAGTCATGCCCACTAAAGTGCACAAAGTGCAGCGAGGGGCTGATGGGCACAGGATAGGAGCCCCCCATTTCCTCTGTGGCCCTGGGCAAGAACCTTCACCTCTGAATGGGTGCCATTTGCACCTGAGCTAAACAGATAGAGAAATGCCTACACTGGACTCCCCTGGACTCCCCTCTCACAGCATGTGAGAGCACTCTCCGGCGTAAAGCTCCAAGAATGCCTGAGATGGAGCGGGCTCTGTGTCCTGCCAGGCCCTGCCAGGCCCTGCCAGGCCCAGGCCTCTGGGCCTCTGCTCACCAAGGCCAAGGGCCCATCCTTGAACCTGGTCCTGATCACCCAGCAGATTCCAAGCATGGTTTCCACCCCAAAGGCAAAGGCCTACTGGCCACGGTAGCTCGTGAGCTCGCCAGGCTCAGGTCAGTTCTGGGCCATAAACACTTCCTACTGGCAGAAAGGGAAAGAGATTCCTGTCCCCTGGGTTCCCTGGTCTCTGTTTCCCTTCCCTGCTCCAAGTGGCCATTGAGGAATCTGGCCACAGAGGGCAGGAGCTCAAGGCTGGCAGGACATGCCATGCGGCGAGCCCTGGGCTCTGCACCATACATAGGCCTTGTTTCACTGCTTGGTAATGCCGGGATTGTTATTTCCAGTATTTTGCAAGAAGCAATGTTTATGTGATGTTTTACCACTGGCAATCTTCTTGTGGTTTTTGATGGGTGCCAAACAAGTCTCCAAAGGCCGTAGTGCTGGAAGCACACAGCGGGTGTCCAGGGCTGAGCCTCTTGCCTTCAGGGCTGAGCCTGTGAGCAGGACTTGGTGTCCACACTGCCTCCTGCACGTTGCTCCAGGGTCAAAGCCATGTGCAGTGGTGCTTTATGGACCCCCACTGTTAGAGAGTTTATCTGAGCAAACAACTCTTTAACAGTGATGTGATATGACAATGAACGGGGACACTCACCCCAGTTTTTCCACTCTGCCCCCCAGCCCAAGTCCAGGCTGCTTGGCCACTGCCACCATCTCTGCACTAGGGGGCCTAATCGCAAGGGACTGGACTAGGTTTGCAGAAGCAAACCCAGAGGAGGGGCTCCTGGCCTTGATGCCTTCTCACACTTACCTGCTGAACAAGGAGGGCCATGAGTTAATCGTCAGCTCCCCATACCTGTCCCTCCTGCTGCTTCCTCCTCTCACCAATAGCTCCAGAGTGCACTTAGGGACCAAGCCAGGAGCCAGCCGCTGGCCTGCGTTACTCCCCTAAGGCCCCAGCATCCACTTCGAGTGGATCATTTCTCTTATCTCAGCAGTGCATGGATCCGCCAGCTTCTTTTAGTCTCCTGGATCCAGTCACTCCATCTCTACCTGGACAGGGGAAGAATCATCTGTATGGACTCTCTGCTGCCCCCTCACCCACCCTTACCCCTGCAACACACACACACACACACACACACACACCCCACACACACACACACACACTCATACCCCAACAGCATCTGGAGTGAACTCCTGGGTGGGAAAGCGTGCATATGTCACAGTCCTTTTTGGTTCCCAGAAACACTCGACCCCTACCCACCTCTCCAGCCCCATCTGCTATGAGCACAGTTTCCCCATCCCAAAATAGTTCAGAAAGCCTCACAGTCCTCCTTGGACCAAGAAAGCTTACCAACCCAGCTGACCCAGCTCCTTGGCATGGCCACCTCAGTGGGCAGTTGAGTGCCAGGGTCCCTGAAGTTCCCCCTCAGCACCTGCCATGGATCCACCAGCCCGGGAACTGCCCACACCCATCCTGTGCTGACCCATTAGTTCTACAGTCTTCTGGAGCCCAGGATATCTCCAGCCATGACCCTACATGGGAAGAGAGGGCTGCCTGAATCCCAGGGCTCCAGTACGTGTCTGCCCTGCAGCCCCTTTGCAGGTGTGACCCTCAGAATGGGAATGTTTACCCCAGAAAAAAATTCACTCATTTACGGTCAATTGAATTTTGACAAAGATGCCATGAACACACATGGGGAAATGACAGTTTCTTCAAAAAACGGCATTGGGAAAGTTGGATATCCATATGCAGAAGAATGAAGTTAGACCCTCATCTCACACCATATACAAAAATCAACTCAAAATGGGTTAAAGACCTTCACATAAGACCCAAAACTGTAAAACTACTAGAAGAAAACATAAGGGAAAAGCTCTATGACATTGATCTGGGCAATGATTCTTTGGCTATGACCCCAAAACAACAGGAACAAATATAAAAATAGACAAATAGGATTGTATCAAATTAAAAAGCTTCTGCACAGCAAAGGAAACAGCAGATTGAAGAGACAATCTATGGAATGGAAGAATATATCTGCAAGCCCTCTAACTTATAAGGGTTAATACCCAAAATATATAAAGAACTCAAACAATTCAACAGCCAGAAAACAAATACCCTGATTCAAAGATGGGTAAAGGATCAGAATAGATAATTCTCAAAAGAAGACATACAAATGGCCAACAGATATATGAAAAAATGCTTAACACCACTAATCATCAATGGAATACAAATTAAAACCATGATGAGCTACTACCTCACAACTGCTAGAATGATTATTATCAAAAAGATGAAAGATAACAAGTTTCGGTGAGGATGTGGAAAAAGAAAACCCTTGCACACTCTTGGTGGGAATGTAGATTGGTGCAGCCATTGTGGAAAACATATGGAGACTCTTCAAAAACTGCAGACAGAATTACCACATATCTCAGTCGGTTTGGGGCTGCTATCACAGAATACCTGAGCCTGGGTAATTGATGAAGAATAAAGATTTATTTCCTACAGTTCTGGATGTTGGGAAGTTAAAGGTCGGTGGCCCATATCTGGCAAGGGCCTTCTTGCTGGGCCATCCTATGGTGGAAGGTGGAAGGTGGAAGAGCAAGAGAACACAAGAGAGGGCCAATGAGAGAACAAGAAGGGGCAGAGCTCGCTTTCATAACAAACCCACTCCTGAGATAACCACATTCATCCATTTACAAGGATAGAGCTCTCATGACCTGATCACGTCTTTTCTTTTTTTTTTTTTTTGAGATAGAGTCTCGATCTGTCACCCAGGCTGGAGTGCAATGGCGTGATCTCTGCTTACTGCAACCTCCGACTCCTGGGTTCAAGCAATTCTCATGCCTCAGCCTCATGAGTAGCTGGGATTACAGGCACCCGCCACCATGCCCAGCTAATTTTGTATTTTAGCAGAGACGGGGTTTCACCATGTTGTTCAGGCTGGTCTCGAACTCCTGGCCTCAGGTGATCCACCCACCTTGGCCTCCCAAAGTGCTTGGATTACAGGCATGAGCCACTGCACCCGGCAACCTGATCACCTCTTAAAGGTCCTATCTGTCAACATTGTTGCATTGGGTACTAAGTCTCCAACATGTGAACTTTAAGGAATACATTCAAACCATAGCACCACAGGATCCAGCAATCCCACTTTTGTGTATGTGTGCATATGTGTGTGTGTATATATATATATAATGCAATCAGGATGTCAAAGAGGTTATCTGGCCTCTCATGTGCATTGCAGCACCATTCACAATAACCCAGCTATAGAATCAACCTAAGTATCCATCAGTGTACGAATAAAAACAATGTGGTATATATAAACCATGAAGTATTATTCAGCCTCAAAAAAGAAAGGGATCCTGTCATCGTCAACAACATGGATGAAGCTGGTGGATGTCATGTGAAGTGAAATAAGCCAGGCACAGAAAGGCAAATACTGCCTGATCTCACTTATATGTGGAATCAAGAAGAGCCAGACTCACAGAAGTAGAGGGTAAAATGGTGGTTACCAGAGGCTGGTGGTGGAGGCATTTAGAAGATGTGGATCAGAAAACACGAAATTTCATTCAGACTGTAGGAATAAGTTCAAGAGATCTGTTATACAACATGGTGATTATCGTTAACAACAACACATTGTGTCGTTGACAATTGCTTAGAAAGTAGATGTTAAGTGTTCTCACTACAAAAATATAAGTATGTGAGGTAATGCATATGTGGATTAGCTTGATTTAGCCATTCCACAATGTATACATATATCCAAGCAATATGTTATACATGATAAATATATCCAGTATTTATTTATCAGTGAAAAACAAATAAGCAAAGGAGTGAGAAGGCTCATCTCTCCCGGCCCTAGTCGGGACGGGAAAGCTCTGTGGAAGTGGGTTGGTTTGTGGATGTCGCCGGGCAGAGTGAGGAGTTGCTTCCCCTAGAGAGCAGGTTTTTTTCCTGGTCACCTCTCTGGGCTCCACAAAATGGGGCTTCTGAGTAAGTCAGATGGTCTGAAGGGAACGTTACCAGTCTTTGGGCCCAGCATTGGCCATATATGTTTGTGATGACAACTGGCCCTGGCTTTGTGTCCAGCTTCAAGCTTCTCCCTCCCTAAAACCTGAGCCCCAGTCCTTCCAGGCACATCCCAGCTCCTCACAGAGGCTGTGCCATTGTACAGATCAGCCCCTCTGCATGTGCTCTTCCTTCTGCCTAGGATGTCACCTCTCCACCCTGGTGTCTAGTGAAGCCATTCCTCCCCTGGCACCGTTCCTGGGTTTGGGGTGGACTCTTCCTCCCTCTCAGCACCTGCCTGCACAACCTGCCAAGGTTCTTGTGCCTAGGGCCCAGCCTAGAGCCAGGCACAGAGGGGAACGGGGGACAGTCACCATTTGCTGAGTTGGGGAGTAAGCAGGTAAGCCCTCCACCCCACCAGACAAAGGCAAACACCCAGCTTGAGGGGCCCATGTGGAGCTGTGGTTAAAAGCATGGGCTCAAGCCAGTGAGACAAGTCTGGGGCCAGGTCCAGCCACCAGCCGTTCCACTCTGGGCACGCCGGGGAAGCCCTCTGACAACAGGCTTGATTCCAGTTCCCGCCCCCAGAGGGCAGGGTGGAGGATGGATGACTGCGTGAGCAGCACCCAGCACAAGGCGCTCTGTGACTGTCGGCTTCCACCAACCCCCATGTGATTGTTGATATTGCATTCTGGATGGCACCGAAGCTTGGACCTGGAGCCCCGATCCTATGACCCTGGTGGCCCCGGTCGGGAGGTGGGGTAGGAGGGTCTTCCCAATCCTTCCTTTCACTTAGCCTTGGGCAGTGGTAGATCCAGCAGGAAGGGGGTGCCCCGAGTGGTCCTCGGTCCTGTGGATTTGAAGCCTGGTGTATAACTTTCCCTGTGCTGCTGTAAAACTTACCACAAATTTAGTGGCTTTAAAACAACACGAATTTATTATCTTACAGATCTGGAGGTCAGAAGTTCAAAATGGTTCTCGCCGGGTTAAAACCAAGGCATTGGCAGGGCTGCGTTCCTTCTGGAGGCCTAGAATAGAATTCCTTTTCTTACCATTGCAGCTGCTAGAGGCCACCTGCACTCCTTGGTTCATGGCCCCTTCCCCCATCTTCAAAGCCAGCAGCATAGCATCGTCCAGTCTGTCTCTTGACCTCTACCGCTGTTGCCTGATCTCCTTCCCCTTTTGTGACTCTCGCTCTCCTGCCTCCCTCTTATAAGGATGCTGTGATTACACTGAGCCCACTCAGGTAGTCCAGGATCATATGCCAGTCACAAGATCCTTAACTTAGGCACATTGGCAAAGTCCCTTTAGCCCTGTAAAGCAGCAAAGCAGCATGTCCCCAGCTTCTGGGGATTAGGACATGGACATCTTTGGGGCTGTCCCCAGCTTCTGGGGATTAGGATGTGGACATATTTGAGGCTGTCCCCAGCTTCTGGGGATTAGGACGTGCACATCTTTGGGGCTATTATTTGGTCAAGCACACCTGGGATTTCAGGTCCTCTAACCTGTGCTCCAAACACAGTCTCACATCTCCACCTCCAGCTACCCTGGGCTGTGCTGAGGAGGGACCCCCAGGTCCTTGCCACTCCCCCAGGTCTCTCATCCTCTCAGTGGGCTGAGACTGTGGAGCCGGAGGGCCTGAGTGCAAATCCCAGCTTGCCACTTGGAAGCTGTGTGACCTGGGCAAGTTACTTAACCCCTCTGTCCTCTGCTCATAAGTAAAGAGGGGATGGCAATAACACCCCACAGTCCCCGTGGAGCTGGGATGAGGATTCAATGAAGCTACGTTCCTAAGATGCTTAGAACGATGCCATGCACAGGATGTGCCCTGTAGTGACAGTTGTCACTACCTGGTTGAAGCCTGGCCTCAGTCTTTACCAGTGAGGAAGAGAAAACCAAGCGGCCTCTGCTCCCGTGAAGCACTGGAACCTGATCTGGGCCAAGTTATTCTCCTGTTGGACAGGAGCCATCTCGCAGGAACCAACCTCAGACAAGTGTCTCTGAGACTGTGACAGAATTAGACCAAGGCTAGGCCACTCTTTGTCCAAACACAGACAAAAGCAAGGTCACTGTGCCACCCTCAAAATCCCAGCCCGTCCCTTTGTTGGCAAAAGTGAGTGGCGGCAGCTGCTTTACGGGTTCTCCATTCTGCTCTGCCCACAGCAGATGAGCTTTGTCGAGATGCTTGATCGTAGAACCACCCTGAGTTCTGACAGCATCCACACTTGAGGGATCTCCTGCTTCTTTACATCCTCCCCCAAGCCCCCAGCTCTGGCCCTGTGTGTGCACGAGTTCTTTCTAACTCCCCGATGCATGCCTGGCGCTTCCCTGCAGGGCGTGCTCTCTCTCTCTGCAACATGTAATGAGCTCAAACTGCGTAGCTACAGGTGGGTCCCAGTGGGCTCTGGCTGGAGGGCTTTACTTTTGGTTTTATTTGTACAAATTTATGGAGTACATGAGAAATATTTTATATGTATATAATGCAAAGTCATCAAGTCAGAGTATTTAGGGTATCCGTCACCCAAGTACAATACATTTTCTTAGTATAGTCATCCTACTCTGCTATCAAACATCGAATGTATTCCTCCTATCTTACTGTAGGTTTGTACCTTTAACTCACTTCTCTTCATCCTCTCCCTTCTTCCCCACTCCCCTTCCCAGTCTCTGTTATCTATTTTTCTACTCTCTACCTCCATGTGTTCAAACTGTTTAGCTCCCACATACAAGTGAGAACAACAGATATTTGTTTTTCTGCGCCTGGCTTATTTCACTTAACATAATAACCTCCAGTTCCATCCGTGTTACTAAAAATGACATAATTTCATTCTTTTTTATGGCCAGATGGTAATCCATTGTGTATATATACCACATTTTCTTTATCTGTTCTTCTACTGATAGACACTTAGGTTGATTCCATATCTTTGCTATTGTGAGCAGTGCTGCAATGGACGTGTGAGGGCAGGTGCCTATTTGAAATACTGATTTCTCTTCCTTTGGGTAGATACCCAGTAGTGGGATTGTTGGAGCAAATGACAATTCTCTTTTCAGTTTTTTGAGAAATCTCTGTACTGTTTTCCACAGTGACTGCACTAGTTTACATTCTCACCAATAGTGTACAAGCTCCCTTTTCCCTGTATCCTCGCCAACATCTGTTATTTTTTGTCTTTTTATTAATAGCCATTCTGACTGGGGTAAGATGATATCTCATTGTGGTTTTGATTTGCATTTCCCTGATGATTAGTGATGCTGAGCATTTTTTCATATACCTGTTGGCCATTTGTATGTCTTCTTTTGAGAAATGTCTATTCGTGTCCTTTGCCCACTTTTTAGTGGAATTATCATTTTTTTCCTGTCAAGCTGTTTGAGTTCCTTGCATATGCTGAATATTAGCCCCTTTTGGCTGAATAGTTTGCAAATATTTTCTCCCATTCAACAGGTTGTCTTTTCACCCTGTTGATTGTTTCTTTAGCTGTGAATAAGCTTTTTAGTTTAATTAAGCCCCATTTGTCTGTTTTTGTTTTTGTTGCATGTGCTTTTGAGTTTTACTCACAAATTATTTGCTTAGACCAATGTCCAGAAGAATTTTCTCTTCTGGTATTTGTATAGTTTCAGGACTTACATTCAATTCTTTAATCCATTTTAAGTTGATTTTTGTATATGGTGAGAGATAGGGGTCCAGTTTCATTCTTCTGCATGTGGCTATGCAATTTTCCAAGCATTCTAATGTAAGTTCCTGTGGAGTTTGTCAAAGATCAGTTGGCTATAAATATGTGGCTTTAGTTCTGGGTTCTGCATTTTGTTACATTGCCCTAACTGTGTCTATTTTTATACCAGTATCATGCTGTTTTGGTTACTATGGCCCTGTAATATATTTTAAAGTCAAGTAGTGGGACGTCTATAGCTTTGTTCTTTTTGCTCAGGATTGCTTTGGATATCTGAGCTCTTTTTTTGGTTCCATAAGAATTTTAGGATTGTTTTTCCTAATTCTGTGAAGAATGACATTAGTATTTTGATGAGGATTGCATTGAATGTATAGATTGCTTTGAGCAATATGGTCATTTTAATGACCATATTGTTTATTTGTGTAATCTCCAATTTCTTTCATCAGTGTTTTTTGGTTTTGCTTGCAGAGATCTTTCACCTCCTTGGTCAAAGCTATTCCTAGGTGGGTTTTTTTGTTTTTGTTTGTTTGTTTGTTTGTTTTGGTAGCTTTTGTAAATGGGATTGCCTTCTTAATTTCTTTCTCAACTAAATCATCATTGGTGTATAGAAACATTACTGATTTTTGTACATTGATTTTGTATCCTGCAACTTCACTAAATTCATGTATCAAATCTGTGTTTTTTGGAGGAGTCTTTAGATTTTTCTAGATACAAGGTCATATCATAAGCAAAGAGGGACAATTTGACGTCCTATTTTCTAATCTGGATGCCTTTTATTGGGTTCTCTTGCTTGATTGCTCTGGCTAGGACTTCCAGTACTGTCTTGAAGAGGAATGGTGAGAGTGGGCATCCTTGTCTTCCTCCAGTGCTTAGTGGAAGAGCTTTCAACTTTTCCCCATTCAGAGTGATGTAACTATGGGTTTGTTGTAGATGGCCTTTATTATTTTGAGGTATGTTCCTTGTATGTGCAGTTTGTTGAGAGTTTTTAGCATGCAGGGATGTTGAATTTTATTAAATGCTTTTCCTGAATCTATTAAGATGACCACACGGTTTTTGTCCTTCATTCTGTTGATGTGATGTAGCACATGCATTACATATGTCAAACCATTCTTGCATTTACATCAGGTATAAATCCCACGTGATCATGGTATGTTATCTTTCTGATGTGTTGTTGGATTTGATTTGCTAGTATCTTGTTAAGGATGTTGGTGTCTATGTTTTTCAGGAACACTGGCCTGTAGTTTTATTATTATTTTTCGTTGTGTCTTTGTCTGGTTTTGGTATCAGGGTAATACTGGGAAACCTTGAGGGAATGGATAAATTCCTAGAAATATGCCACCTACCAAGACTGAATCAGGAAGAAACAGAAAACCTGAAAAGCCCAAAAACAAGTAGCAACATTGAATCAGTAATAAAAAGTCTCCCAACAAAGAAAAGTCTAGGACTGGATGGATTCACAGTCAACTCCTACCAAACATACAAAGAACTAATACTAATACTCCTGAAACTATTTCAAAAAAATCAAAGAGGAAGAAATTTTCCCTAACTCATTCTATGGGACTGAAGGGCTTTGACCCCAGCTGTGGGGCTCTGGGCTTACGGTGTCATCACTCTGCGCTTATCTGGAAATGAGATGAGATGCCTGGGAATGATGAGGTGAGGCCTGTGGGGCACCGGAGCACAGAAGCGCCACCCCACCCCCACCCCCAAGCTCCCCACCAATGGAGACACATCGGGCTTGCCGTCCTCCCAGGGGGAAGAGCCTTGGGCGAGACCATCTTCTAGTGCTCTGCCCTGCCCTGCTCTCGGGAAAGGCAAGGGTGAGCACCCTGTACAGCGAGCCCTGCCCACCAAGGAGCCACAGGCACAGGCGTGCTGCAGAGCAGATACGCAGCCTTTGGTCCTCTTGCATTTGTGGAAACTGCAGTTCAGAAGCATTTTCCCTGGGGACCCAGAGTTTGGTGCAGTGCCCAGCAGGGGAGGTGGGGTCTCCCCAGAGACATTCGGGAACTGTGGGCAAGCAGGTGGGCTTAGTGGCTCTTGGGATCAGGCATTCATCCCAGTGTACCCTGTGCCAAGCCCCACTGAGCCACCAACTCAGATCTGCTGTCACTCCATGATATCTTTTGTACGAAGTTTTGGCTTTAGAAGGCCGGGATCCTGAGATCTAAATTTTTCAAGCATTTTTACCCTTCTGTTGGTCCAGGCTTATACAGCTCCCTGCACCCTCCGGCAGCTTCCTGGAGGAAGGGGGCTGGGGCTTTGGAAGGAGGGGAAGATCCCCTAGAGTCAAAAGAGTGGGGGTACTGAGAGTGAGAAAGAGGAGGACTCCCATGGACCTCACTGGGGCTGGGAGAAAGATCTTGGGGGAGCACCTGTCCCCCTCATTGGCTTGGCTGTGTGTTCTAGAAGGTGTGAGAAGAGCCTAGCTACTCAGAGCTGGGGGCTTTCTTGAACAAGGGTCCAAAGTGGATGCTGGGGGCTCTGGAAATTATGGGGCCAACGGAGTGGAGTGAGTGTCTGCATGAGCACAGAGGTGAACAGCTGGAGCCAGGAGGACCCAATGGGTGCATGGTCCATTTTCCACCTGGAAACTGGAGGCCCAGAGAAACCAGGAGTCTGCCCAGGGTCACCCAGCAAATACCCAGAGGAACCAGGCAGAGAGCGAGGCGGTCTGCCGTCCCCCTAGGGTGCTCCAACAGGGTGTGGGGGCCCTGAAGCCCACGGCAGCCCCTCACCCCCCCCCCCCCCCAGGCCTGAGCCGGTCTGGCAGTCCTCCATCCTCTTCTGGAGGCTGGGGGTGGGACAGCGTTGCAGGGGCTCTGTGAGCTGCAGATCCCGAACCCAGAGCAGCCCCCAGCTCAGCGGAGGGGTGGCTGTGATGTCTGGTAAATGTGCGGCTCTCGGAAACCCGCTCTCCTCCCTGCGCCGCCCCTCCCCTGCACCGTGCAGTGGGGGCTCGGGAAGTCTACGTCAAAGGCTCAGACACCTGCTCCCTGCACCCAAGCCGTCATGGTCGGCTTGCCTCCGCTTGTCCAGAAGTCTCCAGGCTTGGGGCCCTGATTGCCAGCCGGTGACACTTGGTCTCCCAGCAGCTGCCCCTTGAGGGGAGCGAAGCAAGGTCAAGTTCTCCAGCAAACCCCATCCGCCCCTCCCTCCTCCCCGCCAGATCAGTGTGGGATCGGCAGCGCCTCCCCCCGTAGCCCCTCCCTCCAGCCATCCCGGCGCTGCCCACCCACCACACCGCTAGCGCCTCTGAACCTCGCCAGGCACGTCCGGTTCTGCGGCCCCCACTCCGCCCCCGCCTGCCGGGAGCCGCGCAGTGAGTTACTGACTCCGCCGGCGCGCACTTCATTTATTCAATAGCTCTGGGCCTGAAAAACACCGGGGAAATTGCATCCCATTTTCCCCAAGCCCATTAGCAACCAGCGGTCTCATTCTCGATGATTCCGCTGAGCCACCCCGGCTCTAGGGGAGGGGGTTTTATTCTGCCTCTGCCGCCACCCCCACCCACCCTCAGAAGGGCACCAGCTTTTCCAATCTGTGAACCCCAAAGAACTGCAGGGCAGGGACCCCTGGGGACCCCTCAACCCCCCTCACCCCCGCAGCCTTCAGTACCTCCCGCCGGCATTCCTCTACCCCCTCTCCATGTCCACCCAGCCTGGCCCCAAGGGCGGATTTCTTCTGGCTCTGGGCTCTATTCTCGGGAGGGGGGCACTGGGGTGGGGGCGCCCAGATTTGGAGTGGCAGCACCCCCTCCGCCTCCACCTCGGGCTGTGGGACCGCAGGCAGGTGGCTTCTCTGGCCTGCGTTTACTTTTTTTTGGCTGAAAAGGGGAAAGGTGGAACCACTGGCTGGCTGCCAGGAAAGGGCATTGGGGGAGATAAGGGGTGTAAAGGCCTTGACGAACGGGGTCCTCTTGGCCAGGAAGCATCTTGGGGCTGCACTGGGCACACGGCATTTTCCCCAACCCAGAGGTGGGCGCCCAGTGCCAGTAACTGGTCCAGGCTTCTAAAGGTCCCATTCCTTTGTCTCTGCAGCCTGGTGCGCCCTGCCAGGCAGTTGCGGGGAGGTGGTGGTCTCTCTGTGGGGTCATAGTTCAGAGCACGCGTGCTCGGAGACATAGTTAAATAGAAGCTGAATGCGTGAAATATGAATACATCCTCACGGTCCTCGTCTCGTTATAGGTTACAAAGTGCCGGGAGCCGTGCAGGGCCAGTGAACCCCTCGCTGAGACTCAGTTTGCTGCCATCACAAGTGCTCTGAGAATCCTGGAGAGGGAGGATATTGGAGACAAACGGGACTGCTGCCCGCCTTTTAGGCGACCGTTGGAGGCTGCTCTGTGCCGGACACAGGCAGGGTAGGTGGAAACCCCGCAGCAGTTCCAAGTTTTGGGGTTTTCGGGGGAAACCCATGAAGTTACCCCTCCATGGAAGGGGTGGTCTGCACCCGTTCTTTTCCCCAAGCGGGGGGAAGAGACAGCCTTAGTACAGGCCGGGCTTGCCCCCTCACCGGGGCTGTCTGTGCAGCTGTCACCCTCCTTCCTCCTGGACCTGCCAGGAAAATGTCAGCCCCGCGAGGGAAATGGCAAAGGGAAGATGACAGCAGACGAGAGAAACAACAGCCCCACCTGACACAGCCAGGACCCTGCGGAGAGGCGGCAGGAGCCCCCACTTCCTCGGGACTCAGCCTCTGCACCCCGGGACTGCCCATGGCCCCTCTGAGGGCTCTCCTCACTCCTTCCTCCCTCATTAGGGAAGAGGCCAGTACCCAGCAGCCATGGCCCAAGCGCAGGTGGTCTGTTCTGTGCACCCAGCATCCCCCTAGGGTCTAAACCAGGTATGGGGCTGAAATGGGAGAGGCAGAGAAGGTTGGCAGAGAGGCCTGGGGTGACGGAGGAGGAGTGGGCTGCTGGGCTCTGTTCCGGGCATGCTTTGGTGTCTCTCTCTCAAGAACCCAGATCCTATTATGAGGACACGGAAGCCCAGAGGGTTCAAGTGACAGCCCCAAGGTCACAGGCATGGGCGAGCTGGGCTAGTGGCTCCGGTGTGTTGGAGCATGAGGCTCTGGCAGCATTGATGCCACCTTTGCCCCCACACCCATCCTCAGGGTTAGTGCCCAAGTTGGGGGTGAAACCTGGCCAGCTTCAGTCCACTGACTTTTCAGCATCCCTTCCTGAGGCTTAGAAACTTCTTTGTCTTTTGGAAAACAAACTCTTTCTGTGCAAGAAACTCCACTCAATTCTTGGGCAGTGTGACCCCAGTCTTTTTAGTCAGAAGTGTCACTTCCTCTGCTACCCACCAAAGAGGGGGTGTGGCCAGCCGAACAGTCCCCAAACCAGGGGTGGTACCCCCTGCGCCTCAATAAGAAAATGAGTGTGGCCAGGAGGGGAACTGGATGAGAGTGAGAAATCACCCATCTGTGAGAAGAGAGGCCTCATCACCGGGGAGAGAGCGCAGAGTCAGCTTCAGTAGTGACTGGGACAGAGAGAGAGTCCTGTGGCTGTGTGATATCAGACAAAGTCACCCAGGGACAGCTGCACAGGTGTCAGTTGCTTTGGTCTTACAAAGAACCAGAAGAAAGCTATGCTTCAAAGAGAACTGGGTCCACTCTGATCCCAAGCCTTTCTTCTAGCCCAGGTCCTGATACAGCACCCACCCACCACCAACGTCCAGGGCTCCTTGCCATCCCTACCAGCACGTGCTTCTGCTGCCCAACTCCCTCGACTCTTTCCTACCCATCCAGGGTCCCTGGCCTCTGCTCAGGCACAGAGAATGCCCCCATTCCTCAAATGCATGTCAGTGTGTGTGCACGTGTACATGACAGGGCACGTGTGGTCATTTAGAGATGTGCACATTCCTTAACCCATTGAAAGTCTTGGCATGGGTTGTGGCCTCGCAGGAGAGCTGTGAGTTCATGGCAAAGGGGGAGATGGGGTGGAGCTACCAGGGTGAAAGTGGCAACGGGCCACAAAGCCCTTTGCTGGGATTTTTGGCTCAGACAAACTCAGGGAAGGCTACTCTGTGGGGCCTGCCAGTCCTGGGACCCCCCACTGTACCTCAAGCCCACCTGGGTCACAGCACTGATGGCTGACCAGTGTTCCTTGGTCCCATGTATCCTGCCCTGTGACCCCGAGCTCATTTGCCTAAGATGCATTGAGGATTACCAATCCCAGTGCCCTCCAATTCTCCCTCTCCACTCATCCCAGGCGCCAGGCTCTGTGCCAAGCCCAGGTCATGTTCCCAGTTTTGAACACAACTCTGTGGCCCTGACTTGAATTTCTACCTCTGTATCCTCCCATCAAGTCTGTGGCCCACTCCTCTCCCTTACAGCTCCCACAGCTCAGAAGTCAGCGGAGCAGAGTCCCCAGGAAACCAGGGTCAGGGATGGAGGCTGCTGAGGAGCGGGTCTGGGTGAGGACCAGCTTGTGACCTGTAGCTCCGGGGACCAGAGTGTGAACGATTTTGGCATAGATGCTGCTCTGAGCTTCCTAAGAGCAAAAACGGGCTGTTGCTGTTTGCGGTTCTTGTTCTGTTTGGGGGATGCCATCAGGTGCTGGGGGCGTATCAGGAGGGCACAGCCCCAGAGCCAGCAGTGTGTGGGGGGCTGGACCATCAGGCCAGGTCCCCGGGCCAGGGTGAGGTCTGGGCTGCAGGTGCACAGCGACCTCAGGATTGGTGGGGGTCCTCCCCAACCATGGATCACTGAGGGGGAGCCCCAGTTTAACGTGAACCTAACAGGCATTTAACTCTCATCCTGCCTAGGAGGTGGAGGCCAGATACAAGAAAACCACAGTACCAGTAAATGACAAAGGCTGGATCTTAACCCAAGTCCTCCGACTCTGAAGGCCATACCCAACAGGTCCCATTTTATTTGTTTTACTTTTTTTTAATTGAAGAAAAAAAAACTAGCATTCCCCTACAGTGCCCCCCACCTGGTGGGGACATCTTGGGTTGGCAAGGCCACCACTTTCAAGAGTAGAAGTGTTTTTCAGCAGGAGGAGTTGGCTGCACCAAAGGAGCTCAGGAGAAGCTGGAGTCTCAGGCCCAGCAGGAACAGCCAGAGGTTTTGCAGCTTTGCCCAGCGGCTGGGTTCGCCGAAGGGTCTCCCTGGGGGTTCCCAGCATGAGCCGAAGCCACCCTCCCCTGTGGGATCTGTGAGGCCAGGCATTGGGCCTCTTTAGGCCTCAGTTTCCTCCCCTGTCATAGGCAACTGACAGTCCCTCTGGAGCGCCACTGGGGCTGCAGAGGGAGGCCGGAGAGATGGTGCCCCCCCTCCTCCCCGCCACCCCCACACACAGCCCTCAGCAGGATGGTGGCTGCCTGGCCGATTGCTTTTGCATTTGCAGCAGAGCGGGGGAGTGAGGCCAAGCTGAGTGCCCCCTCCCCCTGCCCAGCCAGCTCAGACCCAGGCGGTGGAGCAGGAAGGCTCTGGGGAAAACAGTGTGAGTCACCGGGCGGCCAGAGTGTGTCCTTCCCTGCTAGCGCACTACACGGCAGGTTTCATAGGTAATGATGTCATTTATGAGGCTCCCGCTTGGGGCTGTGTCTGAGTCAGCCTGGCTGTGTCGTGACCAAGCGGAGGCTGGCAGCAGCGAGGCGTGGGCACGGGCTCTGCCGCCGGGCTCTGGCCTCTGCCCCCTCGTGGGGCCCAGGCTGCCAGCCCCAGGCCTGGAACGGGCAGGCAGTGGGGCTGGGGGAGCCGTTTGAGACCTCGGATTGATGAAGAAGCATGCATTTTCGTGACCCTGGCTCCTGCCTTGGAACGGGGGGCTCGCATGCAGTGGAGGGGGACCCAGGAGTGAGCCCCGACTTCAGGAGGTTGCTCCCTGCAAAGTGCTTGTTGGGCGAAGGCCAGTGACATTCTGTGCGAATCCCTGCTGAAGGCAGATGGCCTCCGTTGTTAAACCTCCCGCTTAACAAACATCATCTCCGAACATACAGACACACAAACATATTTACATTTTTATAATGTGTATTTATTATTCAAATAGCTTGACAGCAAAGTGTTTGAAAACGAAGAGCAGGAATTCCGCGGTTCCTGCCCGGCCTCGCCATCCAGCTGGGAGAAGAGCATGGTCATTTCCTTCACTTAGTCCACGGCCACTCGGCGCTCATCCCCAGCACAGCCCTCCCCAGGCTGCGGCAAAGACTGTTGCTGTCCTGCTGAGGGATGTGCCCCCGGGGATTCAATCGAGATTCTGTAAGATGTGGGGGATGTGGCGGGGTGGGGGGTGGCTTCTCCACATCCCCAGGGCTCTCCTTCTTCCCCAGTGAGGTGGGAGAAGCCGCAGATTGGGGTCTGCTGAGGAGCGGGCCTACATGAGGCCCAGGTCGTGACCCATGGCTCCGGGGACCAGAAGGTAAACAGTTTCGGCACAGGGTGCTCCCACTAGGTCATAGGTGGATTCAGCCTTCTCTGAGAACCGAGAAGATTCTGGAGTCTTTTGAAGCAGGAAAGGAGATCAGAGGAGGAGATGGTGGCAAAGCGGGGACTGAGACTCTTGAAATGTGTTTATCCCAGGCAGAGCAGCCGCTGAAAGGGGAGATGGAGAGAGAATGTCAAAAGCAGCACTGGGTGTTTTCCTGGGGTCTCTCCACAGTGCCCCATCATTTCCGAATCACCAGGCCCGCTGGCACAGGGGTCTGCAGCCCAACCTCGCAGAATGACCCCCTCTCTGCAGGCGGGCATCACCCTGACAGCCCCCTCCCAGGACAGAAAACCTATAGACACCTGGCTGCTGGGTGTCAGGCCACCCGCCCGTTTCTCTTCCTTTCCTTCCAGCCTTTCCTCTCCCAACCAGCCCCCTCCCCACCCGGTCCCCCTTCTATTTTTCCTGGCTAAAACCAGCCACAGATACCACCACACCCGGAAAGAGATAAATAAATAAAAGAAAAACAACCTCAACTGTGAAAAGCAGTCCAAATCTGAATTTTTTCCGGCCTGAGTTAATTACACTTTAAATTGGCATGTTTACTGATCGGGGAATTTCAAGTTAACAGAGACAGCGCCCCCTCCCCAACTGTTTGTACAGTAGAACTCAGCAGGCTGGCGGGCTCCCCCAGGCCTTGGCAGGTCCTGCCGCTCCCCTGCCAACGAGAGAGCATAACAGAAACATCTATTTTTGAGTGTTAGAGAAAACGAAGATCTCACAGATGGCGGGAAGCAGCATTCTGGATGGTTTCCTGCACCCAGGCTCTGTGCACCTTCTCAGCAGCCTCTTGCCCCAGGAAAGACCAGGGCCTTTGGCCTCTCGGGACCCTGCAAGCTAGCTGCCTTGCACAGGGGGCTGTCTGCCTATCCCATCGTCGAGGGCCGAGCCTGGTCGAGGCTCCCCATGCTGTAGCACTGTCCAGTTGGCTCTGACCCCTTCTCCTTGGAGCAAGGCTGTGTGGGGTGCGGAGGGGGCTCTGGGCAGGAAGCAGGAGTCCCTGATGCATTCATTCACTCAGCACACACCAATGGAGCGAGGAGCTACACCAAATAAAGTGGTGGCCTGATCTCTGCCTTCTCAAGACCGACCCTAATAATGGGCCTGGGTCTCCCCTAGACCCCATGTACCTTGGAAAAATCCCATCCCTGCTCCAGGCCCAAATAGAGGCAACCAGTGGATCTTCTGATGGATGCAAACCCAAGGAATGCCTCCGGGGACAGGCCAGACCCCCAGCTCACAGCCACATCTCTCCTGGCAGAAGTGGCCTGATGTGGCCACCCCCGCCCCAGGCCTTGGTTCATGGTCGGGATCAACCGCAGGCTCTGCCGTGGGATGTCCACACCCTCAGGACCCGCCGGGTGCCCTGTGCTGCCCACAGAGGAGAGACAAGGCCAACAAGCATCACTGAGCACTTTCTCTGGACTCAGTCCTGTGCTAGGTACAGGGATGCCATTGTGCACAAGTCAGAAACAGCCGCGGCCCCAGCAGAGCCTGCAGTCTGGGTAGGGAGATACTTGCTGATCTAAGAATCAGAGCAGTGGATATCTGACTGCAAATTGAGACTGCCTGTGAAGGATGAATCAGGGAAGGCTTCCTGGAGGAGGTGGCCTCCCAGAGCTCAGCTTGTCCTTCCTTGAGGTCCTTTCCATTCCCAGTCCCCCTCTGGTCACTCACTTGGCCCAGGGCCTAGGGCCTTCGGGCAGGCAGTGCAGCTGCACAGGCAGGTGCTGTACCTGCTCCCCTGCACGCTGCTGGGATAACGGGAAAATGATGAATGAGGCCCCATCATGCCCTGCTTCCCGGCCCTCAAGCCCATTCCCATCCATGACAAATTGTCCCTCTACCTCCACAGGGTCTTTTCAGCAGCCTCGCCTGGGAAGCCTTGGCAGCACTTGGTGGAGATTTATGCCCATCTTCCCCAGATTCTTCTTTGTTTTTCTGCTTCTTTATTCCCTCAAAATATGCTTTTATTTATTCATTCCACAAACGTTCTCTGAGTGCCTCCCGTGTGCTTCCTCCTGGTGATAGAGAGATCGGGTTCAGTACACCCTCCTGTGTTGAACACCTGCTTTGCACTGGTGTCTATGGTCAGATTTCATCCAAGGAGACAGGCATGAACTAAGCACCTACTATGAGCCAGCACTGCCGAGCCAAGGGCCCTGGCTTCTAAAAGCTCTGCCACAGGGTGGCCGAAACCCCAGCCCCTTGGGTATTGAGGTCCTGGCTTGGTGATTTTGCAGCCCTTCTTGGTCTGGGTCGCCTCAATTTTTACAAAGAAGGAAGCCGCTCGTTCATCAGAGGTGGGTCTTGACCCCAGAGTCTCAACCCCAAAGCTGGGGAGACAGTGCTCAGAACAAAAGCCACAGCAATGCACCCTGCCCTCTGTGGACCTCAGTTTTCTTACCTGTCCAAGGGTGTGAGCAGAGAGGCAGGACAAGAAGGGAGCAGCCCTGACATTTGGGGGTTCTCTGAATCCTTGAGGACCCCTGACGACCGTGAGCTCCGTGGGTCTCCAGGACTGCACCAGCCAACGTGTCTGTGCAGAGTGGTGGTACACAGACAAGGGTGGGGGTGGTGAGGGGAGCACCTGGTCCCACCCAGGAGAGATCAACCAGATGGTCTCAGCGCACCCACCACCTTCACTAGGTCTTGTTCACTCCATGCAACTGAGGCAGTGAATATAGCCCTCAACTGCCATCAAGCGGAGTGAAAAACACAGGTCAACATAGGTCTTTGGTATTTGGATGCCCATCATGCTTTGAGTCTTCTGACAAAGCAAGCAGCCCTCTCCCCAGGCCAGACACGCACCAAAGCATCCCACTTCATGGGTGATG
This sequence comes from Homo sapiens, assembly GCF_000001405.40. Lineage (NCBI taxonomy): Eukaryota > Metazoa > Chordata > Mammalia > Primates > Hominidae > Homo > Homo sapiens. Next base: position 101,069,625 of record NC_000014.9, on the reverse strand, counting down.
GCACCAAGTTGGAGAGATGACAGGTGAGTACAGAGAAAAAACCATGAATATTCTGGCAAGCTAAGTCTGGGGGAAAGTGAGCCTACCTCATCATATGATACCAAGAAAAGAGGCCCATTCGGTGAGCGATCTGTCTTCCAGGACACAGGGGCTATTCCTAAAGCCCGTGCAAGCAGGGTGGGTGAGAGCACACAGCCTGGAGCCAGACCCTGCCCCACCTCCAGCTGGGTGACCTTGGTTGACTCACTCAACCTCTCTGCGCTCCATTTCCTCAACTATGGAAAAGAAACTGTCTCCTCACAGCAGCTGATGGGGCCCAGGACCAAGGCAAGCGCCCCAACACGACAGCTATTACTTCTCCTCTTATCTCCCGCTGAAACAACAAGGAAATGGGAACGGAGGTCCAGGTTGTTCAATTTCCCAACCACGTCCAGGAGACATAGTGGGGATAAACCGGGCCCTTGCACTGGAGAAGGGAGCACACCTCGTGAACTTGGACCGGCGGCAGGGTTTACACACCGCACTGAAGACGGGACAAGTCACAGAGCCTCTGGTTGAAGGGTCCATGGAGACTTTCATCCTGGCCACCTGTGGGGCACACGTTCTTATTTGGCTTATCTGATGAGAAAGGCCCTTTGTTTATTTTTTCTTCTCCGCAAACAATAGATAAATCAATCATTTTTGCTTTTAATGAAATTCTGCATCAAGTGGCACAGGGTCACTGTGTTTGGGTTAGAAATCGGCGGGGAACATGCACGCTGCTGCATGCCGGGCCGACGCCGGACTCACCCCCTAATTCTCAAGTGGCGCGTGATGCACCCAGCACTCTTCCTGAGTGGTGGCCTGGGAGACTCGGCGGGGGGGCCGTGCCTGTTAACGCCGTGGTGTGCGGGGATGGTTATATTGAAGCTATTAAATAAGGCTAATGTCACTCTTCCCCTCACACACACATTTAATATATTCCAAAGATGTGTAGATGCATTAACAGCAATTTTCATCTCCAAATGTTCCCATTTAGTCAGCCCCATGCATAAAATATGAGCCCTAACACCACGCTCCAGCCCGTTGCAGATGGAGTTCCCCAGAGCATTTGGCTCTCAGCGCTGGGGCGTTTGCTGGAGGGGCGGGGGCGCGATCAGTCGGCATCTGCAGGGGAACACAGGGCCTGTCACTTCCTCTGGGGCTTTGGTGCCCCCACCCCCCGACAAGTGGAAGAGAGAACCCAGACCCAACTGACTCGTGCCTCCTGCAGCTAATCTCAGCCTCATCCTGGAAGGGCAGAAAAAGCTAGAAAACCAAACAGCTTTGAACAAATGGGAAGAATTTCTAAAAATCAATTAACATATTCATGTACTCCATCACCACATCTTATTGACTGCCTGCTTTGTGCCCAGCACCTGCCTGGGAATTCATCTGATCCGGTCCCTGCCTTTGGGGACTCCATTAGTCAATCAACAAACACTCACTGTTCTGCTACTGAACACAGCAGGGGATGAGAGAGAGAGAGAGAGAGAGAGAGAGAGAGAGAGAGAGAGAGAAATTTCTGCCAATGAGAAATCTCACAGTCTAGGGCACAAAGAAGGTAGACATTAACATTAGGCAATTTCAGAGAACTGTAAGCTAGGAAGAAAACAGTAACGGGGCAACTGGTAGAATGTGATAGGGAAGAGGCAAGGGGAGCTGCTTTTATAGGGTTATCAGGGATGACCTTGCTGAACAAGAGCCATTCCATCCCCTTGGGAATTGTGAACCCCTGGGAAAGGAAAATGCAAAGGATGTGGGCCTTTAAGGAAGGAAGGGCCAGAGCCTGGACAGGAGGCAGCCGAGGGCAGAGCAGGGCGGCCCAGGACCCAGCTCCGGAAGGAGGGGCATGTGCAAGGCCAGAATGAAGGATGAAAACACGTGGGGGATAGGCTGTGGCTCCAAAAGAAGAGGGGGGCTGCCACTCTGAGGGCCTGGGGGGTCCTCGGATCATTTTGGTACCAAGCCCAAGGGAAGGGGCCTGCAGAGGTGCCCTGGGCAGCGGAGTTAAACAGCTGGACTCTGCACTTGGAAATGCTCTCCCTGGCAGAGGGAGGGGCACTGGAGGGAGACCCAAGTGCCACAGGCTGGAGGGACCTAGCCTGTGGGGCGGCCTCTCCAGCAGGGCTGTGGCCCAGGGGCTGGGGAAGAGGGGTGCTGAGGGAGAGTGGGAGCAGGCAGCCCAGAGGGATGGTGCCAGGGATCCCCACTCCCATGCTAGGCATGGAGAGGAGCGGTCCCGAGGAGGAGGACAAGGGGGAGGGCAGGCACAGGCTGTGACTTCCAAGGCAGCGACGTCTCAACTAGGGGATGACGGGAGCCCAGCTCAGGAAGATCTCCCGAGCCCAGGAGCTCACTGATCAACAATGAGTGATAAAGGACAGCCTTAGCTCATTCTTTGGGGTCACTCCTGAGGTGCTCCTTGCCTTCAGCCCTGGACCCTGGGCATGGGCAGCATGTTCTGGAGTCACTAAGTCTCCAGGTCAGCTGCAAACAGGCCTCTGGTCATCTTCCTGTAGTCTGGGCAGGCCAGGGGTGCAAATATGACATAAGCATCGGGTAGCTGAGAGCCAGCCCAGCCTGGGGGATGTGCCAACCGGAAGCAAGGGCATGGCGGGTGCTCCCGCTGACACTGGAATTGGGGATGCCATTCTGTCACACTTCCAAAGCCCCCCAGAACAGAGTGGAGCTGGAAAATTAACAGGCCAAGTGACACAGGTCCTACACAAAGTCCACAGGGTCAACCAGCGCAGAGCCAGCTGCTGCCTGGAGTTGACAGCAAAGAGGAAGGCATCCAAGGTGGGATTCGATATCGGAAAGAGGTTGACTGTATAATATTCATCATATAGAAAGTGAACACCTCACAGGCAACCTATTTCAGGTACCACTGAGCAGCACTGACTCCAGGGAGGAGGCTTCTTCCACAGGGAAGGGCCCTGCCACCCACCCGCCTCCAGGATGGAGGCCAGCACAGGGCTGCAGGTGGAAGTCAAGCGCGTGCTCGGCCACCAGCCATGCCTCTGGGGGCCCACAGGGCGCGCAACCGGACCTCCCCGACATCAGCAGGTGCAGGAATCATGCAGGTGGGATCTGATACTGAAGAGAGGCCGCTCGTGTCTTGTGTGTCATGATTTCTGTGAATGCAACACAGGCCACCTCTCCTCAGGCACCACAAGGAGCAGCACACGCACACGGCCACCCAAGGCACCAGCTCCCACCCAGGGTCTCACAGCACTGAGATGAGCAGAAGGCAGCCCAGGTGCAGGGAATGCATGCAGCCGCCCCCAACATCCTGGCGAGGGGTGGGTGGCCTTCCAGCAGGATGCCTTCCAGCGGGACTAGCTCCCCCGTGTCCTCTGCCTCGATGACACTGGCCATGAAAAACAGACTGAGCCCCGTCACCATTGCTCATCAGCTTCATGACCGCCCCCCACCACAGTGCACAACCCTAGCATCTTCCCCAAAGTCCACATGGCCCCCCGAAAGCTCTCCCAAAATGATTCAATGGCGGGGGTCAGGGGAAAGGATGACAAATGTCACACCAGCCCATGCATTCACGTACCCTGGAAAGTCCCGCCTCAGGCGTGGCGCCCGCACACCACCGGGCGGTAGCGGTACTGAAAACAGGCCATCTGTGTTATATTCGTCATTAATAAAAGCGAACTCATCACAGACAACCTCTTCTCAGGTACCCAGAGTGCCATCGGCTCAAGAACGTGGCTGCCGCGTCCCGTGGTGCCAGCGCTGCCCCCGGGAAGCAGTCCTGAGGACGGATGGGACATCAAAGGTGAGAAGACACAGAGACAGGAAAGAGACCCCTGCCCGGCCCACTCTCGGTGACCAGGCCCCACTGAGGCAGCGACTCCAAAGCACCCGTCCTGCTCCTACCCTCAAAAGGGCTTCATCTCCAACGGGTCCTCCAAGGTGAGATTTGATACTGAGAAAAGATCAACCATGTATTATTCGAAGTCAATAAAGCGAATATAACACGGTCGATCTCCCTTCAAGTACCAGGAAAGGCGCTGAGCTGAAGCGCGATCGGCTCCCCGGCCCGCAGGCCCCACAGGCTGCAGCGGATACGGACGGCTAGTGGACCAGGTGAAGTACATTAGAAACAATTACTTTCCAACTGGTCGACCATCCATCCCCGTACCCCAGAATGGTGCTGATGCCGGCGTCCTTCCCCGAGGTGCCCCAGCCTCCAAGACGGCCTCCCTGGTGGAATTTGATACCGAAAAGGGGTTCACCGAGCAACATTCGTCGTCCAGATGCAAAGTTGCTCGGGTAACCTCTCCCCGAGTACCATGGAGAGGCTCAGATGCTCGGACTAAGGTGAATGCTTGCAGGCGGCTGTGCTTGCAGAAGACCCTCCCCCAAGGGCAGCACAAGGTCTGGGCATTCAGAGCCCAGAGCCTCACACTCTCCAAGGACGTTCCCAATCACCAAGTCCAACGATTCCAACCCCTTCCAGAATGAATCTAGAGACTCTTCCCAGAAGTTGAGTGCAAGACCCAGGTAGGATCTTATACTGAAAAGACGGCAACCTTCCTTGGGCACCTTGCTAAAGATGAAAATGAAACCCTGCTCGCACCCGCTTTTCATTCCCAGACCCTGAGAGGGGGTGACCCTGTAGGGACCCCTGCACAAGCACAGAGCCTCCCTCCCAGCAGAGGATTCCTTTGGCGGGAGCTCAACGGGGCACAACGCTGACCCCAGACCTGCGGTCTCACCAGCACCATCTCCAGCCCACAGAGGCATCACCCCAGGATCCCTCAAAGAGTAACTTCACAGTTATCAACAGCTGGCTGACCATCTGATTAGCCTCATAAAGCAAGTGAGACATTCAAAATAAGGGACTGGGGGGATAAATGCAGCAGAAGAAAGCAGGTGAGTCACAGATGTCTTCTCTTCACAAGGGTCAGGGCAGCCCTGACCTCAGAACCCAACCTTCCCCAGACTCAGAGAACACCCAGAAGGTGCCTCCTGGAGCGGGCAGCCAGCAAGCATCGGGCCAGACGATGGATGCCACAAGCAGAGTCCAGATTCTGTGCCCACCACCCATTCTGTGAACTTTGGAGTGGGACCGACAGCAGAATCCTTTCCCTGACGTTGGCATGAGCTCAGAGAGCCCTCTGCGCCTTGCTACAAGTGGAGCAAGAGGCCAGCCATGCGAGGCCTGCTGTAAAGAAAGAAAAGATGTCACAGACGACTTCCCTTCAGGAGCCATGGGCACTGACCTGCATCAGAGCCTCCTTCCTGGGGCAGGCATCACCTCCCAAGGTGGTCCCGGAACGCACCGGAGTCAGCAGGAGTGGAACAGATGACATGCACCGTGGGTACAATCGGGCCTGTCCCATGGGCGGCCCTCAGGCACCTGCCCTGGAGAGGGCTCCGGCTGCAGGCCGCCTCCTGAGGGTGCTGTTGCTTCTGGAAATTCTCCAGGTAGGGTTTGATCTGAAAAGAAAGCCATGTGCAATGCTGGTCACCAACAAAGCAGGCCAGCAAACAACGAGCTCTTTCCACAGCCCCAGCAAGGTTTTTGACCTTGGAAACATCAACTCCAGAATGACTTTCAGCCTCTATGACCAAATGACATTCGGCACCAACGAAGGGCACGTCCTTGGGGCCAGCATGGAACCATGTAAGGTATCAACAGCAGAGTCTGAGGAAGGACTGAACCCCAGAATGTTCCTGGATGCCTGTGTGTTCATCAATAGCCTTGGAAGTGTGAAAGGAAAGTTATCTCGGGCCCCTAAAATCACTAAGGAAAACTCAAGCTGGAAGCTGCTCAGGATAAACCTGCCTCTCATTCCATTCAAAGTCATCCCTCTGCTCACTGAGACAGATGCGTATCTGATTTGCCTCCTTTGGAAAGGCTCATGAGAAACGCGAAAGAATGTAATCATTTGTGTATCACCTGTCTGTGACCTGGAAGCTCCCTCCTTCCTGCCTTCGCTTCAAGTTGTCCCACCTTTGCAGACAAAACCAATGTACTTCTTACATGTGCTGAATGATGTCTCATGTCTCCCTAAAATGTATAAAGCCAAGCTGTGCCTTGACCACAGTACTTCCTGAAGCTGTGTTACGGGTGTATCCTCAACCTTGTCAAAATAAACTTTCTAAATTAACTAAGAGCTGTCTCAGATTTTCTGAGTTCACAGAAGCAACTGTCCTGAAAGACCAGACCCCACTGACCGTAGAACTTCTGCTTCCCTCCGGAGTCAGCGTCTCACCCAGAACCCTCCGTGGGGATGGAGGGAGACCAGGTGATGCCTGTCACTTACGTATGAATGCTCTGGGGACAACATGCACCCAGATCCCCGGGAGGACGCCTTACCAGTGTGTCACGCCTGAAGTCAGCACACCTTTCCGGGAAGCTCTCGGGAAGGTTTGGGGCAGCAAGAAAAGATCAACTGCATAAAGGGGGAGACTGTATCCCATTTTTTGACCCTAGGTTCCTACTGACCCCACCAACTCCACTGTAAACACGCACAAATGTAACCACCTTCACAAGAATTGTACCAACACTGATATTCATAGAAACGTGTTTTTCAGAGCCAATGCCATTATACTAATCCAATTCCCTGTTTAGCTTTCCTGACCGCGCTGTTGAGCTGTTTTCATTTCTCTTATTTCCCTTGTTATTTTCCCCAAATCATTTTCATTAGGATCAATTTTTTCCATTTAAAAATCTGCATGAAGATTTGATTCCTCAATGTGTTCTTGTCTACATCAAATATCACTGTTTATCACCGCCGCCACCGTGAATTTCCTTCCATGGCTGCCACGTCGGCAGCTTGCTATTTCCCCAGGTCAAATGTCACAGCTGAAATGTTGTCAAGAAAATTGGATTCCTCTGCCAATTTGTAGTCAACTGAACACATTTAGCACTGTGCCGTTTCAGCTGTTTTTAGTTTTATTTTGTGTTGATTATTTTTATCAGTATTATTTAATACAAATGGGATGAGATACTGATAGCCTCTATTTGTTTCATAACCCAGGAGAAAATTGGGAACAATGTTTGGTTGGGGGATAGAAAGAGAAAGATAGAGACAAGGAAAGGTGCAGAAAGAAGCACAGTGCTTGTGAGCTAGACGGGGGTCTGGGGCTGCAGACTCGTCACAGACCCTGCCAAGTGTGAGCTCTTTGTGTATCCGCGAGGTCAAATACCTTCCGAAAAAAAAATGGTGGAGTCAAAATGTCTTTGGGATCAACACAGCCAAAATGGTGATGTAAAGAGACAGGGTCCAGGGTAAGAGCTAAAGCCGACGCGACACCAACGCCATCCTCCCCGGGCCGCGAGCCCCGCCCCCATCATGAATGAAGCTTGTGTTCTCTGAGCGACATCTGTTCTCATCCACCGCAGAGGACCGCAGAGGGCAGACCACCCACGTCTACCCCGTCCATTCTTGCTCACGGGAGGGGTGTAGATGCCCCTGAGCTTGCCACTGGGTCCCGGAAGCCATCCCAAGCAGGATTTGATACTCAAACAAAAGTTGCCTTTGTGTGATTCAACATAAATAAAGCGAATTCACCAAGGGCAACCTCTGCTCAAGGGTCAAACATCAGCACGGGCAAGAACACACCGAGATGCCTCTTCACCAAAGGCGGCATTGCCTGCGGGACCTCCCTGCTGACTCCAGCTGCAGGCTCGCTGGCTTGCTGGCTCGCTCTCTCCCCTCTTGCTCTCTCTCTCTCTCTACCTCCGAGAAGCCCCCCAGGCAGTGGTCAGAACATGGTTGGTCATGGACCAGCTTCTGTAGCCCTGGAGCAGGCAGTGGGGGCGAGGCTATGCACACACACATCACAGGTCAGCCCGAGCTAGAGTCAGCCCCTGGTCACCTACCCTAGAGGGGCTGGAACACCAAGGTCCACCTCCAGAGCCGGTATCTCCTCTGGAAGTCTCTGAAGCAGGATTTCACACAGAGAAGGGGGCTGCCAATGAACCATGTGACCGTGTTCAGTCCAGCCTACAGGGGTTTGAGGGAGGACCCGACCTGAAGGCTGGCGACTCCTCGTCCAGCGCAGCATCCTCAGAGGGTGGGTGGGGCTGCGTCACAGGGACAGCACAGGCTCAGGTGACTGTACTCCATGCACTCCATTCCAGGAGGCCTCAAAGAGAGTTCAACCAAGAAAACAGGTCACGCTGCCTATTCATTCATTCAGCATCACACCTACTGTGCACATCTGGCGACACAGCACCAGGCAAAACAGACAAGGACTCTGCCCTCAGGGAGCTTCCATTCTAGTGGCGAGAGGACAATGAGTGCAGATGACATAACATTCATATAATGACCATCCTCAGAAACAATGCTTATCCTACAGCCACGTGCCAGACGCTGTCTAGACACTTCACAAAGAGCACGTTTCCACTCCGCTGTTAACCCTGCTTTACAGAGGAAGAGACTGAGGCCCAGAGAGCTGATAGGTGAAGGGATTTTCCAAGGGCACACAGCTGGCAACATAAGGTAGTAATAAATGCTATTAACAATTCTCGTCTTGCAGTAGGAATAACCGAGTCGTGCCATGGAAATGTGTCTTTAAACAACATTAATTCTCACTGCTGAGGAAACCCCCTTCACCCCTTGCTTCCCAGAGGTCACCCAGAAGATAAGGTATTTGAGGGCGTAATGTGGATGTCTTCCATTCAGCCAGGAGTTCCTTTCCCTAAAGTGTGCCACACAGCCAAGATGATTTCACACCTAAAAAGGTTGACTAAATGTGGTTTATTCACTGACGAGTCTTCAAGGATGCGACTAGAAGACCACCATGTCAACTAAAACGTCAGCATCATTTCGGGGAATTCCTCCTAATGATGGCCGGGATATGAGCCAAGTGATGTAAGTCACACAGAGAGCACCTGTCATGCGGAGGTGATCCACTTCCTTACCCTGCGCAGGTGCCGGCTGGGCTTTCCCCTCGTGACGTTTCCCAAGAAGAATTGAGTACCGAAAGGAGATTGGCCATGTAATACTCATCATAAATAAAATGAACACACCATGGACAACCTCCATTCGAGTACCTGACTTGGGTGCTCGCTTCCAGCGCGTCCCAGCAGCAGGCCTGAGGACGGACGGGATACTGAGAGTCAGGAAGGTGGCAACACACCACCCACGAAATAAGCTCTGCGGTCCGGGCCGCACTCCATCCCTTACTTGCAATTAGCACCTCTTGCAGGAAGCCATTCAGGGAGGGAAGTGCCACAGCAGAGAGGTCTGCAGAGCACCATCTGTGATACATGAAGAGAGGGCAGCAGGGAAGACAGCAAGACGGTGTCTTGTCAAACATGCAGTGAGCCGATGAGGGAACTGCCGCCTCTTTCGAGGAAACTGCCATGGTAAGCAAGCAGGACGCCTGCAGGTGCACGACCCACCAAGAAGAGTGTGCACACTGTCAGCTTCGCCGTGCGTTCAGGCATTCAGACACCAGTTCTAGTTCCTAAACTCGGCACCACCCGAGGGTGCTTTAAGGCTAGATTTAATGCTTTCAAAAGAGTCCACTATGTAGGATTGGTCAAAAAATAAATCGAATGCATCATGGAAGACCTCTCCACCAGTACCACAGAGTAGCTCTGATAGGAAAAGCTCCACTTCTTCCCCAAAGGTGGCACCATCTCTAGAAACCTCCCCAAGGACGGGGCACACACAGGGTTAGGGCCAGGGCACACTGCTGGGTCGGCTATGGTCAATGGTCCCCTTCCTTACCCTGGAGAGGAGCTGACACCCTGAAGTAAGACTCCGCTCCAGGAAGCCCTCCAAGGCGGGATTTGGTACTGAAAAATAGGTCAACCGTGTATGATTCGTCACAAATAAAGCGAAGGCAACACGGATAACCTATCTTCAAGTACCACACGCTAGCGCAGACCCAATGTCAATGCCTGTTCTCCAAAGTTGGCCTCCTCCAGGAAGTCCCCCTAGGAGACAGTGAACATTGACGGTTAGCAGACGGACTGCAAGAGGGTTGAGAAGAAAGCACACGCCCTGTATTCAACCATTCCATCCCGGACCCTGCAGCCATCCAGACCTCAATGCCTTTGCCAAGGTGGGTGCATGTCTAAAGGAGCACTGCCAGGGAACCTGATGGTGGAGAGGCCAAGTGCACAGAAACTCAGCATTTGGATCAGAGCAGGGCACATTCCCTCATCTCACATTAGCATCGAGGCTGACAGTAATGATCCTTTCCTTACACAGGCCTTGTGTCCAGGAACCCTCCAAAGCTGAGTCCATGACAAAGAGACTGACTTTACAATATTGATCATACAGAAACAAACAGCATTGAATGCAAACTTTATTAGACCATGGCATGGCACTGACCTCAGAATCATGGCCTCATCCCCAAAGGTGAGCATAATTTCCAGGAAGTCTTCCTAAGGATAGATTGCATGCTTGGGGTTAATGGTACTTCATATATGGTTTTTCAAACTCTTCCATTGTTAGCAGAAAATTCACATACCTGGCCAGTGGTGCTGACTCCCACGACCATCTCAGAAGTGGCATTGCCATAAGGCATCCTGCCAGGGTGGAAGGTGACACTGAGGAGGGGGCATCTGGGTAGGATTGTTTTAAATAGACAAATGCACAGTGCAAATGACAACAGACTGACGTGCAGACAGATGGCAGCAAGGGGCCAGATGACAGACTTTCTTCTCCTCCAGTACACAATGAAATGAACAAAACAGATTATTTCACCAAAGAAAAAACCAACACCTGGAGTAGAAAAGTGCTCATAAAATGAATAAATCCTTGAAACAAAGGAACGATTAAATCTACTCATCAAGAAGGCATATTATGATTCAGAAAAACTAATGAATAAAAATAGTGACTGAGTCATAACCCGGTAAAGTCACCAACGTTCAAGACTAAAGAAAGAATCAGGAAATCTAAGCAGGAAAAAAAAAAAGTTCATCCATCCAAGGGAAAGCAGCTGTCCCCAGGCTTGTCCACAGCAATGGTTTAACACCAGAAAGCAATGGAGGCAAGTTTACAAAGTTCAGAGGGAAGAAACTGGGAGCCAAGAATGTCATGCCAAGTTCACCCATCATTCAGCTCAAAGGCTCCATCCCAGCAACAAGCACTGATAGGGAACCCTCTCCTCCACAAACATTGAGAAGTGTTGGATAAAATGCAACAGCAGGCAAAATCAATTCCCAAATAAACATACAGCTGAAAGGCAAAACCCTCAGGTGTTAATGAAAAGAATTAGTTCATGCAACCTGCCACTAAGGGATCTAAGGGATGCTGTGCTGGCTAGAGGCTCCAAGGGTCTACAGTCAAGTTCAAGTACAAGCAGGATGAAAAGACATGACCGTGCATCCAGGAGAAGTTGATCTGGGAATGGAAAGGGGAACCAGAAAATTTTATAATGGCCAGGGATAAGAGAATTTGTCATTTTTAGGGAGTGGATAGAATGAGGTCTCCTGTGAGATACCAAAGGTTCAGGACAAAGATATGGTGAGGACTTCTGCCAGCCATATGTCTGGGAATCCTTAAGCCAACAAAATGAGTTGAAAAACTGGTACCAACTGGTAAATTCCTTGGGGTACCAGGCAGAACCAAATGCAAACTCATGTGCATAGGGATTGAAACAAAACAGAAACACCTAAGTGCTCAACTGATGATAACCTCACAACACAAAGCTACAAAAACCATGAAGAAAAGCACCATCATGAGAGTCAATAGATTCAACAAAGAAAGGGGCTTGTATCCCTAAAGCTGAAAGAAATTATACAATAAATATCTTTAAAGTGACTAAAGAAATTTTAAAAACTTGAAATCATAAAGGCCAAATAGAACAGAATGAAAAAAAAATGGACAGATGGGAAAAGGTGTAAGAGCAATGGTCAGACATTCTCAGAGACGAAATACCTCACAGAACATAGTACCTCAAAGTCTTTCCAACAAGGTTTGTGAAGATCGCTAGATAAAATAGTCCAGGTAAGTAAGAGCTACATGGAGAAGCCACATTAAGACAGCTAGTGAAAGCCTCAATGCAAAAAACAGTGGACAATAGCTATAAATTTCTGAGAAAAAACAAGTAGGCTGAGACTTTTATACCTAGTTAAGCTGTCCCTTGTGCATAAAGAGATATATACTCTCAAATGCACAGGAACTCAAGGGTAGTGTCTATGAGCTATTCTCACAGAAACAATAAGATCATTTCCATTGAGAGATAAATTAAACTTAAAAACTAAAGAACGGAGAAACCTCAGTTAAAAAAAAACAAACCTTGTGGTCAGAAATGAATTCATTTAAATATAGAACTATGGCAAAACACCTGCAAGAATTATAGTTCTAGAACAAATTGCAGATATTTATAATGTAAAATTAAAATGTATAATTGAGAAAAAGCAGGAGATAGTAAGCAAAGGAAGAATAAGAATGCTGACTTCTTTATCTTTCTGAACTAGGAGTGAAATTGAAATAGTTAAAAACCATAACAATCCTAACCACTTAATTTTTACACTCTAATTTTTCTTAATTTTACAGGGATCTTTTAGGAGTTGCTACCTGTGGTGGTAAAGCGAGAAACATTTATCAATCATTTCAATCTCCTTTAGCTTGTTTTTTATGATAAATTCAAGGAAAATTATAGTTAGCATTTTTAATAAAATGATTAGGTACAGTGTGATCTCATATTTTCCCTGCGTCTGTCTTGTTTTTCTATTTGCATGTATGCTCAGACAGGTGTATGAAATTTCTAAAGCCCTTAATGGTTATTTCTGGGTGCCAGAGAATTGGGCAATTTTCCTTCTTTTTCATTTAGATTTTTCCACATCGCTTGAATTTTATTAAGCATGTGTCATTTTCATAAATATGGTAATAAGGTAGAATAATTATCCTTTTTGAAAAGAAAAACAAGAAATTGAAAATGCAACTGTCTTCTGTTCTTAAATTTGCTGTGGCCTCCAGATCAACAGATGTGGTGAGTCACCCTTCCAGTGAGTCCCCAAGAATGCTGAAATCAACGCCCCTTCCCTGAATTTGTCAACATGTCTAAGAAGTCCTTCCTCCATGGTAAGATTTAATAGTGAAAGAGAAGAGAACTATACATTGTTTTTCTTTAAAAAAAAACACAAAACCCCAGAAGCATCATGGGCACCACCACTTCCTCAGTCACAGAGGGGTCTTGAGCACAGATCACATGCTTCTTCCCCAGGAATGCACTGGCTGAGGATTAGGAGTGCTAGCAGCACCTACCCATTGGTTCCAGGGCCACACACATGTTCAGTTGCACTGGTGTGGAACCAACATGAGTATGGTGTCCCCTAAATCGGCATCAGGTCCAAGAAGACACCTGGTGAGATCTGATACCGAAAAGAGGTCGACCGTGTATTGGGCATCATTAAATAATGCGAACTCACCACGGACAACCTCCCTCCGAGTACCATGAGGTGGCACTGCTCGCAGCATTCCTGCATCTTCTGCACAGCCTGGGCAGCTTGGGAGTGGCCTCTGAGGGTGGATGGGACCCTGAGGATGAGTGGACCAGGTGGCTCAAACCCATGCTCTCCGGCCAACCCCAGGTTCACCAAGCCAGGATTAGTGTGCACAGAAATACCACTTCTTGTGCTCAGCTGGCCATGCAGGCAACATTTAATAATGCAAGGATGTCAGTGGCACAGGAGTCATTAAATATGAAGCAAACCACACACAAATGTGTGTGCAAAAGCAGGCTAAGCACTGCCTCCTTGGTAAACCTGGGATTCCCTTACAGGAATTCTCTGGAGGGTGTAAGGCTGCTGTGGGTTAGTAAACCAGGGGTCGCACAGAGTCCTGTTCCTGTTTTCTTCTGTATCCCGACGGCTGACTAATAAAAGATGCTTCTAGATGCCCAAGATTCAACTCCAAGGTTGAATTTGATAGGAATAAAAAAAGAAGTCAGCCATGTGTATTTCAATCTTAACTTTTAAAAAATTAGGGCATCCCAACAACCTCTCTCGATTTTCCTAAAGTTGGTAGTGCCCCAGGAAGTTGTTTTAGGGTCAGCTTGGACTCTAAAGTTAGTAGGTCAGTTACATGCATCCTCAGGAAAATGCTTGCCATGGGGTCAGCCATCCAGAAACCTACCTTGGAAGCAGCACTGGCTCAGGAAGCCCTCCGAGGCAGAATTTGACACTAAAAGAGAGGAGAGCCGTGTATGACTCGCTTTGATGAATCGAATTCATCACGGCCAGCCTCTCTCCAAGTACCACACATGAACACTGGTGAGAAATCCATTGCCTCTCTGGCAGAGGTGGCCGCCCTTCTCGGGAGTCCTGTTAGGAATGGGTGGGATAGTATTGGGTAGTGGGCCGAGCCGAGTGACATACACCCACATTAAGTGCATGCTCACCCGAGGCGCACTTACCTTAAGGGAGTGCTGAGGGCACTGCCTTCTCCCCAGCAGCAAGGATGCAGTTCGTCCTTCCAGACAAGACAGGGAGCTTTTGCGTAGCTCACTGGTCCCTGACAGGAGAATCATGGCCGCTTCCCAAAGCCGCATTATCTCCATGGAGCCTCCTAGGGAGAGACAGGATGCTGGGTATTAGAGGACGACGTGACAGACCTAACAAAGGCAGCACATGCTCTGGGAAGAAGGATTCAGTCACACACCCAGGAGAAAAGCTGGCCCACATCAGGTCCCTCAACAGAAGACAACATGGCGTCCCACATCGGAAGTCAACACTTCAAGGAGGCTGTCACAGTGGTGAAGGGGCTGCCAAGGCTGACTCATTGCATTTTAAGTAAACATACACCCCCAAGAGCACGTGTCATCGCAGTCCACCAAGCAGTCACAGCAAGTCCATGGCCGCTTCCCCAGAGTTGGTGGGAGCTCTGGAAAGTCTTCCTGGAGTGGGAGTGATGCTGAGGGTTGGTGACTAGGTGGCCCACAGGGTGAACACAGTGCATGCCCCTCTGGTCAACCAGTCACACACCCTGGACGGTGCTGACACCAACATCTCTTCTGGAAGTCGGCCTGGGGCCCAGGGAGCCTCTCTTCAAAGTCTTGTGAGGTGACGCTGGTGACAGAACCACAGCTGATTCCCCAGAGTTGGTGAGACCCATGGGAAGACCTCCTATAGGTGCATGGGAGGCTCGGATTATCGGGCCAGGTGACTTACAGCTAGGTCAGCGCATTGTCCATGGCCCGCCATCCATTCTTGGCTTTTCCACATGGTTGACACAAAGACTATCTTTCCTGAAGCTGCCATTGTGTCCAGGAAGTCCTTAGAGGTAGCATTTGGTACTGAAAAAAGTGTTGTCCGTGAATGATTCGTCATAAGTAAAGCGAATCCACCACGAACAACTTCTCTTCAAGTACCACAGAAAAGCAGAGACAAGACAGACAAGGAGTCCCCTTCCACTTCTCCAAGGGGAGTGGCTGCCAACCACCATCCTGTGGACAGAGTGGACACCGAGCATTAGTGAGGCAGCTTACGGGTGTCCTAGGAACACACTGGAGTTTGGGCAACCCTTCACTCACCTCCCTTGGAGTGGTGCTGGCACAGTCCCCCTTCCCTGGAGTTGAAATTGTGGTCCTGAATCCACACGCACAAGGTTTAGAAATAAGAAGAGGGAAGCCACTTGTCACACGCCAGGAGCACTCCGCAGTGTGTAGACCCCAGGGTTTCTGAACAGGGCCTTGGACTTCTCAACAGAGCACACTGAGTTATCCATCAAGCACATCAAGGTGCCAGCCAGGCTCCCGCAGGGCCCACTGAACTAGGGAGGTCCAGAGGGGGCCCCCTTTTGCCACTGCAGGTGCCCCTAGAGAAACTGCCCAGCTCAGGCACGCCAGGCTCCTGGTAGGTTCCCCATCACTGCCCTGGGTAGATTCTCTATCAATGCCCTTGTGGTCAGAGTGATCTTTCCAACACAGACCACGCATCCCCCCTGCTCACAACCCTTCCAAATCCCCCATCTCACTCAGAATAAAACCTGGAGTCCTGCCTCTCCCAGCTCAGACCCAGCGACTCCCAGCAGCTCGGTTCAATCCCACTGGCCTTCTTGCTTTTTCTTAAAGATGCCAGGGGGCTTTCCATGGGCCTTGCCCTCCTCCTGAAATGCTCCTACCCCAGACCTTCCTCTGGTCCACCCCACTCCATTCCCACCCACATCCTCAGAGAGAGCTTTCCAGACCCCTGTATTTAACACAAAGGTCCACCTGCTTTTACCTCTTTCTGTCACTGTAACCCGCTTTCCCTTTCCCCATAAAACCTAGCAGTGGACAAAATTACGCTTCCTAATTCATGTGTTCTCATCCGTCTCTTCCACCAGAATGTAAAGTCCACATGAGCAAGAACTTGATTTCATTCACTGCTCTCTGCTAAGGTCCAGAATCACCTAGAACACAGTGTGCACTCCATCACTATTTATGGAATGACCAAGTCATTCCTTGTTATTTGATCAACTCATGAACCATGTAGTTATGCTATAAACAAAAGAATCTGATTTTTTTAAAAAGAGAGAACTTTATCGAAACAAAATCATGGTGGCCAAAGTCACCAACCCTCTCAATAGCCATTATGGCCATGGGCAGGACACAGCTCTGGCAGGAGAGTGAGCTCAGGGAGACGCCTCAGAAACAAAGCTCAGACTGCTCAACTAACTCTCCACAAACTCCAACAGATGTGGATGCCAAGTCTCCCCAGAGGGCGGTGCTGCTTCCAGAAACCCTTCCCTGGCAAGATTTGGCACTCAAAAATTCTGCCCTGGAACAAAAGCAATAATGATGACCAATTACCTATCAGTCAGTCCGGCTGATGACAGTAACACTACCGAGCCAGCATGTCTCCAGAGATTCATCTTACCAAGGGTGAGGGTCACTTGGAGCAGGTGACAGACGTCTTGTGTGAATGGGCCTCTCACTGGTCAACTTCCCCCAATAATGTAGTGCAGACACCAAAGCCCCTTCCAGAAAATCACAGCCTTAGAAGTAACCATCTTCCTCAGAGATTCGATTCTGGTCATGGCTGTGGCACATGAAGAAGCTAGTGCACTGCGATGGCCCGTTCACATACATACCTTGGGTGGGAGGTGAAGCCAAGACCCCTTGCCTGAAGGCGGGACGCTGTCCGGGAAGCCTTCCAAAGCAGTATTTGATACTGAAAAACTGGATGTCCCTGTATGATTCGTCATAAATTAAGCGAACACAGCAGGGATAACCACTCTTCAAGTACCGAAGGCTGACGGTGACGGCCCACGTCTTCACCAGAGTCTGCCTTCCTTCCAGCTAGTCCGCCTGAGGATGAATTGGGGACAGAGGGTTAGGAGAGTTGAGGGGTGCACAATGTCAATCAAGCCCTTGCTTTCCAGCCAACCATGCATTCTTGCCCCTGGAGAGGGACGAAGGGCAACAGCTCCTTCCAGAAAGCTTCCCCAGCAAGATCCATACTCAAAAAAGGCACTCCCTCATGAGACTGGGCATAAAGAAAGCAAACCCGGCAAGGAGAAGGTCCTTTCAAGTGCCAGAAAATAGCATGGCCTAGGAAACCACCACCTTGTCTTCTGAGCTGATGTGGCCTCCAGAAGTCACTGGATAGGTAGGGACTGTGGATCAACTGACATACACCATTTATAAAATGTACGTTCTCTGATCAACCATCCATTCCCCTATCATGGACAGCACCCTGCCTCCAGGTCAGGGTCCTGCCAGGGGACATCTCCGGGGAGTTTGTCCTGAAAAACAGTGGTCCAATATGATAAGCCACAAACCCAGGCGAGGCCCCACGGTCAGCCTCAACCCTGCTCTGCCCCCGAGGCCTCCAGAGCCTGGAGGCCACAGCATGTGAGTCTTACTCCAATGAAGACACAGGCTCTGCCATGGGTCATCCTTACGAGTATTTCACGAGGTGCTGACACCAATGCCTCCTTTAATAATTCCTTGGAATTATATCCAGGAAAGAGGTGATGCTGAGTTGCATTTGCAGCAGAGAAAGCATTGTAGAGGGAACCTGCCATTGACGAGACCTCCCCAGGTGTGTCAGAGGAGTCCCCCTGCCTCCTCTTGTAGGTAGCCTGGATGCTGAGGGTCAAGGACAGAGAAAGCCTGTGACCTGGCTTGATAATCTGTCCTGTGGCCTCTGGCTCTGCAGCACCTCCTGGATCGTGGCCTCGTGCTGATGGCCAGAACCTTTCCCCGGAGTTGCCCTCCCTTCTGGGGGACCCTCATGGGCAGGCTGCATGGATAATGAGAATTAATGACCCATTTAATAGGTATCATCAATTCAGCCCCCTCTCTGCCTGGGACACGGAGTGGGGCTGAGCACCGAAATGGTCTTGCCCAGAAGTCCCCCAAGGACGGGTTGCTTGGGCCATTGAACATTGGGCATCGTCAGCAGACCCTCCCCCAGGTACCTGGTGATGGTGCTGACATAGACCTCCTCTCTGGTGGCGGGACACCTCCACACATTCTCCCACTGTGCAGGAATGAGGCCAACTGTGTGGTCTTTGTCATGAAAAATGCAAGAGCACTCCGGTGGTTCCTCACCAAGCCCCACGCCGCGACACGAGCACATCGGGTCCCCCGGCCAGAGCCTGTATCACTTCTAGGGCTTCTCCTGAGGGTGGAATGAATTCTCTGGGTTAGCTGTGCAGAGAACACATTCGTCAACAAAGTTCATATCCCTGCGTCACCTCTGTGCCCATACCTCAGGCGAAGCTGACAGTTTTCTTACTGTGAAGCCGGCACCTGCAGGCACCCATAAAGAACTGACTCCACACAGGGACCCCAGCGCACTGGCCACCTCAGATAGGACAAAGCCACGGAGGCAGAGAGCAGTGGGGCTTTGCAGCCACTCCAGGATGCTGCCCCACACAGGGACCACATCCTGAAGGGGGCGGGGCTTGGTGCCACTGCCCTCCACTGTGTTAGTCCATTTTCTGGCTGCTGATAAAGACATACCCAAGACTGGGCAATTTGCAAAAGAAAGAGGTTCAATTGGACTTACAGTTCCACGTGGCTGGGTAAGCCTCACAGTCATGGTGGAAAGCAAGGAGAAGCAAGTCAGGTCTTACGTGGATGGCAGCAGGCAAACAGAGACCTTGTGCAGGGAAACTCTGCCTTATAAAACCATCAGCTCTCATGAGACCCATTCACTATCACAAGAACAGCAAGGGAAAGACCCACTCCCCTGATTCAATTACCTCCCACCAGGACCCTCCCACAACACAAAGGAATTCAAAATGAGATTTGAGTGGAGACACAGCCAAACTATATCATCCACCAAACGGGGGATCAAGGACAGCCTCCCTTCTCCATAACCAGGGGACACGCTGGAGTCCGTGTTCTCCTCTCAAACCAGGTGCTGTGTGCAGGAAGCCCTCCAAGGCAGCATCACAGAGCCGAAGATTCATTAGCTGCATGGTCTCCATCGGGAAGGAGTGAAGGGAACCTGGCACCGTGCCAGTGTCTATGAGCACCAAGCAATGGACCAGGAGACCCCACCAGGTCGGCTGGCAGAGGGAAGCTGACCTGAGGAGGAAGTGGCACTGGGCCAGTGACCTGGGTGAGGAGTGGGAACACAGCCCAAGTCGGCCTGCCCTTCACACACCCACAGAGGTGCTGGACTTCATCCAGGGAGCCACCCTGAGAGGAAAACAGGCTGTCCTCAAAGGAGTCCGCATGGAGGAGTTAACCTCTCCTCAAGTGTCCCAGTGGAGTGGTAAACCTTGTCCTTGCCCCCAGGGACCCACCCTGAAAAGCACTGGGTCCAGGAAGGGACCTAGCCCTGTGGCTAAGCCACAGACCCAGCCACTGGGGGAAGGCACAAGTTGGCATTCAAAGAGGAGGGAACCTCACATAACTCGCAAAAACACATCGCATTCACAGCAAACACAGCAAAGCAACCCAGGGCTCTTCCCTCCACCAGCCTCACTTCCAGGAAGCTTCCCTCACGCAGCACGGAGCCGGGGCAGGGGCTCTCAGCTCACACAAGGCACACACTCTCACGTCTCCTGTGGGGGCGGCCCTCCGAGGCAGAGTCTGATATTCAAAAAGAGGTTAACCATGTATTATTCATGATGAATGAAGCGAACATAACACGGATAACCTCTCCTCAAATATCCTTGCATAGTTCTGAAACGAAAACCATGGCCTCTTCCCCACCGTTGTCTTTGCTTCCAGAAGATTCTTCTTGGGATGAGCTGAATCCCAGGGTTGGGGCAGGGAGGTGTTCACATCCTGCAAAGAAAGCACACGTACTGGCATTGACCTTCCATTCCCGTACCTCAGTCTCAGGGCCCAGGCAGCCCTGGCACCAAAGTCAAAACCCTGACATTGGAACCATGCTCAGAAAGACTTCTAAGGCAGGTTCCATTAAAAATATATGAAAGCTTCCTCCACGGATTCCTGAAAGACGGGATTTGATGACGAGAACCAGCAGAATGCATGTCAGAGATAAGCAAAGCCATCATGAAGAATTCTGTTTCCGATAAAATGGGGTGTCACTGATCCCTGAAGACAGGGTCCCTACCGCAGAGATGGTCTCAGTTCCTGGAATTTCCTCCCGATGACTGCTTGGAAACGGAGGGTCACAGAATTCCAGGGCCCAGCACATCAATAATGAATAAGCGTGCCGTTGACCTGCACCCGACAATCTTGCAGCAGCTTGACACCGGCGGCCCCTCCCTGAAGCAGGTCTTGTATCTGGGAAGCCCTTTGAGGCATGATTTGATTTTAAAGAAAAGTAATCTCATGCTATTTACGCATGTGAAAGTGAACCCTTGTTCACAAACCAAAACATGGCACGTTGATTCTGGGCCGTTCTCCCACGATGGACGGTATATGGCATGTGGGGAGACAGGCGACACATATCACAGGGAAAGCACCTGGTCTCCAGCCCCAAACCACTGTGAGTGTTGTCCACAGACCGGCGGTATTAGCATCACTTGAGAACTTGCTAAAAATGCAGAATCTTGGTCCCTGAATCAGAATCTGCTTTTTAACAAGATCCCTAGGTGATGAAAATCTTAGGAGCATTTTTAAAGTTTGAGAAACACTACTCTAGCCAACTATTCATATGCACACGCACACAAACACACACACACACACACACACACCCCAGAGGTGCTGTCGACCACAACGTCTTATTCCATGAGAGTCTGTCTAAGATGGGGTGGTTCCCAAGGAAGGCACGAAGCCATGCCACGTCCACCAAGAATAATCCAAATACCCAACAGGCAGCTGCTTAGGAGCTGCCAAAAAGTAGTAATAGTAACAGGAAATGTACGGAGTTTTTACTAATGTTTGCATTCCCTACAGGAAGTGTTTCATACTCAGAATGAAGGCTACAGATAGGAGAGGCTGGACCCAGGTTCCCCGGTCCACCATCTACCTAGAGAGAGGCTTGACCCCGGCATCTCTCCAAGGAATTCCTCGTGGCTAAGATTTAATAACAAGAAGAGAAAGAGAGATGAAATAATTGTGAACATCTTCCAATAAAAAGATATGGCACCAAGCCCCTAAATGGCATCTCCACCCCAAAGCTAGCATTTGTCCAAGGAAATCACACTGGTGGCTTGCATTCTGAGATCACTGGATTCATCATTATAAATCATCAACACAGTCACACTCCATGGTGGGGCAGGCACCAATGTCCCCTCACTGAAGTCAGCACTGTGCTTTCAAAAACTTCTGAAGCAAATTTGGATACTAAAACAATGGTTGTCCGATATTAATCATCATAAATATAGAGACCATACTACGGACAGCCATTCTTTAAGCACCAAAGAACTGTGCCATCAAGAAGAGCTGGGCATCTTCTCCAAAGTTGGTGTCTCTTCCAGAAAGTTCTTCTCAGGTAGTCCAAACAATGAGGATTAGCAGGTCAGCTTCACACATTGAGAGTCAAGCCCATGCCTGGGGGTCAGTCACACTCTTGGGCAGGGGAAGGGGGTCTGGCCCCAATGATCGGTCCCTAAGGTTTGCTTCATGTCCAAGAAGTGCCTCCAAGAAGCAGGATTTGATAAGTAGCTTGAATGCTGCGTCACCCACAACACACACCCATGGCCAATGCAAATCCCTGATAGCACCAAGGAGTCCCGTGGCCCCCTGCCAAGCGTGGCCCCGCCTCCAGGGTTCTGAGGTTAGGGCACAAGTGTCCCCACCACAAACCAACTGCATGCGCCCTCATCCCCACCCAGGCGTGAGCCCCTGGGAAGGGCTGATGCGTGCATCCCTTTACAGAACTTGTCATGGCGTCCAGGAAGTCTGCCGAGGCAAGATTTGATACTCAAAAAGAAATTGTCCTTGTATGATTCATCATAAATAAAGCGAACACACCAAGGATAATTTCTCCTCAAGTATGAAACAGCAGCACGGACCACCACCTCCAGGTCTTTGGCTCAAGGTTAGATGGTGACTGCTTCGTGGCAAACCCAGTCACACACTCGCTCATGCACACACACCACGCACACACAGGCATGCACAATGCATGCACCAAGTTTGACCTCTCTTTAAGCACCAGGGAAGCAAGATGCCATAGAATCCTCACTCAGCTTGGCATCCTCGCTCAAGACTCCTTCAAAGCGTAGATAGTGGCCGAGGTCAAGAACCCAGGGACTGTCTCTCTTAAGTGGAGCAAATGTTCTCGGCACCCCTGCTGACCCCCACTGCATGTGGCATTCTGTATCAAAAGCCACTGTGTGAATGGCTTAGCTGCCAAGCATCAAGAGCATCACTAGCCCCCATTGTAAACACCGTGTATGCTCTGGGCTTCCTAGTCCATTCCATACCCGATGAAGGACTTGACTTCCATGTTTTGACACTGTTCCAAAAACCCATGGAGAGATTTTAGTCATAAAACCACCACCACCACCACCACCACCACCACCAATGATAGTTTCACAGCACACAAGGGTCCTGGCTACCACCTACGAAGTGCCGACCACGGGGCTCTGCTCTGAGCCGTGTACAAGTCTTAACTCGTTCAGCCCCAGCAGCCCCAAGAAATGGACGCCAATGTGATTCCCCTTTGACATGTGAGACAATGGGCACAGCACGATGAGATCCTTGCCCAAGGTTGGACGGTTAGTAAATGTCAGAGGTGGGATCCAAACACAGGAAATCGAGCTCCAGAGTCTGCGCTCTTGATACTGAAAAAGTGGATGACCCTGTACGATTCGACATGAGCAAAACGAACAGGACAGGGATAACCACTCTCCAAGTACCAAAGGTTAGCACGGAAAAGAAAGCCACTGCCTTGGGTGGACTTGGTACGTCTTCAAGGCGCGGTCCTGGGGATGAATTAGATGCTGAGGGTTAGTGGACCGGGTCACATACCCCAAGCAGAACATGCACACTCACGGACCGAGTAACAGCAGGGACCACAAAGCCACTACCCCACACGAGCGCCACCCCAGCCATCGGCCCGGGCTGATGACTTCCCGCTCAGGAAGCAGGGACCCAGACCACACACATCGTGCATGCTTTTGGCCCCGCCCACACTGCACCAGGAGAGGGGATGTCCCAGAGGCCACTGCCTTCCCTAAAGTCATCCAGGTGCCCGTGAAGTCCTCTCTGTGAAGTGGGGACCCGTGAACGATTTGCCACACACAAAACGGATACACACGGTCATGCACACACATACCGCATCCCTTGCTGAGTGTGGACTGGGTCCAAGACAAGGTTTGATACTCACAGAGAGCTTGCCCTTGTATATTCCATGTCAATAAACCGAATATACAAAGGGCAACCTCGCTTTAAGTACCAAACAATAGCACTGGGCAGGTTCCTCACTATCATTCACGGGGCCGGCCTCCTCTCCCGGGGTTCATCCTGGCGGGGGAGGGGGTGGGAGATGCGGGATCAGCAGACCAGGTGGCAAACACCACCTGCCAGCTGTGTGCCCATAGGTCAGCTCTCCATCCCAAAGGGGCCAGGAAGGGGCAGACGCCAGTGCCCCTTCACCAGAATCAGCCTCTTTTCCAGGCATCACTCCAGATTAGAACTTGTTCCTGAAAAGGAGATCCACCCCACGGGCCTTCCTGGGCACACGCAGAGCTCAGCTTCTCACTTTCTATAGGAATTCCCTGGGGTGGGACCACCATCTCCTTCCCAGTGTGGGCACCTCTCCAGGAAGTTTTCCTAAGGATGCACTCAGCACCGAGGTCCCAGGCACTGGATGAATTTACACCTTAGACAAAGCAAAGGCCCTGTGGTCACCATCCCTTCATCCATCTCACAGAGCCGTTGACACCAGTGTCATTCTCCATGCCAGCCCTTGCCCCACCCCTGCCAGAGGCTGGCATCGTGGCCATGAAGCCATGCTAAGAAAGAGCACAGGGTCAACAGTAGTAAACCCCACGTACCCCCAAGTAACTGAGGAAGCAGACCCACAGCCCATTCCCCACAGTGGTCTCTCCTTCAAGAAGGGGAGAGGAGCGGGAGCCGCCTGGTCCAGGTGGCAGGTTATGTGACTCATTACCCAGGCGTGGTGCTCACCTCTCTTCAGCTGGACGTTCGCTTTCCTTGGGCTGAGGATGCTGCGAATGTCCTTCCTGAAGCTGGCTTCGGGTCCAGATGACCCCCATGGCAGTCGGGGTGTAAAAAGCCGGCAGTCACACGGCCCAAGGAGTGTCTCCACAAACACAGAACAAGAGTCCCATTCTCAGGCAGCCATCCTAGGTGTGAGCAGAAAGCCAGCAGTCAGAGACGGGGCACAGACATCGAGGCAGAAGCAGGCGCCCTCTGACCTCCCACATGCACGCACCTGGTGCGGGGCTGACAGCTCCCACGGCTCATCCCCAGCGCTGCCTTCATGGGCAATCACAAATGACAAATAGAAGCAAACCATTCTTACAGATTCAGCCTGGGGACTGCGAGCTGGATCATGAACACCCAAGCATCAAAAAAAAAAAGCGCTGATGAGCACACCTCAGCCCCTTCCCCAAGGTCAATACCACCTCCAGGAAGCCCTCCTGGGGCTGGCCTACCAGGCTCGAAAACAGCATAGACAGAGCCAGTGCTCCGTGGTCCACCATCACTGCTGTCTGTGTTCCCCTTGAAATGATCCAACATCCAGGTCCCCCTTCTAAGGCTGATGCTGGGAACAGGAAGCCTTCTGTGTATGACTTGGTACCAAGAAGAGGCAGATCAATGTGTGATTTATCCTTAAAAAAGCAAACCACCATTAAACTTGGAGCACACAAAAAGGTCCCTCCTCTCCCACTGCTTCCAGGGAGTCCACAGGAAGAACCAGCATAGAGGGCGAAGGCAGAACCCAGGGGCAGCGTCACAGCCAACCTCACGTTCCCGGACATGGAAGCCAGGCCATACCTGAGAGGGGCTGACATCCGAGGCTTTGTCCTGGAGACAAGCAGGGTATGAGTGTCTTCTCCGACAGTTTGATACGCAAATGAGAGTCTCCCCCTGTATATTCGCCATTAATCAAGTGAACATACAAAGGGTATCCTCTCTTTAAGTACCAAAGGGTGGCTCAAAGAGCAGGTGAGGACCATGCCGGGTCTTTGCCGGAGTGGACATCTCCTCCTGCGAGGCCTGAGACCAAGGGGGAGGGGCCCGGTGACAAGCCTCATCTGGCTGACCCTGGAGCTGGGCCTGCACCTTGCACATTGTGGCCTGGCCCCGAAAGGTGGCACATCCAGGACTCCCTGCAGGCGAGACTGGCTTCTAAACAAGGGAACAGGTAGGCATGACTATCAGTGTGCTCAGCATGCATGGGTGAACCTGCTTCAAATACCCACAAGCTACATGGACAATGGAACCATCACCTTTCTCCAAAGGGGCACAGGGTGTGAGGGCTCAGCCCGGCAAGACATGGAGTTATCAGAGAAGAAGGCATCTGCAGGCATTCTCAGAGCTGGAGAGCGCTGAGACAATGTCTCTCCTCTGAGGCTGGTTGTCCTAGAGATGACCAGATCCAAGAATGTGTCACCTGTACCTACCTCGAAACAAACAAAAAGAGGGCCCCAGCGTCAGACTCTAGCGACAAAGGAGTCCTGAAGACCAGACACACCTGCCCAAGGCACACTCAGGTGCAATCACTGGACAATGTGCTCCGAGGACTGGCCATTGGAGTCCAGCGACAGTCCCAGAGGGCACAGGCAGGCTCAGGGAGCTCCACCAGTAACTTGCCTTAGAACAACCTGACATCCATGTGCTTCCCTCAAGGCTGACACTCTCTCAAGGATGGAGACCACCAGGGAGTGGCAGGTCAGGGGAGTAGCAGGTGAGAAGCAGCATCAGCTCTGCGCTCCACCATCCACCACCCATTCGTGTGTCCGGAGAGGTGCGAGGTTAGTGCTGGACGCAGGAAGCCCTCTGGGTATGACTTGGTATGGAGAAGAGGCAGATCCATGTGATTTATCCTTAAAAAAAGCAAACCACCATTAAACTCAGTGCACACAAAAAGGACCCTCCTCTCCCACTGCCTCCAGGGAGTCCACAGGAAGAACCAGCACAGAGAGCGAAGGCAGAACCCAAGGGCTAGGATCACAGCCAAGCTCACGTTCCCAGACAGGGAAGCCAAGCCGTACCTGAGAGGGGCTGACATCCGAGGCTTTGTCCTGGAGACAGCAGGGTCTGAGCGTCTTCCTCGACAGAGTTTGATACGCAAATAAGAGTCTCCCCCTGTATATTCGCCATTAATCAAGTGAACATACAAAGGGTATCCTCTCTTCAAGTACCAAAGAGTGGCTCAAAGAGCAGGTGAGGACTATGCCGGGTCTTCGCCGGAGTGGACATCTCCTCCTGCGAGGCCTGAGACCAAGGGGGAGGGGCCAGGTGACAAGCCTCATCTGGCTGGCCCTGGAGCTGGGGCCTGCCATACAGTTGACTTTACTTCCCAGCATCTCTTCACGACAGGATTGGTTACCAAAAGACAGGCAATCCTGTACCATTTGAAATAATGTAAATGTAAAATGGCTGAAATCCCTTTAGGGCCTGCAAAAACACCCTGGGAGAAGAACCTCTGCCTCTGCCCAAAGCCACTGCCTCCAGGAAGCCCTCCTGGTGAACACTGGCTAAGGGAGGTTAGAAGATGCAGTCACATGCATCATTAAAGAAAAAAGAGAAACAGAAATCCAACGCACTCCGTTTGCAAATCACAAAGCAGCACTATGACAAGTGTCCCTTCTCCTGAATTTGGCATTGTATTCAGAAAGCCATCTGAGCAGTTAGTTGTTACTCAGAAGTATTCATCTAGGGCAAGATTCGTCAAAGGAAAATGAGATTCTCATGGGCCAACTCTCTCTGAATAAACACATGCTAACACCAGGAATCCAAGGGTCTTTCCATTGGCAAGAATCCCTAAAGGACACCAATGGACTAAGAGAGCAGTGGGGCTTAGAGGTCCCAGCAGCAAGTCCTGTAGCCACACTGGGTGCTCTGGGGCCTCCTTCCTGTGGACTGGCCTTCCCTCAAGTGGACAGTGAGGTCCAAAAGTCACTCCAAGGATGGGCTAGGTATGGAGAGTGGGTAGACCAGATGACCCACATCTACATTAGACATTGACTTTGCTGACGGTCATTCTTTCATGTATCTGGGAGATGCACTGACCACGAGACCTCTTCTCAGAGGCTGGCATCATGCTGGGCAGACCTGCCGGAGTAGCAGCCCATGGATGCTTTGTGATAAGTAGGGCCCATCAAGGGAGGCCCTTTGTTCTTTTCTTTTTTTTTTAACCTATTGTGTTGAGACAGGGGTCTCTGTCAGCCAGGCTGAAGTGCAGTGGCACAATCTTGGCTCACTACAACCTCCCAACTCCCGGGCTCAAGTGATCCTCCAGCCTCAACCTCCTAAGTACTGGGACCACAGGCGCACACCATGACACCCAGCTAATTTTTGTATTTTTTGCAGAGATGGGGTTTCGCCAAGTTGCCCACGCTAGTTTCGAACTCCTGGGCTTAAGCCATCCACCGTCTCAGCCTCCCAAAGGGCTGGGGTTACAAGCGTGAGCCACCGTGCCCGGCCAAGGTAGGCCCTTTTTGCTAGGCAGAACAGGTGGTCTGAAGAGAAAACCCTATATCATCTCCAAAGCCAGCATCTCTTCCAGAAAGTTCTTGGAAGGAAGCATGAGATGAGGAGGGTCAGAGAACCAGGTCACAAACAGCAAGACAGAGGCACATGCCCTGTGGTCAACCATCCACACCCCAGGGCTATCCTGGCCATCTAACAGGTTGCTGGAGTCAGCCTTGTTCCCAAGAAGGCTTCCCAGGCAGGATTTGCTCCCCAGAGAGAGTCTGCCCTTGTATAATCATTGCAAGTAAAGCAAATGCGTGAAGGATTACCTCTCTTCAAGTAGCAAATGATGGCAGTGACAGGAAGGCCATTTCCTCTGTGACTAAGTTGCCACCAGCTCCAGGAGCAAGCCTTAGAGACACAGATGGGATCTGCATGGTGAGAGCAGCACACCGAGGTGTGAAGTGCAGGCCCGTGGGTGAATCACACATCTATTCCTTCCATAGCCCCTGAAGCAGTGCCCCTTCCTGAAATTGACAGCCCACTCAGGTATTCTCTAAGGTACAACTAGTCACAGTAAAAGAGGTTCATTCCAGAAAATGCATTGCAATCATGGTAAACATACAGAGAACAAACTTCATTCAAGGTCAATGAGGCAATACTGAGAACACAGCCTTGTAACAACACATTATGTGTGCACCAAGGGCAGTGAGCAAACAGCAGAGAAGCTGACGGCGTATTTCATACAAAGTACAATTCTGTGTCTGTCCGTCCTGTACCCAGGAGGGGTACAGATAACATCTCCTCTTCCATGGCGACTTCACGTCCTCCGAGGTTTTCAAAGCAGCATTTGATACTGAAAACGTGGATTTTCCTCTATGATTAATCATAAATAATGTACTCATAGAAGGAGAATCTACCTTTTAAATACCAAAGAAGGATTCCATCCAGGAAAGCGTGCACCTGTGCTTGAGTCATCAGAAAAGAAAGTCACATGAGGCAGACGAGCTTCCAGGGAAGAACTGGCACCACGAGACCCACAATTTAATCTTCACCAAGTTGGCGTCTCGAGATGGTTCTCGGGCATACCCCGTTCATTCAGATACGACGTGCGGCCTACCATCTTTGCACCTACTCAGGCCCTACGGTCTCTTCCAGAAACATTTCCAAAGCAGCATTTGATACTGAAAACATGGATTTTCCTCTATGATTAACCAGGAATCACGTAAACATAGAAGGAATATCCACGTTTTAAATACCAAAGAAGGACTGGGCTCTGGAAAGGACAAATCTGAACACAGTTCATGGAAAATGGAAGCAAGACAGTAAAGCAACCGTTTTCAGTCCCGTAGCATAGCTGTGACAACACACCACAGCCTGTGCACCAAGCTGGCTCCTCAGCGAAAGGGGGCTTCTAAAGGTGATGGTCAGCAGACATATGGCACGAACTCAGCACATGTTCTGCGGCCCACCATCTTTCCACTTACCCTGGAGGGCTCAGCCCCACCTCACGTCCCTGATGGTGGCTTCAGTCCAGCCATGATCCCAAGGCAGCATTTGATACTGAAAACGTGGATTTTCCTCTATGATTAACCATCAAACACGTAACCATAGAAGGAAAATCTACCTTTTAAATACCAAAGAAGGTTTCATCCCGGAAAGCACGAACCTAAGTACAATCCATCAAACACAAAAGTAACATAGCACAGAGGAGAGCATTCGGCCTCATGGAGAAAATGACGACGGAGCCCAGCCGCTTGGCCGAGCGGGCAGCTTGCGAGAGGGGTCTCCTCAAGGCGGGTGGGTGGTCCGCAGACATATGGCACGAATTCAGCACATGTTCTGAGGTCCACCGACTTTCCACTTACCCTGGAGTGGGGGGGGGGACTTTATTGTCTCTTCCCTGATGGTGGTTTCAGTCCAGGAATGTTTCCAAGCAGCATTTGATACTGAAAACGTGGAATTTCCTCTATGTTTAACCATAAATAACATAAACATAGAAGGAATATCCACCTTTTAAATACCAAAGAAGGATTGAGTCCTGGAAAGCATGAACCTAAGCACAATCTATCAAAATTAAAGACAGCACAGGATAGGTGCAGTCGGCAGGGGCCTCCCGGGCTAGCGGCAGTGACATGGGCCCTGCGGAGGACGCATGTCCCAGGACAGACCTTGCTAACAAGAGCTTAGGTTCTGGGATTCACCTTCCATCACTCTCCGCATGGGGGAGGGAGCTAACCTTCCTCTCAGAAATGTTCAGAAATGTTTTAAAAGCAGCCTTAGATACTGAAAATGCGGATTTTCCTCTATGATTCACCATAAATCCTGTAAGCATAGAAGGAACATCCACCTTTTAGATGGGAAAAGTGGGAACAGCCCTGGAGAGCACAAACGCAAACATGATTCATGAAAGACAGAAGGTAACAGAAGCAGGTGAGCACTTTGCGAGTCCCACGTGGGAAGCGCAGGGCCCACCCCTGGCCTCTTCACATCCAGAGATGGAACTCCTATGCAGGCAAACGTAAGTTTGGGGTCTGCCCTGCTGTCACTCGTCTGGGTGGGGGTAACCCTAATGTCTCTTCCCTAATGGAGGCTTCATGGTCAAGAGCGTTTCCAAAGTAGCATTTAATTCTGAAAAAAAAAAAAAAAAAAAGTGAATGTACATCAAAAATTTGCCACAAGTAAAGCAGGCAAAGTAGGGATTCTATGCTTTGAATTCGAAAAATATCAAAAACAAAAAGAAAATAAGCCTGTCAGGTTCCTAAAGTCACATCGCCTCCATGAAGCCCTCCCAAGGCACCTAATGACCAATGTCATGTAACTGTGGGCTGGAGCATCCTTCACATACCTTGGAGGGAGAAGGACACCCAAGAATCTTCCAGAGACTGAAGCTTGTGTCCAGAAAGTTTCAATCGGCAGGACTGGTCATGTTGGTGTGACAGACTGAGGAATAGGCAAACAGGTCAAAAACAATGTCTCTTTAAATACAACTGAGAGAGGTAGCAAAACATGATGCTCACCAGCCCCTACCACCACCACCCTCCACCACCACCACCACCACCACCACCAACACCACCAACACCACCACCACCAACACCACCACCACCACCACCACCAGTACCACCACCACCACCACCACCACCACCAACACCACCACCACCAACACCACCACCACCATCAGTACCACCACCACCACCACCACCACCAATACCACCAATACCACCACCACCACCACCATCACAACCACCACCACCAACACCACCACCACCAACACCACCACCACCAACACCACCAGTACCACCACCATCACAACCACCACCACCAACACCACCAACACCACCACCACCAACACCACCACCACCACCACCATCAGTACCACCACCACCACCACCACCACCACCACCACCACCACCACCACCATCAGTACCACCACCACCACCACCACCACCAATACCACCATCACCACCATCACCACCACCACCATCACCACCACCACCACCACCACCACCACCACCACTAATACCACCCTCCAAAAACAATGATCACAGCTTCCAGAAAAATCATTTTTGGGGTGGAGTGGATGCAGAGGCTTACTAAAATAGCGACAACACATGCCTCCCATAGCAAAAAATGAAGGACCAATAATCCCAGACTCAAACCCTATCTCGCAAGGGTGCCATCACTCCAGGAAGTGCCGCTAAAACGGCTTCAGTTCTGAGGACCAGGAGACATTTTCCACAAGCAAAGCGTATGCTCCATGTCCCACCCTCCATTCACATTCCACACACGGACAACCTACACCAATCTCACTTCTCTAAAGCTGGAACTGGTTCAAAAAAGTCTTGTACTTGAAAACCACTACTTCTCACACATGCAGAGTTAGACATTCCTCCTACTGGCGAATGGATCAGTGAGTGGACCAGATAACACCCATTGTCTGCTATTAGCCAGTCCCTCCCCTGCAGTCACAGCTTGTTGAGGAAGCAAGTCTGATCCCCCGAAGCCCCCAAGCACGATTTGGCATAAATAAAGCACGTCTACATGGACAAGCATTCTGCACATACCAGCCAGAGCAAGGCCACTTCCCCCAGGTCGGGGCTGCCTCCACGAGGCCCTGTTGAGAACCAGTGGGACATAGCTGGTTAGGGAATTGGACGGTCTGAGTCATAAACATGTATTCTGTGTGGCCAGACATCATTCGTGTCCCAAGGAGTGGGTCTTGCCAGGATGGTCCTGAAGGAGGGGGACATGTGATTGAGGAATAGCTGCTGGCTGGGCTTAGGGGTCTTCTTTTGGTAACTGAAACAGCGGCAGCCTGGAAGAGCTGGGGTAGGTGTAGTAACCAGCCAAGGAACTCTTCTTCCCCTGTGTTGGGAGAAAGGTCAGCCCACACACTGTCTCTTCCAAGGGGCTGGCATCCCTCCCTGAGGGGCCTGGCTAGGGTACCCAGGCTAGTGAACTGACACATCCGTGTCTGCCCCGGGCCCTCAGCTCTAGGTGCAGCTGACTCCCCAGGCCCTGCTGTGGGATGTGGCTGCAGCAGCCCTGCTCAGGACTTGTCCTTAATTGCATATGCCCCTAATTGGTTTCTTCCGCTTTTTTCACCTGCCCCCTCCCCACTTCCTCCTGGAATGGGCTTCCCTGATGGTACTTCCTCTGTGATTAACCATAAATCCTGTAAGCATAGAAGGAACATCCACCTTTTAGATGCAAAAAGTTGCTGGCCAGATGCAGTGGCTCACGCCTGTAATCCCAGCACTTTGGGAAGCCGAGGTGGACGGATCACCTGAGGTCAGGAGTTCGAAACCAGCCTGGCCAACATGGCAAAACCCCATCTCTACTAAAAATACAAAAATTAGCCAGGCACGGTGGTGGGTGCCTGCAATCCCAGCACTTTCGGAGGCTGAGGCGGGCAGATCACAAGGTCAGGAGAGCAAGACCATCCTGGCTAACACAGTGAAACCCCATCTCTACTAAAAATACAAAAAATTAGCCGGGTGTGGTGGCGGGCACCTGTAGTCCCACCTACTCAGGAGGCTGAGGCAGGAGAATGGGATGAACCCGGGAGGCGGAGCTTGCAGTGAGTCGAGATTGCGCCACTGCACTCCAGCCTGGGCAACAGTGTGAGACTCCGTCTCAAAAAAAAAAAAATCAGTTTGCCTCCCATGTAGTCACAAACATTCCCATCCTCCTCACGTATTTGCCATTTTTTTTTCCAGTGTATACCTATGTCCTCCCTATTCTTTAGAGTTTAAGCTTTGGCAATCAAGAGACAAGCTAGTGTATATTTTGCCATTCTTCTAAAACTCTGAAAACTGTGTTACACATGGTTTTGTTCATATTTCTTGGTCCATTTCTTAACAAGAAATTGGTGGTGTAGGACCTAACTTTTTATGTATAGATTTACCTTAGGAAACAGGATTATATGGTGATTCATTCAATAAAGTCTCAATTCTCAAAAGAAAAAACAAATAAAGGAAAACACTTGCCAGCTGTTCCACCATCTGCGCACATACCCTCTGCGAGGGGCTGACAGACACCCACACTGTGTTCCTGAACTTCACACCACGTACAGCAAGTCCTTCAAGGAGGCACTCAGTGCTTTAGGAGGTCCACTGTGGGGTATCTGCCACACACAGAGTGAACACATCACCAATAGCCTCCCTCCAACCATTCCTGGCCGGCTTCTGGGGTGCTGTCTCTCTTCCAGAGCCCAGGGTGTCCTCCTGCAAAGGAAACAGACGGCAAGGGTTAACACACAAGGATACGTACCATCAGAGATGCAAGGCTTCCTTGAGGCCCTCCTCTGACGTACCTGAGGTGATGGAGGCAACAGTGACCCTCTCCTGACATAAGCAGCAGTGAGAGCAGAATCCCCCCTCGATGGGAGACAAGGATCTGGTCGAAAGAGAACTGTCCATGTCGCGTCATCCAACAACTGTGCTTCCCCTTCCACAGGGGACTCAGAGCCAGTGTCCCCTCCAGAGGTCCTCAGGCTGAGGGTCCACCGGCCAAGTGGCACGTGTCATATACAGACTGTGGGGCCTGCCTTCTGCTCCCACAGCTGCACCTTCCCTGAAGTGGGCACCCCATCATTTAGAAAGGTGGCACTCAAATGAGTAAAACAGGTTGACTATGCAGGCCACAGCTTGGACAGCCTTTCTTGATGGAATGTCCTGACATGAAGACCGGTGCTGCTTCTCCAAAGTGTTTCTGCCACCGGGAAGTTCTCTGGAGGGAGGCCAGAGCCCAAAGGATGGGTGGAGCAGCTGCCCACTGTCTGAAGGGCACCTGCTGAGGCCAGCATGGTCCCAGTGTCACCAATGGACTGCCGTTAGCATCTCCTTCCAGAAGTGGGTTCTGACCTTTCCCGATGGCACATGATTCTCAAATAGAAGTGCACCATATTTTTCATCATAAATAAAGGGAAAAAACACAGATAACCTCTCCTCCAGTACCAAAGTGTAGCCCGGAGAGCAGTCCCACAGCCTCTAGTTCTGGCTGGCAGAGCTCCAGGAAGCCCTCCTGGGGGACAGGGATGCTGAGGTTCGGGGGACAGGGATGCTGAGGTTCAGAGGACCAGGTGGCCGTGGGGATGACGCGTATGCTCTCTGGGCAACACCCATCACTCACCCCAGAGAGCTGCTGATGCCACCAAAGCTCCCAGCTCAAACAGCCTTTCCCTTCAAGTGGGATTTGATACTGAAAAAAGAGTGGCCAAAAATGATTCGTCACAAATAAAATGAACACACTGGGGAAACCTCTTCTCTTCCAGGGCCCAAGGATGGACTGAATGTGGGGACTGGACACCCGGACAGCAGTGTCTTCGGGAAGGCATGTGTTCTGCCGTCAGCCATTGTTCACTGCTCCCGATTTGGGGCAGACACCAATGTCAGACACCATCTCTCTGATGCTGGTGATCAAGGAGCACATCTCTCAGAGGCAGAACTGGCACCTAGAAAGAGTGGGGCGGGGGCTGGGCGCACTGGCTCATGCCTGTAATCCCAGCACTTTGGGAGGCCAAGGTGGGTGTGGATCATGAGGTCAGGAGTTCAAGACCAGCCTGGCCAACATGGTGAAACCCCGTCTCTGCTAAAAATACAAAAAATTAGCTGGGCCTGGTGGCGGGCGCCTGTAATCCCAGCTACTTGGAAGGCTGAGGCAAGAGAATCGCTTGAACCTGGGAGGCAGAGGTTACAGTGAGCCAAGATCGTGCCATTGCACTCCAGCCCAGGAGACAGTGCGAGACTCTGTGTCAAAAAAAAAAGAAAGAAAAAAAGAAAAGAAAAGTAAAGAAAGAGCGGGGCAGGGAGGATTAGGCTCCAGTAAATCACCACTCTGAGAAATCCCATCTCCCAGAACCACAGGGACGCCTTCTGCCACAATTGCTACCCCCAATCAATTCTTCTGTGGAGGTGCGGGTGGCAGTCCCCCAGATGGCATGTCCTCATGTCCCCTTCAGCCATCCCCTCAAGCCTCTGGAGAGAGCGGATGGGGGCAGGGGTCTTCATTGCTTATTTGTTTTTGTTGTTGTGGCAGCTGCTTCCTTTTTTATTTTTTTCTTGGCTGCTATGATCTGAACTCTTCTCAAATGTTGGGGAACGCTTCTCAATGGAGCCTGGAAGTGCATCTCCCCAGCCTCCCTGGCAGCGGGGAACTGGCATGTGGTTGAGGCCTCGCCAACTGTGCCTGTCCGAGAGGTGGGCGTGGACTGAGGACTGAGGACTGAGCATGGTCCCTGAGCCCACCAACACACAAAGTCACCGAGGGGCTGCCAGGACAAATCCTCCATGTACATACCAAGAGAGGTAGTGACACCAGGTCCCATGCTCAGGGTCCCGTCGGGGATGGAGGCACTTCAAGGAGATATTTGATACCGAAAAAGAAGTGCACCATGTTTGTTTCGTCACATATAAAGCGAAAATAACATGGGCAACTTCTTTTCAGGTACCAGAGATGAGCACGTCCTCCCTGCCAGAGGCACACCTGGGCGTGAAGGGACACTGAGGGTCAGGGCGTGAGGGCAGGGCCGGGCAGACGCTGCCAATCAAACTTATGCTCAATTAAGCCTAAAAGCATCAGGTAAGTTGGCTCACCCCAGGGGAGGTGGGGGACATGCTTCGAAGGGCTGGGCTGACACTGAGCAGAGGCGGACAGTCATCACGGATAAAGCAAACCGATCCCAGACTCCCTCTACTTCGGGATCCCAGGAAGTCTTCATGGGCAGAATTCAATAATCAGGGCAGACGGCTTTCGGAATGTTTACTATCAACCCTGCAAATGCTCATGGAGAGCATCACTTCAGAGAAAATGGGATGGTCCTGGACCCAAAAATAGAATCTCCTCCATGAGCCCATGGTTCCAGGAAGGAGATGGGAAGACAAAGATATCGAATCAGGAGAAACAAACCACCAAGGCAGCCCCGGCTCTCGGTGGACCCATCTCTCTGTGCACCTTGCATGGTGCTGACCACTGCACCTCCTCTCTAAAGTGCTCCGGGTTCCCTGGAGGCATGGCTTGGTTCTAAAACACTGACAGTTAAGTGTGAGTTGTGACAAATACAGCCAACCCACAGAGAGCCAAAGGACAGCAGGGGCCAGGAAAGGACAACGGCTTCCCCAAGTCCACATCACTTGCAGGGCAGCCTCCCAGAGAGAGGTGGATTCGAGGGAGAGTGAATCGGGGCAGAAGTTCTGGGGCCCACCATCCATCAGGCCTTCCAGAGAGGACCCAGTGACCCATTGCTGGACACAAAACACGGTAATTGTGCATCATTTGTCAACCATAAATTAAATCACTAAGACAAAGCTTTGAAAGCATAAGTCCATAAGAAAAGTCACCTTCCACCAAAACCCTGCCTTAAATAGGACACTGAAGATAGATAGGCAAACCGTGAGAAACACATCATTGAAAAAAATGCAGGCTTTCCCAGTCACACTGGAAAACACACTGTGGTATCATCTGTTTGTATTGCAAGTAAGATAAGATCTAACTCCAACTGGCTTAAACAAGTAAGGGATTTATAGACGTATATAACTAAAAAGTACAGAGACAGAGCAAGCTTCAGGCAGGGTTTGATCTAGGGACTCAAATGATATCATCCAGGCTCTTCTCTAGGTCTCCAAGATGCCTTTCATGGTACAGACTCCCTCTGCTGTGTCTGCGTGGCACCAAGCCCTCTCCTCTCAGTCCTTAAACGGCTGTGGGACCTTCGAAGCTCACGTCAAAGTTCACTGTCTATTCCCAGCTGAATGGAATAGACAGTGTCTACTCTGGCAGCTATCACAGGAAAGGGAGAAACAGTTTCTTTCCCAGAAGCTGCAGCAAGCATCTCCTTGCCTATCACTGGCCCAGTGGGGTCATGGGCCTATTCCGGAAGCAATTGCAGTGGCAAAGGAGAAGAGATCAAGAGATTCGCTTAAGCCTGGGCTGGTGGAGGAAGTGGGGCAGGGTCAATGCAATCAAAGCACACGGCGGGAAGACGGGAGCTTTCATAAAAAAAAAAAAAAAAAAAAAAAACAAGGAGAAATTTAGGAAGGAGAAAAGACATGGGGTAGGGAGGTCCTGATCAGCGTCCACTACAGGGGCCCATGTGCCTTCCCTGAAGTTGCACCCAAACCAAGACGTCTTCAAGGCAGAATAGGATACTGAAAAAGAAGTGCACCGCGAATGTTTCGTCACAAATAAAGCGAAAAAAACACGGGCAACTTCTCATTAAGTACCGCACGTCAGCACCGTTGACAACACTGCTTCTCCGCGGCTGGTATCACTCCTGCGGGCTTCCTGAGAGCACATGGGTCCTGATGCGCACCGGGCAACCGGTGACAAAGATATGGCCGTGCATACAACCCCCTCAAGACCTGGGAGACATCTAACAGGTCTGCCCCCTCTGCACAGGTGGCATTGTGTCCTGGAGCTGCTTGTGAGCACGATGTGTTCAATTTCTCAATAACAAAAAGTCTCCTCCAGTAGCACAGAATATGACAATGGCACAGAAACAGTGATTTTGCATCCTAAAAGTCCTCCTGAGGATACATGAGGAGGGACCAGGAGAGTCACAATAACTCCCCAGATAAGATGGATGAGATCTACCACCCACCCTTTAGGGACAAACAGCAAAGTGTCTGCCCTGATGGAGCCTCTGAGCCAAGGGAGTCGTCATAGAATGGGTAGCGCAAGGGATTTTTTAACATTTGCCTCAAACAGATGGAATGACCAGGGGTCCTGGCACAGCGTCACCACTGTCGATCAGCCTGAGCCGGAGAAGAGCCCCCGGGGCAGACCGGAAGCTGCGGGTTAGGGAGGGATGAATGAGCAATGAATAAAACCCAAGTTCTCAGGTGGTCCACGTGGACAACTGACTTGGTGGTGGCAAATCCTCACCGGTTCCTGCATTCACACCTCACCACAACCCCCTCCCGGGTGGAGTGGGCCTCCCCGCCCCTTGCCTTGGGTTCGGCCGTGTAATTGTTCTGGTCAATGATCTGTGGGTAGAAATATAGCAGTTCCCAGCCTTGGCCTTAAGGAGTTTCTGCGTTTCTAATTACTTTCTTGTGCCTCTGCCGTAGCCATGGGAGCATACCAAGGCCGGGGTGAGAGCTGTGGGTCCCAACTTCAGCCCTCAGGGCAGGCCTTCTCTCCACAAGCCATCCTAGGTATGGGAGGGAGACTGAGGATGAACGGACCAAGACACACACCCGAAATAGAATGTCTGCTCTCAGACAAGATGTCCACTCCCATACCTCTCCATGGACCTGACGCCAACAGCCCTCCCCTGAAGCGCGTGTCACAGCCGGGACACATCTTCCGCAGTCTGACACTGAGGGCATCCAGGGCATCTGGGGCCTCGTAAGGCAAGCAGAGCTGAACAACAGACAGAGATGAGCAACGGCAACAAAGCCCTTTCCCCAAGCATGGACTGAACGCTGCCCACGAAGCGGCTGGATTCTGAGTGGTCCCAACACAGGAAGGGCTCATCTCAATCACGCTGCCAGCTCCTCAGTCCCCCATCCACGACTCACCAGGAGTGCTGCTGACACCAGTGGCCCTGCCGGAATCTAGCTTCATGTCCAGGAAGTCCTCCTATGGAAAAGAGATGGGCCACGTAGCATTCATCAAACACATGGCAAGCTTTGTCAGACAGCCTCTCTTCATGTAGCACAGAATAAAGTGGCCCTCACTACCACAGCTGTCCCAACGCCTGCCCTGTCCTGCACACACACAACACTCCTCAAACCCTTCCGAGGATAAACCACACCCCTGTACCAGGTCACACACACACCTCCTGCAGTCAGCATGTGGTGTGGGGTGGGACTTTCCCTGATGGGGCACTGAAGCCCAGGCCTCTGCAATCCTGGCATTGTCTGTGGCCAGACTATCAGCCCTCCTGGGCAGGATTTGAAACCAAAAGAGAGATTATTCACTGATGATTGCTTATATTGATTTTAACGAGGTAGGAGGAGGGGGCCCCGAAGGGAAACCCCTCCTAAAATCCTGCAGAGTCCCACGGGCCCCACGTCCTCCCACATCTTCTCCGAAGTTGCCATGTGCACCAAGATGTCATCCCACAGATGGACCGGGCGCTGGTGGATAGTCAAACGGGTGACCTACATCGTAAATGAAGTGCACGTCACCGGTCTACCATCCCCTCAGCTACCCTGGAGAGCAGATGGCACCATCGTCCCTTCAATGACGTTGCTAGCGTGTCCAGAAGGCCATCCAAGCAAGATCTCACACTGAAGAGGCGCCACCCACCGTGAATCAACAAATAGACAAACACCACAATGAGCAACCTCCTTCAACCACAGAAGCACAGGCCCTTCTCCAAACTCAGCTTCCCCTCCTAGGGGCCCTCCATGGCTGGGGCCTGAGAGCCACACCCCCACGACGCATGGCACGCTGTCAGCCTCGCTTGCGCCTACCGAGAGTGGAGCCGGCAACGTCCCTCCCTGAAGGCTGCATCAGGAACAGGAAGTGCCTCCAGGGTGGGATTTGATACTAAAAAAGAGGTTTCCCGTGTATGTTTCATCATAAATAAAGAGAAGACAACACGGACAACCTCTCCTTCGAGTATCGAAGATTAGCACTGATCAAAAAACAAACAAAAAAAATCAAAACAGAACTGCCGAATCTTCGCCGATGTTGGTGTCACCTCCAGGAAGATTCCCCGAATCTACATGGCACTGGGTAGACCAGACGTCAGATGGCTTCTATTTGCGTGTCCCAGGTTGCTTTTGGGAAGTCAGCCAAAAGCTCTTCAAGCCTTCACAATGAAAAGAGGTTGCCCGGGAAACATTTTCCGCCAATACAGAGAACACTTTAGGTACAACCTCTTTCCAGGTATTGGAGCTTTCCTGACGGTGGAACCAGGGTTTCCTTGTGGAAGTCCAGGCCACGGGAAGTGCCCCTAGTCATAATGGTTTGCATCCCAAAGTCAGTGCGTCAAGAGAGCTCATGAGTAAATCTCGAATTCTGTGGTCAAGAAGCAGGTGGCTGGGTCTGCAGTTAGCCGGTGCCCAGGCCCCTGTGTGGCACTGGCCATGGGTCCAAGCAGCCTTCCAGGCAAGGTGTGATTCCAAAAACAGATACATGGCACCGAGGAAGCTGTAAGCAAAGTGAGTGCCTGCTACACACGGCTAGGGAGGGAGGGTCGGGGAAGCCAGGAGCACCGCCAGGCCACCTTCCTCCAGGTCAAATCCCACTTAATGCCTTCTGCTGCCTTCAATCCAATTCAGCAGAATCAAGAAATAAAAACGAATCTCATTTCCTGATGTGAGCTCCCCAAATGTTTTAGCCAATTCTGGGCCGGATTTTCTGTTTGCTATAAAACTCCTTTGACAATAATTGTTTTCATGGTGGGGGGAGTACTGTTATCTCCAGACTCTTTTGCATCTCAACAGAGAGTTAGATCAATCCTGACAGGGCTGGGGAGAATCAGGGGTCAGAAAACTTCAGGTTTCCTCTTACAAAGTTGTAAAATTGTGCCCTCTTTTCCCCCGAAGGTGGACCCCGGAGCAGAGGTCTGAGAAGAAAATCCCAGGGCCAGGCTGCGGCTCTGCACCCTTGCCACCTGTCCTTTGACCCCTCCGTAGCCAGCAGAGCACCCAATCTACATGGACCCAGCAGCCGCCTACCCTGGATACCCCGGAGGCAACAGCATACTGCCTGCTGTCACATGGCCTTGACACACTCTCTCTGCCCTCTCTTTATGAGGGCTCTTTTCGGCTGGAAGGAACGGTGTTTGGGTATCAGCTAATAGGAAGGATTGGTGGCGGAGGTCATTGGTGCTACCTCATATGTTCTCTCTGGTTATAAAAAGCAGGGTTGACATGGAAATACCTGGCCCTTCTCCAGAACCTGAGGCCCTCCTCCCTCACAGTCCCATCCCCAAATGCCACAGATGAGCCGAGGACCCACAGTCACAGCTAAGTGCCATCAAAACAAATGCAGCACCAGCAAAACCTACTTCTGTGCCTTGGCT
Organism: Homo sapiens; assembly: GCF_000001405.40. Classification (NCBI taxonomy): domain Eukaryota; kingdom Metazoa; phylum Chordata; class Mammalia; order Primates; family Hominidae; genus Homo; species Homo sapiens. The sequence goes on along the minus strand of NC_000014.9, from coordinate 101,028,227 downwards.
TTAGAGCTGGCAGGGAGCCTTTTCCTTCCCCAGAGGCTGGCATCACCTCCAGGAAGTCCTCCTGGAAAGGATCGGGCACCAAGCATTACTGCCAGACAGGACGCTTAGAACAGGGGAAGCACCCATCTCGGCCCACTCACCCTGGCCTGGGCCTGACAACTGTCTTATCCGGAAGCCTTCCAAACTGGTGTTTGATACTGAAGAGTGGTCCACAGAAATGATTTATATAAAAGAAACAGATATGCCAAAGGAAACCTCTCCTTGAGCACCCCAAAGAAGGACCATCTGCAGAAACACAACCCTGAGGGTAGGTCAGATGTGCTGGTCAGTGGAGCAGGTGTGTTCCTGGGGAGGTACATGCCCCGTGGTGGGCCATCCACTCCCTTCCCCTGGATCAGGGCTGGTGACAATGCCCTCCCTTCAAGCTGGCATGACATCAAGGATTCCTCCAGATTTAAAGGAAGTCAACTCCACAATTCCTGTGAGAAATAAACAGGTCTCAACCTGGGCCAATTCCAGGGCCCCCAAGGTCTCCTCTTGACCTCAGAATCAGCTTTTCTTCCCTAAGGTGTCATTATATCCAGGACATCCTTTCAGAATAAACTGCAGGCTAGGGGCAGGCGTGCAGGACACCTGCACTATCTGTCCAGGGCATGCTGGCATTCCCCTGCTGTGGGCTGGGCTCATTCAAGCCCATCACTGAGTGTGGCAAGGACGAGGCATCCCCCTACAGCAGGGTCAGATGCCGAAAGAGCCTGAATTACACACACGATCCGTTGGGAGCACAACGAAGGCAACCACAGACAACTCACCTGCATGTTCCGTGACACTGTCGTGGTGACACTGTCTTCCCCCAGGCTGCCATCACATTGAAAAGTCCTCCTAAGAAGGGATAAGACATTGAGGGTTAGCGCAATCGGTGGCAAAATTCAGAAACATGGGGCACGCTTAGTGATCAGCCATTTGCTCGTGTCTCCTTATTTATGTCCACAGCACCCCTTCCCTGAAGCTGAGGTCTGGACCAGAAGGCCTCCAAGATGGGATTTGATACTGGAAAAGAGGTTAACCAGGTGTGTTTCGTCCTCAATAAAGAAACAGAAACCCAGAAAACCTCTCTTCAGGTACCACCAAGTAACACTGACAAGAACACCACTGATTCCTTCCCCAAACTTGACATTCAGTCCTGGAAGTCCTGTTAAATACGGATTGGACACTGGGGTTAGTAGAACAGATGACATCAGTCAAAATAATACAGCACAGGCTTCGTGGTTAACCATAGATTTCTGTCCAGTGGACTGGAGCTGAGAGTAACGCCCTTCCCTGAAGCTGAGGTCTGGACCAGAAGGCCTCCAAGATGGGATTTGATACTGGAAAAGAGGTTAACCAGGTGTGTTTCGTCCTCATTAAAGAAACAGAAACCCAGAAAACCTCTCTTCAGGTACCACTGATTAACACTGACAAGAACACCACTGATTCTTCCCCAGACTTGACATTCAGTGCTGGAAGTCCTGTTAAATATGGAATTGCACACTGAGCGTTAGTTAGTTGATTTGCCGGAAGAAGCCAAGAGTTGGATGCATGCTGCTTGCCAACCATCTATCCAAGTACCCCAGTGGAGCAGACCCCACATCACGTCTGGAAGTTGACATCACAGCCAGAGGTGGTGATGCCATAAAAAGGCTGGTCACAGCAGCTATCGCGTTTAGGGTTAACCTCCAGGGCCATCTTTTCTCAGTTACTCAAGAGAGGCACAGATGCCCCAAAGCAAGGCTGACTCCACCAAAGGTCCTGCTAAGGACCCAGTGGAGACTGAGGTGTGACGGGCCAGGCGACCTTGGTTGTAAATTAAAGTGCATACACTCAGGTCAGCTGATCACTGGAGGACTTTGGGATGGTATAGACAGCATGCCCCTTCCCTTGAACTTGGATGCCTCCACATCTAGGAAGCCCTCCAAGGAAAGAGATCGGAGTGAAAATCAGTCCAACTCAGCCACATTTGGCATACATGTCGCAAACGCCTCGCAGATGCTCTCTTCAGAGTCTAACAGAGTGCAGCTGGCCCCAGTTTACTGTCTCTTTCCCAAAAAGTTGACACCTCTTCCAGGAAGTTCTCCAAGGGGGCATTAGATACTGAGGGTTAGTGGACCAGGTCACAAACGGCACAAATAAAGCGTGTGCTCTCTGGTCAACCATCTCATGTATCCAGGCACGTGCTGACACCACGCTCCTTGTCCGCAAGTTAACCCTGCTGCCAAGCCAGAGCAGTGTGCTGAGAAGAAGGCTGCCACACGTGAGTTATCGTCACACACAAGACAAACACATCACAAACCCCGCTGGGTCACACTGAGCGCAGACCTAGTGGCCCCCACCCCCGCAGTTGATGTTAGCTCCAGGAAAGCTTGCAAGGCGGGATTAGATACTGCAAAGAGGTCGACCGTGTAATGTGCGCCATAAATAAAGCGAACGCGCCACGGACCACCTCTCTCCAAGTACCAAGCAGCAGCCGTACTGACACCAGGACAGTGGCTCTTCCGCAAAGCTGATATCACCTCCTGGAAGTCTTCCAAGGCGAGATGTGATATTGAGAAGAAGTAGACCATGTGTCCTACGTCACAAATAAAGCGTACACACCATGGTCAACCGCATCTTCAAATACCAGGAAGTGACGCTGACCCCTGGCTCTCTTCCTTTCACCTGCTATCACCTCCAGAAAGCCTCACAATGCGCATCATGAACTACCAGCCACCGGCAATGTGGCAATGACCACAAACCCACATCCAATGCCACTACCACCTCCAGGATGCCCTGTAAGGGTGGGACCGGTACTGAGTTCTTGGCTGGTGGACCAAATGGCCAATGTAATAAATAAAGGACTGGGTCTGCAGCCAACCACCCGGTGACCTGCACTGCACCCTGGCTACCACTCAGGCCTGGCTCTCAAGTCGGCATGGCCTCCGGGAAGCCCCAGGGCTGGCTGATACTGAGAATGAGTGGACCATGCTACATCTGTCATTCAACAATGCATATGCTTTATGCTCTACCATCTCTCCAAGTACTGTGGAATGGCGCTGAAGCCAGATCAGTGTGTCTCCCACGAAGGTGACTTTGCCTCTCTCTGGGAAGCCCTCTATGACTGAATTTGATATTGAGAAGATGTGGACCATATTACATACGACACAGAGATAGCGCATGTTCTATGGTCAACCATCTTTTCAGGTACCTTGGAGAGGGCTGAGGTCAGAGCCGGTGTCTCTTTCCTCTCACTAGCATCACCTCCAGGAAGCCCTCTGAGGCCTGATGTAGTATTGAGAAGAGGCCACCATGCAATGTCTGCCGCAGATGCAGTGGACGCAGCACAAAGGAGCCCCTCAAGAATGGAGATGATGCTGGAACTAGTGCTATGACTGACACTCGTTCCTGCCTACAGAAAGCCCCCCGAGGTGCACGCTGTTATAGGAAGGTGGACGAAGTAACATGCGTTGTAAGTAAAACATATGAAGCATGGCCAACTTCTACTAAGTACCCCGAGGCAGTACTTGTACCAGAACTGGTGCTTTGTCTCCTAAGCTTAACATAACCTCCCTGGAGACTTTCCAGGCTGAATGGGATACTTCAAAAGAAGTAGACCATGTTACATACGTCATGGGGAAAAGACATGCAGTGTGGCTGAACCCTTTTCAGGTACCGTGAGGTCAGTGAAGAGGCCAGAACCAGTGCTCTGTCCCTGAGGCTGGCAGCTTCTTCAGCAAGTTCTCCAAGCAAGGGTTCTGGGATGGAGATAGGGAAGAAGTGGGCCATGGAGGCACTTCCTCTGTAAACATACACGATGGGGTCGAGCAGCTCTTCATGAGGATCAGTGCTGAGTCCAGAGCTGGGACATCTTCCCCCGAGATGGCTAGACTTGAGATGGAAAAAAGATAGACTGTACACGCATCAGCAAAGACAAAAACGAGTCAGTGCGTCTTCAAGTACCTGGAGTGGCATCATCTCCTGGACCCATATCTGCTCCTACATGGGCGTACTGTCCTGAAGTCATCTGAGGAGGGCTCTGAGGATGAGAGGTGACCTGTTTCACATCCCTCGTTCATGAACATTTGCGGCACCAGCCACCGTTTCTTCAATTACTCCAGAGGGATGTGCCAACGTGGGCAGTAGGACACCTTCCTGGAGGTCATCCTTGTCCTGAGGAAGTCACTGGAGGCTGTGTTTGGCACTGAGGAGAAGACCGCATCACAAGCATTGACAGAGAAAGCACACATCTAAGAGTCTACCATTCCACCAAGTGCCATGGCATGGCGGATGCCGAGACCCGTGGCTCTCCTCTAACTCCAGGCTTTCTCCAGGGAGGTTTGGATGGCTGGGCTGGATACCAAGAAGCGGTTTACCATCCCACATACATATTCAAAATGTATGTGGGACGGTAAACCATTTCTTCAAGTACCGCACGATGGTGGTGGTGGTGGCTGGAAGAAGGCTCATGTCCACGAAGTTGCCTGAGGGCGCTTCTTCTAGGCTGCATTTGACGCTGAGAAGAAGCAGGTCACGGTGTCTACTGAATAAGCGTAGCGTAGTCAACCACGTCATTGAGCACCATGGAATGGCACTGATTCCGGGAAGAATCAAGGTCTCCTCCCCAGGGATGGCGCGATTTCCCAAGGCAGAACTTGATTTAAGAGGAGCGAGATTATGCCATTTTGCATCATGCAGAAAAACACATGCCATACAGAAAATCATCTCTTCGGGTGTCATGGAGAAGTGGTGGTGGGTCCAACCGTTCCTCCCCGAAGACAGCGTTGTTTCCAGGAGCCTCGGGGATGGATTTGATACTGAGGGTTAGTGGACCGTGTTACATACGTCACAGATAAAGCGTACGCTATACGGTCTACTATCTCTCCAAGTACCACACAGAGATGCCGAGGACAAAGGCTCAGGACACATCCAGAAAGCCCTCCAAGGCCTTGAGCTGGGTGGAACCAGAAGGGAGGTTGAGCACAGCACATGCATCATGCGACAAGCACACACAGGCCAGGAGTCTCGTCTTCATGGTCGGGGGTTGACATGAATGCTCGAAGCAGTGGCTCATCCCCAAAACTGGCAACTCCTCCAGGAAGCCCTTCGAGGCCGAAAGTCCCACTGAGAAGAAGTGGACGATGATATGGATTTCATCACTCCATAAATACTGATTAAGTGCCTGCTGTGTGCCAGGCGCACTGTGCTGGGTCTGAAGGAGTGGGTAGATGGGAGGGAGGACATGGCACATGGCTAACAGAGCTGGTTAGGGGAGTGGGGAGAAAATCAGAAATACAAAATGGCCCACGTGCAACCAAAGAACATCCATCTAGTTACACTAACCAGGCCAAGGAAACAGTACTGGGCACCTGAGGCCCAGATCTTACCTATTAGTGAGCTCTAGTCTTGGGCATTAAAAAAAAAAAAAAAGTGCCCTAAGGCCATATCTGCCTCAATACCAAGGGCATTTCCAGGAGGTCCTCTTAGGTTGGATTAGATTCTGAGCAGTAACCACCATGCCATCTTCATGAACAAAGCAGGAGTTGTTTTGGTCAACCACCTCCCTAAGGACAGAACCACTGTCTCATTCCCAGACTTGGCACTGCCTCCGGAAAACCCTGAGACTGAATGTAAGATTGATCAGAGGTGGACATTGGTATAAACAGAAAACTTCAACACAGGAAAGCAACTCTTCAATGCCACACAGCGGAATGAAGGATGGACTGGTGGGTCCCCCTGAAGGTAGTATTGGCTCCACGAAGCCCTCCAAAGCTGGCAGGCTACTGGGAAGTGGTAGCCCATCTCACACAAATCCCTCCTTTCGCACAGGCCACATGGCAAATCATCTCTTCCAGAACCACGGCTGAGGCTGGAACCGGTGTCTTGAGCCCAAGTTGCATCACTTCCAGAAAACTCCCCAGAGAGTGCATTTAGTGCCCAGAAGAGCCAGGCCTTGTTGCACAAGTCAGACATCAACCATGAGCCACAGAAATTGCCGTGGAGCAGTGCTGAAGCTAAACCACGTGTTCTCTTCCCTGAAGTTGGCAACACCTCCAGGAAGCCCTCCGAGGATGGATTGGATACTGAGAGTTAGTGGACCATGTTACATAGGTCAGAAATCATAACGCCTACGTTCCATAGTCTACCATCTCTTCAGGAACCACGGAATGGTGCTGACCCCAGAACCAGGGCCTTGCCCCTGAAGTTGGCGTCACTTCCAGAAAGCTTTCTGAGGCTGGATTTGGCATTGGAAGCAGGCACATGGTGAACATAAACAACCCCTCCTCCAATGTGGGGCAGTGGCATTGATGGGGGAAGGGGTGCCTCTACCCTAAGTGGTAATTCCTCCAGGAAGGCCATGTCAACTTGGAAAGACTGCGACAAGGCAAAATGTACAATACTGACCATGCTTTGGCCATTATGTGGTCAACTATCTCTTCATCAAGATAAAGGGCAGTGTTTTGTTCTGCATGGCAAATGGGACACTCCAAGAGCACAGTTCATCATATAAAAGGGGACCCTCAACCTCTAGGTAAAAACTTCCCTAGCTCACCCAAGTTCCGATGGTCCTCGCCATGCTCTAGACCACCTTTGGAGACTCAAACCACAGAGCTGAGTGGGCAGTGCGTTCCTCCAGCTCCTGATTAACCTCTCCACCTCCTTCAGGAGGTCTTCCTTGATTTTCTCCATCCCCTTTCATGGCACAACTATCCCATGTGAATGGAATGCAAAGCAATGATTTGTTAGCCTCCAGGGAAAGGACAAGGGCAGAACCCTCAGCAGCCCTGCAGGACAGCTCGGTTGTCCTCTAAAGTCCTGAACCCCAGTGTAGACGGGGCCCTGCAACTCAGTTGTTGAAGTCCTAACTCCTTAGGAAGTCATTCAAGGCATCATGCTCCCCTGCTCCCTCCAAGTGTGAGCTAGTCTAGTCTAAGAGATTACCCTCCATACCCCGTGCATTGTCCACATGCCTTTGCTGGCACTACTCCTCCACCCAGACCCCGTGTCTGCTTACATCTCTCTGAAGCCCAACCAAATGGCAGTTCTTCCACGAGCCCGACCCCACCTCAGCCAACTCAGGCCTTTGCATCCCTGACCCTCCACAGCACCCTGCCTGCACCTCTCCTCCAGCCCACTCACATTTTCCATGTGGTCACTCGTAGAAATAAACTTGTGTTTACTGAACATCTGTGAGGTGCTGGAGCTAGACCAGTAAATAAGACACAGTCTCTGCCTTCCTGCAGCTGCTAGCGTTGTGGGGAAAACCAACATTAAAGTAGTTATTGCAGAGAATTGGTTTCAAAATGTGAGGAGGCCAAAGTGTTGTGAAGGAGCAGAGAGCATTTAACAAGAGGCTCTCGCCAATCAGGAAAACTTCTCAGAAGTTTAGATTAGAAGATAAAGGATGAGGGGACTAAGCCAAGAAGAGAGAGGACAAGAGTGGACACTGTAGGGTAAAAGCAGAGGACCAGATGGAGCATGGACTGGATGGAGCATGGGTCAGATGAACATGGTCGGGGTGGACAGTGGACTGGATGGAGTATGGACTGGATGCAGTATGAACTGGATGGAGTAGTGGTCGAGGTGGGGCGTGGATTGGATGGAGCGTGGTCTGTGTGGGGCATGAACTGGATGGAACATGGACTGGATGGGGTGTTGACTTGGGGGAGTGTGAACTACATGGGGTGTGGTCTGGATGGAGTAGTGGTCTGGATGGGGTGTGGACTGGATGCAGTGTGACTGGATGGGGTGTGGTCTGGGTGAGGTGTGGTCTGGATGGGGTATGGTCTGGATGGGGCGTGGATGGTCTGGGTGAGGTGTGGTCTGGATGGGGTATGGTCTGTATGGGGCGTGGACTGGATACAGTGTGGTCTGGATGGGGTGTGGACTGGATGGGGTGTGGACTGGATGGGGTGTGGTCTGGGTGAGGTGTGGTCTGGATGGGGTGTGGACTGGATGCAACGTGGACTGAATGGGGTGTGGTCTGGATGGAGTGTAGACTAGAAGGGGTGTGTACTGGATGGGGTGTGTACTGGATGGGGTGTGGTCTGGATGGGGTGTGGACTGGATGGGGTGTGTACTGGACAGGGTGTGGACTGGACGGGGTGTGGACTGGATGGGGTGTAGACAGGATGGAGTGTGGACTGGATGGAGTAGTGATCTTGATGGGGTGTGGACTGGATGGAGTGTGGACTGGATGGAGATTGGTCTGGGTGAGGTGTGGACTAGATAGATGGACTGAGGTCTGGATGCAGTGAGGACTGGATGGAGTAGTGGTCTGGATGGTGTGTGGTCTGGATGGGGCATGGACTAGATGGTGTGTGGTCTGGATGGGGCATGGACTAGATGGTGTGTGGTCTGGATGGGGTGTGGACTGGATGGGGTGTGGTCTGGACAGGGAATGGACTGGATGCAGTGTGGACTGGATGGGGTGTGGTCTGGATGGGGCATGGACTGTGTGCAGTGTGGACTGGATGGGGTGTGGTCTAGATGGGGTGTGGACTGGATGGAGTGTGGCCTGGATGGGGTGTGGACTAGATGGGGTGTGGTCTAGATGGGGTGTGGTCTAGATGGGGTGTGGACTGGATGGGGTGTGGACTGGATGGGGCGTAGACTGGATTGAGTATGAACTGGATGGAGTGTGGTCTGGATGGAGCATTGCAACCGAAAGAGTATCCATGTGAATTGAGCGTGGGGAGCCAGAAATGTGCCAGAAGTGAGTCTGAGGATCTGGGTGGCACCAGATCATTCAGGACCTTAAAACAAAGGTAAAATTCCGACTTCTCTTCAGGCTAAGGGGAAGCCATTATTAGCTGATAAAGGACATCGCGAGCTTCCTATTTTTACAAGATTTCTCTGGCTGATGTGAAATCTCTGGCTGATGTTGCTGGGAGTAGGAGCAGGAAGAAAGAGTACAGAACCCCAAAGAGAGGATGGTAGGAGTCATGGAGACAGGAAAGCGGCCATGTTTCCGAATATTTAGGAAGAAGAGCACAAGAGACTTGGCAACAGCCCAGATGTGGACAAGGCATGGTGGGTCATGAGAAAACATGGGATGTCCCTGCGGGTGTCTGGCCTGGGAGCTGGCCGAGGGTGGGGCCGCTCTTGGAGCTGGGGGTCACTAGATGAGGACCACGTGCTGGCGGGGCACACTTAGTTTTAAGTGTGCTGAAGTTGAAGTGCCACCAAGAAATCCGAGTGGAGATTCTGAGTTGCCAGTTGGTGGAGGCCCCTGATGATCTGTACCTAGCTCTCTGGGTGGAGTGGTGGGGTTGGGAGCCACAAAGAAGTGAGATACAGAGAAGCCGCCAAGAAGATGGCAGGTAGGTGAGGGGAGCTAAGGCGGATTCTTGAGGTATCTAAACATAAAGGGACTAGAACATAAGAGCCAAGGGGGAGGCTCCAGTCGGGGGGCGGGTGGGGAACTCACTCAGGTCCCCCCTTGGTATGGGAACTCCTCTGGGGCAGGAAAGGGCTGTGCTGGCCTCAGCTTTGTACCCCTAGTTCCCAGCACAGGCCGTGCATGCCACAGCATGGTGAGGAAGGAAGGAGTACAAGAGATAGACCCCAAAAGCATCCATGTCCTCCTGGAGAAATTGGCCTGGGTCCCCACTAGCCTCTTGGGTATCTAGAGAGGTGGGTGGACCCACCTTCTCACCCAGCCTCCCAACACACCAAACTTGGGCCTGGAAGCTCCTGCTGACCACAGATGGCTGGCAACCCTTCTCACTCCCCAGACCCCAGTCACTGTTCCACTCCCTCATCCATCCTTTCTTGCAAAGGTGCACAGATTCATCCACTCCTGCACACACCCCTCTCCCTGAAGAACCCACTCCTCCGCAGAGTCATCCGCTCCTCAGCTACGCATCCTCCCATTGGCTCGCTCAGGTACTCTCTCGGATACTCAACCATCGATGCATTTTCTAGCATGCCTTGCGCAGAGGCTGAGACTGACTCAGTGCTCCTGCCTTCCAGGGGCTCAGAGGCTGGATAAGGGAAAAACAGATACTCAACCCACATGACGTTGATCAGTTAATTCAGAGTGCATGAAGTGGTAGGATTCAAGGTCTACACGATCTATAGTCCAGAAACAGTAAGTAGCCCCACCTACTGCGGGGGGGCAGACCACAGAGGCAGAGAGAGGCCATTTGTGCCCCCCAAAGCACATGGCACAGGACTGGGGGGGATGGTGAGTAGAGAAGGCAGGGATAAAACTCAACACCTTCCTTAGCGTTTGGGAGGGCGTAACAGTGGGAGGAAAGGGAGGAAGCAGATGAATATGAAACTTAATTATTCCACAAAGGGCAAAGTCAGAGAATACTATTTCATTTGTTACCATAGAGAAATAATAGATGTAAGCGTAGTTTTTCAAAAATTGAAATGTAAGCACTAACAGACATAGAAGCTGGTTATGTACTTTCCAAATCACAGAGAAAATTAAAATTTAAAAAAAATGTAGTCTCTGTGAGATAACAAAAGATAGCAGGGAAAAAAGGGTGAAAAAAATAAAACAAGCATTAAGTACATTTTTGTTTTTAAGCGCAAACATGACAAATAAGACACAAAACGTAAATGGGTTACACATCCTTTCCAAAAAGAATGCTCAGTTTGGGTCAAAAGACTCCAACTGAAACTATATGTTTTCTATCTGAGACACAATTTAAATAAATTAACTCAAGAAAATTCAAAGTTGAGGGATGGCACAGATAAATAGGATGGCCTCAATTTCCATGCACTGGAATCCCAGGCAGCCCACACAATCATGCACTGACATCCTCCAAACCACGGAATGCAGACAGAAGCTGACTGCCAGCAAGCAGTCAATGGCACCCCCAGTTTTGCCTACATAGCCATTTTTTTTCAGTTTGCTTGTGCAATTTTAAATATTTCTTTGCAGAGGCTTTCAAAGGGTATTCTCAGGGGCATTTGGGGTCCCCCATAGCATTTTAAGGAGGGTGCCCAGCACCAACAGCTTGGGGTCACAGCACAGCCCTGAAACAAGGCAGCCCTGACTTGATCTATTTTACTTATGGGGCTTCTGGGTAATATTTGGTCTGAATAAAGGGTTTGGCTGCCTTTGAAAGCAAGTATTTAATTACATTTTGCTCCCATTGTTTTATAAATAAGTGGAAAATGGAAAAACAAAGTTGCTGATACCTGTGGTAAGAGCACCGATCTCCTATATACTTAAGAAATTAGTATAAACATGGACATCGTTAGGCGGACCCAACGTGGCCAGTCCTTGGCCTTGATAATTGAATTTAAGGCAGTCGACTGAGTGTTTGAAAAGAACAAAACTAAAGAACATCCATGGAATGTTAGAAATTGCCTGGAAGATTGAGCTCTCGAGGAGCAAAATTCTTTGGAACATGCAAGTCTCCAGTTCAACTTTCAAACAACACTTTGCAGAAACAATTACATGAGAAAGTGAGGCTACCTAGCTTAGGAACACAAATGAAAAGAAAACAGATGTGCTTCTGTGATTTCAGGTCATTAAACACCTCTCTGAGGGGGAAGGTATAATCCACAACAATGACATAGCATTCATGAACATTTGCATTAGAAATAAAATAGCACCAAAACAAGGAAAAAGAATAGAAACATCGTATCCAAAACTCTTCCAGTCCTAAAAATATCAAATAAGTAAGAAGTCAGTGATGAACATACCTCAAATCTAGAAGCAACAACAAACTTAACAGAACATGAGAAAAACAGGAAAGAAGCCCCTTCATCTCATCAACATTAGGTCACCGTCCAAAAAGTTCCAACCAATGTAATGAAACAAACAAAAACCAGGTACATCCAGTAAACTCTTAGATTGAGATTCAAAATACGGTTGCTTATAGATTATGTAATTCTTTACTAAGAAAATCCAAATAAAGACTAAAAAGCTAATAAAACTAAATGTCTTTACATCAAAATCCATACCTTATAAACAAGTACATCCTACTTTTAAATGTCCACAAAAATCATTTACAAAATCAATTATATTATGCACAAAAAAGGCATCAATAAATTCCCCCAAAGTAGAATGTATGTGTCCACATTCTCAAGCCACAATAAAAGATAACCACAATTGAATTAAAAGTATAAACAACTTACAACTTTAAAAAATTAGAAATTAATTTTTTAAAATCAGCTCTAGTTTTGAACATTTAACTCAGATAATCATTTCTTCCAATAACAAGAAGAAACAAGAAGCCTTATAACAAATATTTTAATGTTCTGAAGACCACATATTAAGACACATGAAAATGCAGTCAAAATTGTGAACAGAAGCAAGTTCATACCATGAAATATTTTCATTATTAAAGAAGAATAACAATAGGGCATATATGGACAAATCCATAAAACAAACTTAAAGAAAGCAGAAGAAAGAAATCAATAAAGACAGATATTATTTAATTTGAACACAGGCACACAAAAACCAGTTGAACTGACAAGTTATCCCAAGAACAGATTCTTTGAGAAACCTCTAAAATAGATATTCTTCTAGGTCATCTAATGAAAAAGAGATAAAGTATGCACATACAAAATTAAGAATGACAAAAGTGAAGTAATCATAGAAATACATTAAAATTCTAGTATAAAAATACTATTTATAATCCTATGTGAATAAGTTTTTAAATCTCAGAAAAATCTATTATTTTCTAGGATAAATAATATCTAAAAACATTATTGAGCACTCATTATGTGCCAGAACCAGTGCAAGGTACTTTATCTCTGAATCCTCACGCTGGTCCTGTTAGGGCCCTCGGAGGCTTTCGTTTTAACCATTTAACAGGTGAGGAAACTAAGAACTAGGGAGGTGACACAGTTTCCCCATCATATGGAAAATGAGAGAGCCAAAATCTTAAACTGGATTTGTCTAATTCCAGTGCCTGCGCATTTAAACGCTGAGCTATGTTAGAAAAAGAAGCAAAAATTCTAAAGACGTAGAAAACCTAAAGAATCCAATAAATACAGAAGAAATAAGAGACGTTACCAAAGACTTATCCCAGGATAGTTACATACGTGAGTTCTTTCAAGCTTTCGTGGACTAAATCATTCAAATAATGCATATATGGTACAGAACATAGAAAAAGATGGAATGTTCCCTAATTTATTTTACAAAGTCAGCATAACTTTGACACCCAAATTCAACAACAAATAGATTTGGAAAATTCTAAATGAAATATTAGCCCAGCAAATCTTGTAGTGTATTAAAACAACAATACACCATAATCAAGTAGAATTCAATCAAAAATGTTTCAAAGTTACGAAACATTAGCTTATTGTATCAACAGATCAACAGAGAAAAACAACATGATATCTGCAGATATCAAAAAAGCATTTCATAAAATTCTAACTCCAATCCTGATTTAAAGTCTTATATTAACTAGGTATAAATACTTCATTTATTTAAAAAATCTCAACTAAAAAATGATTTGCAACCATACTTAAAAGTGAACCAGAAACAAGACAAGATTTCTGTTATCAATAATATAATGTTTTAGAAGATCTAGTCAAAGGAAAAGAAATAGATGAGATAAAGTGACAGACAAAAATTGCATTATATATAGATATGAATGACCCTTTTTTTTTGACATGGAGTTTCGCTCTTGTCACCCAGGCTGGAGTCCAGTGGCACAATCTCGGCTCACTGCAACCTCCGCCTCCCGGGTTCAAGCAATTCTCCTGCCTCAGCCTCCTGAGTAGCTGGGATTACAGGCACCCACCACCATGCCCAGCTAAGTTTTTTGTATTTTTGGTAGAGCCAGGGTTTCGCCATGTTGGGCAGGCTGGTCTCGAACTCCTGACCTCAGGTGATCCGCCCACCTGGGCCTCCCAAAGTGCTGGGATTACAGGCGTTAGCCACCATGCCCAGCCATGAATGACTCTTTACCTAGAAGTTCCAAAACACTCAACTAGAAACTTGTAGAACAAATTAGAGAATTCAGTGAGATGAACAGTAACAATAAATATACAGACATTTCCCTACATACCAATAACAACCAGTTAGAAAATATAAAGAAAGTGGATCAAATTCACAATAGAAGCCATACTTAATTCCTTGAGATAAAAATAACAAATTGTGAATCTGTCGAATTTGACAACTTATGAATATATATGTATACATAAAACTCAAAATATCATGCAAAGCCTGTTTCAAAAAATATCAACTCTCTTTAAATTAATTGACAGTTTTATAAGGTTCCACACAATATCCATAAAGAATGTTTTTAACTTTACAATATCACTACAGTTCATCTGAAAGAATATACAAATAAGACTAACGGAGAAAATCTTGAAAAATAAGAATTAAGGAAGACTATTGCTACTGAGTAATAACACATTTTAACAATACAATATACTAAAATAAAGCAATGACAAAGCAATGGATAATAGAAAACCAGAACAAGAACCCGAGCTATAAAAGTATCTAGCATGTATTAAATGTGGAAGTGGAACAAATAGTTATTTCTCACAATAATTAAGATGATAAGTAAAGATTCAAATATAAAAGATGAAATCATGAAAGAACTAAAAAAAAAATTAAAGTTCAGTTTGGGAAAGGACTTTCTGAGCTAAAAGAAAAATTCAAGTGAAGAAACTGTAAGGAAAAATTAAAGATAAATTTTTAGAACATAGTAATTTTTAAAATAAAAAATAATTTATCAACAAAATGAAATGGCAGATGAAAAAGTGGGGGATCCTGGTAACATATGATATAAAAAGAGTTACTATTCTTGTTAAAAAGGCCTTACAAAATCAAAATTAAAAATGAACACACCTACAGAGCAACATGGGTAAACGATTTCCAGTTCTAAGTGGTAAACTGAACAAAGCTTGCCTGCTCTGCAGGGAGAAAAAAGTTTCAAAAGACCTATTATTAATATTATCAGAGATATTAAAGAAGCAATTGCATTCATAAAACAAATTGTTATATAATATTTAGAATATAATTTAAAAATTAAAAATTAGAAATATGAAAGCAGAAATGAAAATAAGTTAAAACATAAAGATAGGGAAATCCTTCTTAGAAACAGAACATGAATATTAAAAGTTGAAAATCAAAGGAAAAATATGGGAATATTACAAAACTAGTCAGGAGTTCCAACATACAAACAATAGAAATGCTAGGAAGAGAGAGGCTGGGCACGGTGGCTCATGCCTGTAATCCCAGCACTTTGGGAGGCCAAGGTGGGTGGATCACTTGAGGTCAGGAGTTCAAGACCAGCCTGGCCAACATGATGAAACCCCATCTCTACCAAAAATACACATATTAGCCAGGCGTGGTGGCACACGCCTGTAATCCTAGCTACTTGGGAGGCTGAGGCAGGAGAATTGCTTGAGACTAGGAGGCAGAGGTTGCAGTGGGCCAAGATCATGCCACTACACTCCTGCCTGGGCAACAGAGTGAAACTCCATCAAAAAAAAAAAAAAAGAAAGAAAGAAAGAAAAGAGAAAGAAAAGAAAAGAAAATGCTAAGAAGAGAAAACAAATGTGAGGAAATGATCCAACCAGTTGTTCAAGACAAGTTTCTAGAACTGAAGGACAAGTATCTTCAAGGTTAAAAGAACCTGGAAAAATGGATAAACATAGATACACATCAAGACACAAACACATGAAATTTTAAAACACTGGAAGACAATGAGAAAGTTCTACAAGTTCCAGAAAGGAAGAAAAAAAAATCACATAGAAGGGATGAGGAATCACAAAGACTTAAGACATCTCACCAATAACACTGAAAGCCACAAGATAATGATTTGTGCTTTCAAAATCTGAGCCAAAATAAACAAAGGTTTCCAACTTCGAATTCTATACCCAGCCAACCTTTCAATGTCAGTGTGGGCTAGACATTTTCCTTTTTAGATGTGAAAGATCTCTAAAAATTTACCTTCCATTAAGCATTTCTACAGAAACTGCTAGAGGATGCACTCTAGCAAAACAAAGGAGTAAATCAAAAAGAATGAAAACATGGAATCTACAAAAGTAGGTAATCTACAAAATCCAGCTAAGGAGAGAGGATCAAAGGAATCCTCAGAAGGAGAATGTGAAAGAGATTCCAAGATGGTATCCAGAACCCTAAAGATTACCCAGTTCATAACAAAACCAGCCAGAAGGCTCTAGGAAGATACTTCTAGATAGGATAAAACATATCTTTTAAAAAATTAAAAATAATGTGTTTGAATATATTGAGAGGCTAGGGATAAATCAGCTAGGCTCCTAAAAAAAATTAACCAATCAAAGAGAAAAAAATACAAGTATTAACTCCAAGAGAAAAATAATAGTCATGAAGGAAAGGTAAATTGTAGTGCTGTGTTGCTCAGATTTCAGGAATGCTTACACTCTCATAAAAAGATGAACTCTCAATTTGGATCAAACCCGAACTATGTACTAAATATATTGAGGATGGTGCACAGAAGGAAGGGAGGAGGGGGCGGTGAGGCCAAGGAGTCAAATCCTCATCTTCTACAGTTGTAAAGTCACGATAATGCCTAAGCCTCAAAAAAGAAAAAGAAAATCAAGAAGTAGAAGAGAAAAACAATGTTACTTAAACATATGGATGTAAATGTCAAGAGAATAGTTAAAGGAGTTAAAAACTATTGCTTCCATTAAGCAGAATATTAGGGTGGAGTTGGGAGAGTTGGAGGCCTGATGCTCTACAACGATCATGTAGAACTATCTGACTCTTAAAACGATGCATATGCATGACTTCGACAAAAATAAAAACTAAATGAAAAATGAAAAAAACCTGAACTGGCAATTCAGATACAGATAACCAAAAGAGATCGGGGGAAATGTTTTTTTTTATCACAGGTAATAAAAGAACTGCCAATGAAAAGAACGAAATACTGTGTTTTGACAAATTGGCAAAGGTGAACAACCTTGATAATTCCCAGAGAAATAAGTACCTCTCAAACTAATTCTGAGAACGTAAGTTGATACAAGCTTTAAGAGGGCAATTTGGCCATAAAATGATCACACCTTTTGACACGACATTCCACATTTAGAATGAACTGCAGAAAATGAGCCAGACATGTATATGACAATGAATAAACAAAGATGTCCTCCCAGACTTATGCAATCCAACCTCTAAATGGATCTAAATATTCAATAAAAGCAAACCAATTAAATTAATTACAATATAGCCATTTGCTAGAATCCTATGTAACCATTAAAAAGCACAAGATAAGGAATTGCTTAATGGCATGGGAAATGTTCAGGATATATAATTAGTGGAAATAAAAGACAGGATGGCAATGATAAACTCAATTAAGCACACACAGACACGTACACACCTAATTTATAGAAAAAAAACAAAAGGCGGAGGCTGGCCACCAAAATGTTGGCAATGGTGATCTGTGAGTGGGGGAACTAGGGAGAGTCTTGCTCTTACACTTGTTCTGTTCAATATTTTTCAAGCTTTTTATAATAAACATGTATTTCTTTTTTAATGGGAAAAATATTTGTAAAAATTAGGTGCAATAAATGTTAGCCATTAGCTTAGGTTATTTTATGGGGAAAACGTACATGGCCCCTGCTTATTGCACTCTCCATTACGGTAATAAGTTAATAGAATGCAATTAGCTACGTAATTTTTAAAAGAGCCTTCGGGCAGGGATGTGAAGGTTACTCTGAGCCCCATCTCAAGCTGGCATCTGGTCAGCTGCAAAGTAACACGCCTCCCACCACTTAGGTGGGACCAGAGATGAGGGACTTCTCTAGCCAGCCCTGCCCTCCGCTCAGAGAAGCAGCTGTCAGAAATGACCCAGCCTCTGCTTGCTAATGTTCTTGGTGAGAAGCACATGCATTCCAGCCCCTGTCTGAGGCCATCGCAGGCACTCCAGCCTGTCACAAAGCCCATCTTTGATCACCTATCATCTAGTCTGAGTTTGGCCCTTAGTCACAGGTACACAAGTATTTCAGAGTGTAACCAGGAAAGGCAGAGCTCACCCAGCAACGCACACAGAGCCCATCACGGTTGTCCTCTTGGAAGCCTGGCTCAGGCCACTGCACCTTCACAAGCTCTGGGCAGGATGACCTTCCAAGACAAGAGGGGCAAGTCACACAATCTGCTCAATCACATGACTTATTAACAAGGCAGGGGGACCCATCCACATTCACTGAGAGGGTACTTTGGGAATGGCAAGTTGGGTCAGAGCTGGCTCCTGCCCTCCAGATACATGGAAGTCAATGTGAAATGGACAACTATGGAACTGCACATGGGGAGTGATGAAAGGGGCACTTGAACAGGTCTGGAGAAGGGCTAGGGGTGTCTTGAACAGGTCTGGAGAAGGGCTAGGGGTGTCTTGAACAGGTCTGGAGAAGGGCTAGGAGATCTTGAGACTCACAGACATGATGGAGGTGTGAACTGAAGAATTACAAGTAAGGCTGGAGCAAGAGAGGAAAAGGAAGGGACACAGGGCCAAGGGGATAGAGTGGCTTGGTACACCACAAGTGGGGCCCCTGGAGCCCATGGGGGGTTTAAGTGGTACCGGGTATGCATGCATGTCACCCACAGGATACAGTCAGAGACGAGGCAAGCAAGCAGAGGGCATCCAATTGGGCCAGAGAGGGAGGATGAGGCCTGTGACCAGGCAGGGGCAACTGGAAGGAAGCGAGGAGGAGAGGCATTCACGGTGTCACGCTGATAGGACTTACTGATGGATTGCTCCTGGAGGGTGCAGGGAGGAAGAAGATGCAGCCGACCTTGGTTTCAGGATTACTGAGGCCATTCATTGAGATAAAGGAACATGGGGGAAGGGGGGTATATAGGTTTGGCCAAGTAGAGCAATGCACTGAGGTTTAGACCAGTCAAGTTATTGCTATATTTTGTTATTACTATCATTGTCCTCAAACTGAAATATACACAGAATTGGACTGATTATAGTCTTTATTCTGACACCAATCAACATGAGTCCATGAGTGGCTCTATTTTAGTATCTTCATTTAACTTTTTAAGGATTCAGTGCCCATGCATAAGCCCAGCCTCCAACCCAGAGCTAGAAGAGTAACTAACTTACATCCCCCTGGGTCTTCTCCCTGTGCCGGGTCAATGTCCCATACAGCCAGGTGGGCCGGGGGCTTCCCGCTGGCTCTTCCATCTGAGGCTCTGACAGCCACTGGCTATGACCTGACCCTGGGTTTAGGAGCTGTGCTTTGCATGCTCACTGCCTGCTCCTATCAGTAGAGTTCCTTCCATGCCAATCTTGGCCCAGGAACTGACTCAGCCAGGCTTTCCTTGCTGGGAAAAAAATGGGCTGGTATTCATAACAGATGAGCACCAAGGGGGGCTGTCCCTGAGGTCATGGACGCAGGAATTTGGAGGCAAGCGAGTGGGTACCAAAGGCAAGGCTCTAGGGCTGGGGGCAAGCCCAGGCAGCTGAGAGTGGCCCCTGTACCCACGCCAGGGAAAGAAGAGAGCATCCTGTTGGCTGGGCCAGGAGCAAGGCTCTGAGCTCTGCAGCCCATATGTTCTGTGGATTTGGAAACATGCCGTTCGGGGTGACTGTCAGGAGCAGGAAAGGAGCTTTCCAGATGCCTTGCTGCGGGGCTTTATGAAAAATCACCAAGTTGGTCAACTTGGACAGGAAAGTTTTGTAAGTTCTTTCGTCCTGATGAGCAAACCATGAACATGTGCTGCAGTGCTCTCGGGATGGAAACCTTCACGTGAAAGAGGCCCTGACCCAAGCCCACAGGTGCGAGACAAGGCAACCAGCCTCTGCAGACAGAGCCGCTGCCAGCTTCTGCTTCAAACCCCTACCTGTGTGTCCCGGGTGCGGTGAGCAGTACTGGAGGCAGGTGTGGGGATGTGAGATGCGCCCCAGACTTGATACAGGCTTGGGCTGTCTGCACTCATCTGAGCCTCAGTTTCCTTCTCTGTAAAGAAGGCAAGTGGCACCGCAACCCCCCCTCCGCCGGCAACACTGGCAGGCTTCAGCAAAGTGGCCAGTGTGGCAGCACAGACGCCACCCATGTCAGGGAAGCAGGGAAGGAGGGACAGCTCCCTGGGGGGTCATGCGGGGTTGCGCTGGGGAACATGAAGCACCTCTGCTTCCCTTGTTTCCAGCTCACATGCCTCATTTTTTTTTCTTTCTTCTTTTCTTAGAGATAGGACCTTGCTCTATCACCCAGGCTGGAGTGCAGTGGCACAAAGCCACGCTAGATGTGGGGGTAGGGGGGCATCCCAAGGACCCCAGAGATCCTCCCACCTCAGACTCCTGAGTAGCTGGGACCGCAGGCATGCACCAACACACCCAGCTCATCTTTTTATTTTTTGTAGAGACTGGGTCTTGCTATGTTACCCAGGCTGGTCTCTCGGCCTCAAGCTAGCCTCCCACCTGGTCTCCCAAAGCACCGGGATTACAGGCATGAGCCACCACACCTGGCCCTCACAAATCTCATTTCTTAAGGCTCAATTCCACTCCAGAAAACCAACTAGCAAGGCTTGATTTCCTGCTCATCTCAGCCTTTGTGACACACCCCACTCTGTCTCCTCTTCCTCACAATACAAATCCAAACCCAGGCCACACATCATGACCAAGCCACAGTCCCCGAGAAAGGATGGCAAGGAGGAAGCCTGGAAGGAGAAGAAGCCAGGAGACCTTTAATGCAGCAGCAGGGGACCAGAGGGCCCCGGGTGGCCCTTGGCACCCAACTCCATGGCTTTAAAGGGGTTGCTGCTACCTTTGGGACCCCTCCCCTCCAATATGGCTTCTCCAACTCTGATGAGCACCCAATCTTTGGATTTGTAGCCTGCAGGGCAGTGGGGTTTTGCAGGGAGCAGGGGGTGGGAATGTAGAGCACAGCTGCGCGCAAATGAGTGGGCCAGGGGCCAGGGTCGCAGAGGAGGACAGGGGAACCCTGTGACAGAGGGTGTCAGTTAAGCAGCCCCTTATGAAGTCTGAACTCTGGCTTGGGGTTCCCCGGAGAACCCCACAGGAGAGTCCATCAATAAATGAAGCCAGGAGCCCAGCAGCAATGGGTTGGGGGGTGGGCAGCTGAGGCAAGGGAGCCCGCAGCAGGACCGTGTGTGCCCAGGAGGGCCTTTCTCCCCTCTGGGCGGCCGCCAGCAGCCCCGGCTGGCAGGGGGCCGGCCGGGGTCACCAGCTGTTGCTGATACCAGAAACATCTGTCAGGGATGGGGTTCGGTCCCTGCTGCAGGAGCAGGGCTGTCTTTTTTTTTTTTTTTTTTTTTTTAGATGGAGTCTCACTCTTGTTGCCCAGGCTGGAGTGCAGTGGCATGATCTCGACTCACTGCAACCTCCGGCTCCCGGGTTCAAGCGATTCTCCTGCCTCAGCCTCCTGAGTAGCTGGGATTACAGGTGCATGCCACCATGCCCAGCTAATTTTTTGTATTTTTAGTAGAGACGGGGTTTCACCATGTTGGTCAGGCTGGTCTTGAACTCCTGACCTCGTCATCCACCTGCCTCGGCCTCCCAAAGTGCTGGGATTACAGGCGTGAGCCACCGCGCCCAGCTCAGGGCTTTTATTTTGTCACGTTGAAAAAACAATGAGTTGGTAGGAGAAGCCTCGGATCCAAGGACAAAGACAATATCACCAAATAGCTCCAAAATTACAATGAGGATCAGAAGCCTGGAAGGATGGGGTGGAGGTGAGTGGGGATCAGAATGGAAACATCTTTCCTCTCTCTAGCGGCCAGTTTGGTGAGGGCAAGGGACTCGTGCCATCCTCCCTCTTCCCATTTCACAGATGGGAAACAGCCAGAGCTGAGCTGTCACTGGCTCCGTCTAAAGCCTCCAATGAAGGAAGGAAATGTCTCTCTTCAAGAAGGTCATCAGAGGACATTGAGGTCCCCTTCACGCTGGAGAAGCAGGTGGAGGGAACATGTGAATGCCACAAGGCCAGCGTGGCTCACCCCACATGGAGGAGAGTGACTCCTTCCATGTGCAGGGGCTGCCAGGCCTTTGGGGTTTCATGAGATGCCTTCCTACATGCAGAGGCAGATGCTCACCTCCGACCAGGAGTGAACCCCTGATTTCTCCCAGCGCGGTCTCTGGCTGGAGGACCATGCATGCGCTCCACGGGGGCAGGGGCCGCACACATGTGCTCATCATCAGTGCATGGCCATGGCACACACCGAGAGTTTTACAGAATAAACAAATGAAATGTACTTCCCTTTTACAGCTGAGGGGCACGAAACTTAGATGGTTCTTGGAACTTAACCAAGAACAGAGATCAGTATCTTTCCTGGCAGAGAAAAGATAAAAGAAATCAAAAGAGAACAAGACACCTTGAATCCTCCTGTCCCAGGGGTCAGTCCAGGTCCAGTGTCCACCCACTGAGGACAGCAGGGGCATAGGGATAGCCAGTTGTGAGGACACCAGCACTGAGAACCTGGCATCCGGGTACCCTAACCCTTTGTTTTCTGCCATCCCCCCCCGGCCCACTGCATCTGTGATCCTTGGTCACTGCTCTGCATGGCAAGTGCCCGGACGCCTGCAGAGAGCACTGAACATTGAGTCGGAGCTGCCTGGGCCCTGATCGTGGATGGGATGGGCCCCAGGTCTCAGTTTCCTTGTCTGCACAATGAGGAACTGACATCACCCGCCCGGGACATTGCCCAGATGAAAGGGGAACTGCTAGCTCTGCCTGGCACACAATAGGCATGATACAATTTTCCTTTCATTCTCCCCAGTGTCAGGGTCCACCCAGCGCCTGCTCCCTGGGAGAAGGGTCAGCCTCCAGCCACTCCGCCCTCTGAGTGGGACTGTACAATCGCTGGCCCTGGCCCTGAGTTCCCTCTCCTCCCAAACTGAGATAAAGCTCCCATCCCACCTAGTGCCTGCACACTTGTCCCATCCATTTCAGGACAAATTAAGCTCCCTTCTGCCTTTGGGAGGGTTGGAGCCTTCGGCCAAAGGTTCGAAAGAAGAGCTAAAGAGGATAGCCAAGCTCACTCAAGTTTCATCAGAGAAGCAAAACCAGACCTCGGAATTCTGTCTCACAAACCATCAGCCTAGGTTTATTTTCAATCTTTCCTTCCCTTCTTTCAGGAGGCCCCCGCGAACCCCACAAGCCAGACTCAGCTCTGGCCGGTGGCCACAGGGTTTCAAATTTCGAAAGGGGCCTTTTGCAAAACGTTCAGTTTCAAGAGCTAGTTCGATTGCCCACATCCTGTCCAAGCTTCCTGGGGGAGTGAGATTTATTTAAGAAAGGAAAAAAATCCCCATGTTCATGCCATTGAGTGAAAACATGCTCCGTCCCAGGCAATTTCAAGGATTAAGGTTACATATCTCTTAATGAGTCGCAGGTGGAAGGCAAAGTGGAGTTGGCTGGAGAAGGAGGTGCTATTCCGCCATGCCAGGGACCCCAGTTCTCTGCCAGGGATATAATTTGTGCCCCAGTATGACCATACAACTATCCTTTTGTGCATCCACTCATTCCTTCAATTCAACTAACGTTCTTAATGATCAGCTCCTCTGCACTGGGTTGTGTACTGGACAGTGGGGGAGTCTGAGGTGCCCAGGACAGAGCACCTATACCCAGGGAGCTGAAGGTCTGGTTGTGGAAGCAGACACCTAAACAAATCATGACCAAACAACAGATGTTATGAATGAAGGTCAAGTTCATGGCCTTGTAACAGTTCAGAGTGTGGGGCAACATAGCCCACCTTGGGGAGGGAAGCAAGAGAAGTCTTGCATCTATGGAGCAGTGGGAGGGTGACCACAGGGAGGGGATCAGGGACAAAGGCATAGAGACACACACGCCCGGAGACCCGGGGAGGCTCTGCCAGGCAGCACACAAGGGCAGGGGGCATGTAGTGGGAGGCGTGGCAGGAGGGAAGGAACTGGGCCTCCATCCTGGGGCCTGTGGGAGCCATGAGCGGGCTCTCAGGAGCAGGGACTCTGGGTCATGCATTCTAGAAAGACCGCTCTAACTCCATCGCCCAGGAAGAGAACAGAGTGGAGGTGGGAGCAGAAAGACCAGCCCAAGATGAGGGAAGCCTGGGCGGCATGGTGGTCCAGATGAGAAAAGGGACCTGCGAGCTCACTGGAGGTGCTACAGAGGAGAGATGGGTGCTTTGGTGGAGACTGAACAGCAAAGGCAGAAGGAGGAGGCAGCTGGGATGATGCCTGGAACAGCACATGCCCAGTGGCCCGGCTGCCTGCAGGATATCACTGTTTCTCAGGCAACCACTTTAAGAAACTCAGAATGAAATGCAGTGGAAGAAAAAGAAAAGGTCAACTCATATTCCAGTCTACCTTTAGTTTGTCATTTGGCAAAATATCTGAGAGAAATACTTGGAAGCTGACCAGGGAAGATCAAACCCTGACACTCAGCAGAGATTTTGTTAACAAGTGAGGTGCTTGAGTGAAGGGCAGGGTTTGACGGCTCACAACCGCCCAGGTCATTATCAAGCAGAACTCAAGTAACAGCCAAGCACAAACCCCCAGGTCCAGTCATTTCTCTTTCCTCCTAGATGTCCAAACACCCCACGGACCTGACCCCAGAGGGCCAAAGCCACTGGCCATCTCTGACCATGGCTAGAGTCCTGTCCTTCTCTCAGTCTCTCCTCAAAGCCAAGGAGAGAAGCAAGGGGAACTTCCTGTGAGCATCAGGACCAACCCAGCTGGCCAAGCGAATGACAGTCCCTAGAGCCATGGCTTCATAGCACTTATCACGAGTGTAATTAAATTCTTTTGCCAGAAACATTTGCTTAAAATCTCTCACCCAAGACTTGGAGCTCTATAAGAGCAGAGGTGGTGTCTCTCTTACTTCTTTTAAGATAGGTTACTTATTTCTACCACCCAGCCTGTAGCACACAGAAAGGGCCCGATACCTTTTGCATAAATGAATGACTGGATGAACACCTAATTCACCTAACATTCCCTGATGTCTAGACCTTCTGTGGGCTATAATGACATAAAAAGAACACCTGTCCTCAAGAAGCTCATAGCCCTTTGGGATAAATTGGCAGCTCATAGCAGACAATGTGATGTGGGTTCTGGCATGAGTACGGAGGAGTGAGAAAGGGCAGGTGTGAACAGAGGACTGTGGAAAGGAAGCTAGGGGAGAGGGCAGGGGGCTGTGAAGATAGGAGAGGGGGTGACATTTGTGTCAGGCCCAGCACAGGTGAGTAACCAGTGGGAGGGATGGGAAAACTAAATTAATTGTAAGTTGCTGAATGCTCTGAGGTTGTTTTGCCTCATTATCCAAGGAATTCTGTGGACAGAGGGGCAGTGACAACCTAACTCCTCTCTCCTAGATCAGCTTCCAGGCACCAAGCAAACCTCAGAGTCTAGTCCGAAGCCTTCTGTGCTGACGTTGCTGCCCAACCCCAGCGTTCAGAGGTCTCCCTGCCACCAACACAGCCTAAGCTCCTCTTATAAGGGGCTGGAGCTCACCCAGATGGAAAACGGCCGATCTGGAAGAGTCAGAATAGGGGTCCCAATACCCCAAACTAAGAAGGGGGAGTCTACTTGGCGTGCTCTGAAGTAGGAAGCCCAAATCAAGTCCTCACGAAGGAGAGGGCAGTATCCACACCAGATGACCAAGAACCAATCGCCAAGTTCAAACGAAGGACGTGAGAACACCAGTGAGAGATGAAATCCAGGGTCAGGAGCCAGCCAAGACAAGAGAAGACAAGAAATGGTCAGTGTGAGGCATACAGTGGGCCCTGAATACCTATGTGTTGAATGAAGGAAGGGAGGGAAGGGTAGAGAGGTGAAGGGTGGGTCTTGTGTATGTGTCCTACATAGAGCGTGGGTATTGCCAATTCATTTTTCTGGTTGTCTGTTCCCTGGTAGAAGGGCGTGCCATGCCATCTTGAAGGTCTGGACTAGCCCAGAATACCATCCAGACTGGTGTTCTTCCTAGAACTCAGTTGAACTCTCCAATCTTCTGGAAGAGGGGAATTTGAGTATCACATCCATTTGAGAGCTTTTAAATTAATGCATTTGAAATAATCAAATATAGCTACGTTAGGTGGGGATGATGAAAACTGGCATGTAACATTTCTGAGACATCTCTTTCCTCCCAGGTACCATGCTACCTATGTAACATGTATTAAATAATCTCCCGTAAAGCAGCACATCCACCCAGCCAGACAGGGATTGTTATTCTCATCTACCAGATAAAGGTCAAGGGGTGCTTCAACCCAGTGTCCCACAACTACAGCAAGGAGGAATGTGGTTGCTTGGAAAGGCATGGAGTGGGCCCACTCGCTGGAGGCATAAAAACAAGACCGGGTTATTTCTGATCTCCTGTCTTGGCAGAGGCAAGGGCAGCTTTCGGGAAGACCTAGGGCTTTCATTTCACCATGCCATGCCAGCATTGCCCAAGGATGGGGCAATGTCCAGGGCAGTCCGAACTGCCAGTATCCTGTCTCGCTGTCTGGCACTGGACACAGGAAGCTGGATTCAAGGCAGAATCTAGACTTGCGTAGGAGGATGCCACAAACCATCTGACACACAGCACATCTCCCCAAAGAACAGCTCCCAGACCATTCTCAGATGGGCCATCCTGGTTCCAAAAAAGCCAATGTATTTTTAGCTATCGTTCATTCATTCAGCAACAATTTACTGTGCTCTTCCGAGGCTCAGAGCTGGGCAGGCACCAGGGATACAGAGAATAATTTGACCCAGTTCCTGGCCCCTGCGGCACATCAGTTTAGTGATGACATGTAAACAAACGCCCACGATAGCGTAGGGTGGGTGCTCTGATTGAGTTATTTATGCTGTGGTGTGAAGCTGGGGCATGACTACTCTCTGTTGAACAGTCAGGGAAAGAGTCCCAGTGTGAGTTCATTCACTCACTGCCTTATGCTTCAATAAGTGACTAATTCACTAATTTATTGACTCATTCACTTATTCACTTACTCATTCCCAGAGCTAATTTATTCCTTGATTACATACTCATTCACTGACTCATTTGCTCACTCACTAATTCACTCTTTTATTCACTAGCTGTAATATATCCATCAATTATCCATCCCTTTGTCTATCTATTCGCTCATAATTTGTTTCATTCACTGACTTATTTATCCAGTTAATTTATTTGGTTGTTTCCTCTTTCTTTGAGTTATTCATTAGTAAACTCACTAATTCCTAGATTAATTCATTCATTTGGTTCTTCAATGAGTCATTAACTCATTGATTGATTCATACATAGACTCATCTATTCATTTATTTTCTCATTACTCATTGACTTTCATTTATCTGTTAATTCATAAATTCATTCAAGAATTCATGGACCCATTGATTCACTCATCCATTTACATGTTTGTCTTTCATTTCTTGACTACTTGACCTATTAATCTTCCATTCATTCGCTCAATGACTTAGTCATTCATCATCCACTCATTCACTTTGTGACATTTTTACTTACACATGAACTCACCCACTCATTAACTCGCCATGCATTTATCCACTTATCACTGATTCAGTCACTCATGGACCTATCATTGATCCATTCACTCATTCGTGTACTCATTCCCATTTTCATTACTTCATTTATTCGTTCCTTTGTCTACTCAAAGACTCATTTGTTCATATACTGCTTCACTCCTCCATTCTTTTATTCACCATGTATTCACCTATTCATTCAACAGATGCTTATTGCATGTGCTGTCCATGTAAGGCACAAGGGGCAGAGCAGTGAAGGAGAGGAGTGTGGTCCCCAGCTTTGCGGAGCTATGGACTAATGAGTCTGTCACTGGCTCAGGAGTCATCTCTTCCACAACTCAACTGACACTGAGATTGAGCTGAAGGCATACCTTCTGTGCTTCTAGAAAGCCCATCTACCTGTCCTATTTTATCAAATTGCTGCATGTATAAGTGGGTCTCCCTCTAGTCTCACAGAGAACCCATCTACCTGCCCTATTCTATTGAATTGCTGCATTTGTAAGTGGGTCTCCATCTAATCTCACAGAGCTACTCAATGAGTGGAACTAGACTAAATTCATATATAAATTTCACTCCTCATATGGGGTCTGACAAGAGTTAGCATCAATACTTGTTGAGCTGAAATTAATACCTTAATATTAGTCATTTTAGTACTCTCTTAGATATCAGCTGCCAGAAAATTTTAAAATATGGGGCATAGGGGTTTCCTACCACCACCTCCAAATAAATCAATTCACTAGAATTTATAACTCAGATAGTGAAAAAAACTGAATGTAAGTAGCATGAGAAAATGTCTAAAATATATCCATAGTATATGCAGAATGGTACTATGTACTATTAAAATAAAGATACAAAAGATTAAGGTTTCATTTCATAAAAGTCCACAGTGCAGAACTGAAATACCTACAATCTTTGTTTCAAAACACATTTTAATCACTGGTTCATGATTTACCCTCTTGTAATTTACTTTTTCATATACTTATTTCCTTAATCATAATAATCAACTCCATGAACCCACCAAAATACAAAAACAAGAACACTGAATATTTTAACACCTGTTTCTGACCTCATTATACACAGAGAAAACAGATTGACTCTTTTCTGTTAAATGGATTTCAGGGAAGCAGAATTGTGTTGATCATAATTCTTGCTTCATGAAATGTCATCATTTGAATATTCTTGTCCATTCTAGTGTTTTTGTCGTTCATTAATTTAGTCAGTCACTCATTTTCAAAAACAAAGTCAACAACAAAGAATCTACTCCCAAGAAAGAGGGGAGAAATTGACTATCATTTAAATCTTTCCATGACCTCCTCAAACAGTGATAAAACAGTTAACCAAAGTTAAACAAATCCTTGTTTCATGATATAATCTCCAAATTGGTCATGAGTGGCCATTGTAATTTTACTAGCATAAATGCTTTGTACTTGTTTAACTATTTATTATTTTTAATAAAATAACAAAACTCAAGAGAACCACAACTAACCCAAAAACAAGATCTTTGACCAAGGCTAGAATCTGCCTATAATCTCCTTAATCTAAGAGATAGCAAACCAAACCTCTTTTTAAATGGATCTCGTTTTGCAAAATGAATTAACCATGACACTTGGCAGGATTCATTCTTATCATTGGTTCAGGCATGGTCTTCTTGGATTTTATGACTGCATAAAGTCATTTCTTCTTTTCAAATAATAATTAATCATCATCTCTAACAAAAGGCTAAACCAAGAATAAAAACTTAATCTGACTCACCCTGTTCTACACTCTCCTTGCCACATGGGTAACAGTCAAGATCTTCATCCTTTAAATAATTATTAAAACAGCCAAGTTACCTCTGTTCTGTGGGGTTACAAAGCAGATATAGAAAATAATGAAGTACCCTTATCATTGGTTCATACTTGGCACCCATTTATTTAGTTATACACGTATTTGTTTGTTTAATTTTAATTTTTTTGTCTTAATGAATCAAACATCTGGGAACCCACAGCAAACTAAGAACAGAACATTGACTATTAAGTACTTCTATCTAGATGCTTCTTACCCAAAGTGGTGACAAATTTAATCTGTTTTTTTTCTTGATGGACCAAGGTATTTCAGAATTGAATTAATTATATTCCTTGCTTTACAACATGCCCTCAGAATTGGTCCATGTCTTAACCTCTTTTTCTTTACTCATGAATATACTTGTGTGTTGATCCACACAAGTGGATCTGCTAATCATATAAAATCAGTACCTGTGAACCCTCTCAAGCTCCAGAACTAGATTCTCAAACTTTCCTGACATTATTCCCACAAAGGTTTACATATTAGTTCTTCATTTTGCAGTGGACCTCAGTTGTTCCAAAAACTGATTGATCATAATTTTTATTCAGATGCATTCCATTCACATCATTGGTCCAGACATGGCCCCTCTACATTTAATTTGAACAACTTTTAGATATCAAATGAACAAACTTGAACCACCATCCTACTCAACAACTAGAATACTGACTCCATAAATGAGTAACAGCCTTTATCAAGAGAAGAGTCTTTAAATAATCAATGAGACAAACATACAATGTGACATTTAACTATTGAAAATGAATGGGAAAGCTAAATTTTTTCTTACACTTCATTTGTGCTAAATTGGATTAATTTCGGTCCACAACACATTCTCATCATAGGCCTAGTATGACCTTTTAAAATTTAATTATCTTTTTAAATGACAGTAGAAATCATGAACCAACAACCCAACTCAAGAACTTTATTACTTACATTATATGACATTCTCCTTACTCTGAGGGATAAGGTAAAGTTCCTCATCAATGGGAGAATAATTTAATCAGCTCTGGTCTACCCATCCTGTAGATGATATTACCAAATGAAAGAGGAAATTACCAACTGAAAAGACCTAGATTTAGGTTTCGACTTAGTAAACGTGAAGTAACCATCGTAGAAATTGAACACAAACAATGATTTATGCCACATTGTTATCTCTGGTTCGTGAATGGAGCTCCATCTTATTAATTAACATATTATCCATTTTAACAATATCAGGAATACCCTTAAATGAACCACCCAACATAAAACCTATGAGAGTTACATACATCTGACTCCATATTCCATACCCACAGAGCTAAAAATGTAGAGCTCTTCTTTTAAAAAGGGCTTCTGTTGTGCAAAACAGTAGTCATCATGAACCTTGATTTATAATACAATCTTATCATTGGTTTTTCTGTAGCCTTCATTGATTATATTACGTATTATTTTATCATACACTAAATACCCTAAATGGACCATCCCAACAATGACAAGAACTTGGATCATTACTCACACTGACCCATAAAGGTCTTCATCATTACAGAATCACTGTAGTGATAAGTGTGTTCCTTCTATGGAACTGAAAGCAGATGGTGAAAAAAAGGAAAAATAAACATGTATTCTTTTATACCTTTAAAAATGTATACACAAAATATGCAGGAATATTCCTTACAAAAAGGGAGTGAAAATATCAAAAATTCTTTCAATTGATCCATGTTTCCCCCGTTAATTTGCTTAGCTATTTATAATTAGGTATTGATAAATTTGTGAAATTATTTATTTGTTTCTCTTAACAAGACAAACTTGAACTCACCATTCTCCCAGAACAAAAACGTTGACTATTACTATTCTTTGTCTATATGATACTTACCAAAAGAAGGAACATTCCTGATTTATTAATTTATTCATAAAACTCAGTGTTTTGGGATATTAAAAATATATAATTCCACAGATGTTCTGATTGGACTCATTCTAATTATTGGTGTGTAACACACTCTCATCCCTGTTCTTTTTTAATTCTGTATATAGATGTAGTCATTTATGCATTATTTTATAATACAATGAATACCTCTGAGTAAACACCCCACCAAAGGACAAGAACTTTGGGCATTATTTGTATAGGTCTATAGCCTTTTTCCCAGAGACTTACCAGCTAAGATCTTCACCAATGATAATCCATTCTGGAGGGTAGAATGCAAATGGTAAAAAGAATGAAACATCCTAAATTTTGACTGTGCTCTAATATTCTAATAAATGAAAGGAGAGCAAGTTTAGATTAATTTTTATAATTGGGTCATGCTCTTTTTACAACTGGCCAGAAAACCCTCTTTTTTGTCACATTAATTCAATTATTAATTTTGCATTTAAAATGGATGCCTTTGCAATTGCAACAAAAGCAAAAATTGACATGTGGAATCTAATTAAACTAATGAGTTTCTGCACAGCAAAAGAAACTATCATCAGAGTGAAGAGACAACCTACAGAATGGGAGAAAATTTTTGCAATCTATCCATCTGACAAAGGTCTAATATCCAGAATCTACAAGGAACTTAAGCAAATTCACAAGAAAAAAACCAACAACCCCATTAAAAAATGGGCAAAGGACATGAACAAACACTTCTCAAAAGAAGACATACATGCAGCCAACAAACAAGAAAAAAGGCTCAACATCACTGATCATCAGAGAAATACAAATCAAAACCACAGTGAGACACCATCTCCTACCAGTCAGAATGGTGATTATTAAAAAGTCAAGAAAAAACAGATGCCGATGAAGTTAAAGAGAAATAAGAATGATTTTACACTGTTGGTGGGAATATAAATTAGTTCAACCATTATGGAAGACAGTGTAGTGATTCCTCAAAGATTTAGAAGCAGAAATACCATTTGACCCAGCAATTCCATTACTGGGTATATAACCCAAAGGAATAGAAATCATTCTATTATAAAGATACATGCACATGTATGTTCATTGCAGCACTATTCGCAATAGCAAAGACATGGAATCAACCCAAATACTGGATAAGGAAAATGTGATACATATACACTATGGAATACTATGCAGCCATTAAAGGGATGAGAGCATGTGCTTTGCAGGGACATGGATGAAGCTGGAAGCCATTATCCTCAGCAAACTAATGCAGGAACAGAAAACAAAACACTGCATGTTCTCACTTATAAGTGGGAGCTGAACAATGAGAACACATGGACACAGGAGGGGAACAACACACACTGGCGCCTGTCAGGGGAGGGTGGGGAGAGCATCAGGAAAAACTGCTAATGCATGCCAGGCTTAATACCTAGGTGATGAGTTGATAGGTGCAGCAAACCACCATGACACATGTTTACCGATGTAACAAACATGCACATCCTGCACATGTACCCCAGAACTTAAATAAAATAAATGGACGCCTTTGAATCCAACATCTGAATCAAGAATGAGAGTTCTCTACAAAACACGTCAGCTTCAATGCCTCCACCCATGCACTCAACAACCTAAATCTTTGGACCTCCCATATGCACAATTAGATTCATCTAAATACTTGTTTCAGAGCAATTTCATACCAATGAACAGTGCTTGCTATCACTTCATTCACTCATTCACAAACCAATTTGGCGAATTATTCATTCTTTGTAAAGAAACAGAACATATGTAAACCCTCAGAAACCCAGAATGTGTCTGATACTGTGCGTCTATGTATAGCCTAATTATGCAAACACTTGTAAGAGCCAAAATACTTGCCTTAAGAAGAATACACTCTCCGGACCCAGTTACATCACAACCATCATTTCCAGACATGTTTGCTACTGGCCCTTGCTTTATCCTTTTTAGCTAATTGATTATTATTAACTTAAGCATTTGTTCATTATTAAGATAAAATCAGTATCCTTACACATGATCTAAACTACA
The DNA here is from genome assembly GCF_000001405.40 of Homo sapiens. NCBI lineage: Eukaryota > Metazoa > Chordata > Mammalia > Primates > Hominidae > Homo > Homo sapiens. Next base: position 100,995,155 of record NC_000014.9, on the reverse strand, counting down.
GCATGGATCATCGTAGCACATGCATAGTTGATCATTACCAAAGTAATAACAGATGATGTCACTTTGTAATGGAATTTAGTGAGCACAATAGCTCTTGTTATAGAACAAATTATTGTCACTGGCCCTCTTTAAAAATAGCTTTCTATTTATATAAACAACATCCCTAGTTAAGGATAAGACAACCAGGAAACCAAAGACAACTCAATATAAACATGGACAGCTCATACATTTGTCTACATGTTTCTCATTCTGAGAGATTAAAAATCTGACACAATTCCCACTCCCTGAGCAATAGATCAGTACTGTGACTTGCTTCATTACACATGTTATAGTTGGTCCAGGTGTGGCCATGTTTTTATTCACTTATTTCTTTTACTTGAGTTCTTCACGCATTAATTCATTATCCGTGAATTACAAGAGCACAAGAATAGGGTAACTGATTTTTTGGGGGTTTTTTTTGTTTTTTTTTTTTCGAGACAGGGTCTCACTCTGTTGCCCAGGCTGGAATTCAGTGGCGCGATCTCGACTCACTGCAACCTCAACTTCCTGGGTTTAAGCAATTCTCCTGCCTCAGCCTCCCAAGTAGCTGGGATTACAGGCACTCGCCACCACACCCGGCTAATTTGTATATTTTTAGTAGAGACGGGGTTTCACTGTGTTGGTCAGGCTGGTCTTAAACTCCTAACTTTGTGATCTGCCCACCTCGGCCTCCCAAAGTGCTGGGATTAAAGGTGTGAGCCACCGTGCCCAGCCGATAACTGAATATTTTTAACTACTGTCTACAGGATCATTTCCAACTGATCAATAGGCTAGATTTCTTTTATATCGGAGCTTAAACTTCCTGACTCCTATTACTCATCATCCTTGACTCATACCCACGAGTCATCATCTCTGGGCCAGGCCACAGACCATCAATCATTTTTTTCATTTAGACTTTGTCTATTTCATTTATTTATTAATTTACTACTTTATAATAAAGAAATAGACATGAATCAGAAAAAAAATAGGACAAGAGCTGTGATAACCCTGTTGTCTATCTGTAGAGCAGTTCCTACAGAAATTAGACATGTTTCTTGAACTGACCTGATTGTTTCAAACATGCATTACTCAACAAAATGTTTCATATCAACCCCATGTTCATTTTGGGGACACGGTTAGTCTTCTTTAATTATATTTTCTACTTATTAATAATGCATTGACCACTCTTAAATGGCCCAAACCAAGACAAGAACTTTGACGATTACTCACATTTGTCTGTAGGTTCCTTAAAACAACCATAGAGCAAGTGGTCATGGCAGAATCAGTGCAGGGAGTGACTGTTCTGAGGATTACAAGGAAGAGCAGAAGACAAAATTTGAGATTTTCTATCCATTAATTTTTTCATTCTACCTTCCATTTACTCTGTCAGTTGGTATTTATTGATTTGTTAATATTTGCTTATTTCCCCCTTAATAAAATAAATATTGAACTTACAATTGACCCAGTTGACCTGAGAATTGACCTAAAAATCACATAGCCTTTGATAACTAATAATCAGTGCTATTGCTCTATCAGTGGCTCTATGATTCTTAGCCAGAGAGTTAAAAACCACTGGCCCATTTATTATCCATTCCAAATTAATTAATAGTATTTCTTTCCTTGCCACATATGTTAACAATTAGAATATGCCTCTCTCTCTCTTCATGTTTAATCATTCAAATCTTTGTTTGATTCTTTCATTAATTCATTTATATTAACACAATCACAATCCATGAACTGTAAAATTGGAAGCAAACAGCCTTGATATCACTAACATCTATCTAAAGGATTTTTTTCAACAGAGGAATAGATTAGATTTCTATTATATTGAACCTCAGAGTTCCAGGCACTTAGTATTCATCCTCCATGACTCACACACCACCGGCTGTCATCGCTTGCTCAAGCTTGGACCTCCTTTTCTTAATTCGTGTCTACGTGTTTTTATTGATTAATTTATCAGTTCACTAACAATAAAATAATTACCTAAGAGTCACAAAAACTTGTGAGTAAAATCCTTAAATAGCTCTTATATCTGTCTATGTCAATATTACTCACAGCAATACACCTCTTTCATTAATTAAATTCAATGTTTTCATTAGTTAAATTCAATGTTTTATATATATACATTAATCAACATAATGCTTTATATTAATCCTATTTTTACAAATGGGCCAGAGTTTACCTTCAATGATTGTATTTAACACTTCTTAATAATACTACGAATATCTTTTTTAAAAAACACTGAAACCAAGAATGTTGACTGTCACTCACATTGGTCTCCACACACCATATAACACATAGACGCAACCATGGATCTTACCATTAAAAAAGAATGATAAAATCAGCCAGAGTGTGTTTATTTTGAGGAGTACAGAGCACAAGAGATGATCAGAAAAGATTAAGACATTATCTGCATTACTCTTTGCATTCTATCTTCCACTGATTCAGTCACATAGGTTATTTGAGATAACATATATTTTATTTACTCTACATAGCCAGACAGTATCAGTCACACCACTGACACAAAGCATAAACATTCATTATTATTTACCACTGTCTATAACATCCCTAACTAAATAAATAACAACCTCATACCACTTATTTCCTAATGGTATTGGTGTTTTCAATATATATCATAGATTTTCTTCTCACTCTATTGCCCAGGTTGAAGTGCAGTGGTGTGATCTTGGCTCACCGCCACCTCCATCTCCCAGGTTCATGTGATTCTCCTGCCTCAGCCTCCCAAGTAGCTGGGATCACAGGCATACGCCGCCACGCCCAGCTAATTTTGTATTTTTAGTACAGATGGGGTTTTACCATGTTGCCCAGGCTCATCTCGAACTCCTGACTTCAGGTGATCCACCCACCTTGGCCTCCCAAAGTGCTGGGATTACGGGTGTGAGCCACCATGCCTGGCCATATCATAGCTTTTTTTGCCTCACAAATTATTTTTACAGTTAGAGAACGCTTAGTCGCATCCAACATACTTTATTTGTATATTTGTTTAGTGGTTCCTTCATTGATTGAATTATAATAATAGATTGAAAACTCGTGCTCACAAAGAGCAAAAACAAGACCCTTGCATATTCCTGACGTCTGTCTATAGGATCACTTCCAAAAGAGGGAAAACACTATATTTCTTTTCTGATGGACCTCAGAGTTCCAGATAGGCATTCACTGACGAAGACCCATCCAATACCAGTAGTCATGATTGATCCAGGATTAGCTCTGGTGCTCTTCATTCATTGTTACATTATTTATTACTTCATTAATTCACCATTAATAACTTTTAAACACTATCACTCACAAAACCCCAAGAGGAGCCTTGATATCTCTAATTTGTATATACACTCATCCTCACAATACCATATCCCCTCATTATTACCTTTCTTAATAATACAGGACATGCTTTTCATATAAGCATCCCTCAGTGTAACATTCCACATCCATTCCATATTTATCCCTGGGCTACTCATGGCCTTATTGGATTATATTTCATATTTTTTGTTAATGCACTATAAACCTTTAAACAAAACACCCAAGATGAGACAAGAACTTTGACTATTACTCACATTGGTCTCCAGCTTCTAGCACAGAGATGGACCATACAGCTCTTAACTATTAAAACCAGCTTCTGTGCTTCCATTCTGAGTACAGAGCAGAAGAGATGACAACAAAAATGAGACCTTCTCTCCATTGATCCTTGCTTTTCAAATATACCTCAAATTAATAAATGTATAAACATTTATACTCATTTATATGTTCATTAATTTGAGGTATATTTCATTTTTTTATGAATAACTGGCCAGATGTGGTGGCTCATGCCTGTAATCCCAGCATGTTGGGAGGCAGAGGCAGGTGGATCACTTGAGGTCAAGAGTTCAAGACCAGTCTGGGAAACATGGAGAAACCCCATCTCTACTGAAAATACAAAAACTAGCCAGGCATGATGGCACGCGTCTGCAATCCCAGCTATTAGGGAGGCTGAGGCACAAGAACTGCTTGAACCCATGAGGCAGAGGTTGCGGTGAGCTGAGATCGTGGCATTGTACTCCACCCTAAGTGATAGAGCAAGACTCCATCTCAAAAAGAAAGAAGGAAGGAAGGAAGGAAGGAAGGAAGGAAGGAAGGAAGGAAGGAAGGAAGGAAGGAAGGAAGGAAGGAAGGAAAAGAGAGAGAGAGAAAGAGAGAGAAAGAAAGAAAGAAAGAAAGAAAGAAAGAAAGAAAGAAAGAAAGAAAGAAAAGAAAGAAAGGAAGGAAGAAAGGAAGGAAGAAAGGAAAGAAAGAAAGGAAGGAAGAAAGGAAGGGAAAATAAAGAACTTTGGAATTGTCCCTGACCCAGAACTTGAATACGGTCAAAATTTATACTGTCTATCTCATTCAAAGAGGTAACAGGTATGCAAGATTTCTCTTTAGTTGTTACCAATTTCAGTATGTATTAATAGTGTTTTTTGTCTTTCCACATATTTTTATAGTTGGACAATCCTTAATCTTATCCTTTTTATTTTTTTCTTTTTGACACAGAATCTTGCTCTGTTGCCAAGCTGCAGTGACGTGATCTCGGATCACTGCAGCCTCCCAGGTTCAAGCAATTTTTGAAACCCGGGTTCAAGCAATCCATGTGCCTCAGCCACCCAAGTCCTCGGATTAGAGGCACATGCCGCCATGCCTGGCTAATTTTTGTATTTTTAGTAGAGATAGGGTTTCGCCACGTTGGCCAGGTAGGTCTCGATCTCCTGTCATCAAGTGATCTACCCGTGTTGGCCTCCCAAAGTGCTGAGATTACAGGTGTGAGCCACCATGCCCGGCCCTTATTCATCTTTATTTGTATATTTATTAACTGATTCTCTGATTGAGCCAATCATAAATGTAAAATAAAAATTCATAAACATGAAAACCAAACACATATACATTCTATTTTTTGCCATCTGTCTGTAGGATCATTTGAAACAGGAAATAGACTAGATATCTTTTGAGACAGACCTCAGAGTTCCAGACATGTATTCACTGTATATGACTCATGCTACCAGTAGTCATCATCGATCCAGGATTGGCCCTTCTTTTCTCTGTTATTTTCTACATTGTCTGTTGATTAATTCATTAATTTACTAATAATAACTTTAAACCTTATGACTCACAAAACCCAAAAAGATATCCCAAATAATTCCTATATTAATGTTTCATGAGTTATCCTGTTTTTCATATGTGAATTATCAATATAATACTTCTTTTGACTCCAATATCCCTCACTAGATAAAATTCACCATCTTTGATTATATTACATGTTTATTCACAGTACATTGAGTCCTCTTAAATAAACCACCCAAAGAAATGCAAGAAATCTGACTGTCACTCACATTGGTACACATGCTCCTTCCTAAGCATGGTGCAAACAGAACATGTGACCATGAAGAAGTCCTCAAATCAGAACAAGTACGTCCATTCTAAGTACAGAGCAAAGAAGATAATAACAAAAGAGAGGCATTTTAACTATCAATCCTTGCTTTTCACCTATCATTAGTTAGTCATCTAAGCTATCATTATTTGGAGTAAACTTATTTCATTTCCTCTTTAAAAAATGAACAATTTCAAGCTTACAATTAACCAAGAATTTGAACATTGTCTATAATTATCCTGTCTATATCACCATAGCCAAAGAGGTGACAGACATGTACATGTACTTCTCTTCAGACTTCACTATTTTCAATACATATTAATAGTGTTTCTTACCTCACCAAATATTTTTTACAACTGGACAATGATTAACCTTACTCATCTTTATTTATACATTTGTTTATTGGTTTTTATATTGGCCAATTACAAAAATAGAATTAAAACATGTAAATACAAAGACTAAAACCAAACTCATCTAATATTCCTGATGCCTGTCTAAAGGATTATATCAAACACAGAAAATGAGCTAGATTTCTTCTGTGATGGACCTCAGAGTTCTAGACACGTATTCATCGCATATGACTCATACGCCACCAGCAGTCATCATCGATCCAGGATTGTTCATCTCTTTCTCTATTCATTTCTACCCTGTCTATGGATTGATTTGTTAATTCACTAATAGCAATTTTAAGACTTTATAGTTCAAAAAAATCCTGAGAATAACTTTAATATTCCTAATTTGTATACTGAATTATTCCAACATTGATACACCTCTTAATTAACTATCTTCAGGTTTTTATATATGCATTATCAATACAACGCTTCGTATCGTTTCCATATCTTTCACTGGGATGCAGGCGGACATCTTTGATAATGTCACACACTTTTTATAATACAATGAGTCCTCTTAAAATGGCACCAGAAGGAAGTAAAAAATGTTAACTATTACTCACATTAGTCATCCGGAGCCTAATCATGACGCAGATGCCTCAGGTGACCATGGAAGAACTTTTCAAGGTGCACAATTCATCCATTCTGCAGAGCACAAAGCACAGAGGAGTTCAGAGCATACAAGGGGACTTTCTCGCTCATGATTCACCTTCATCTAATGAGTCATTTAGGCAATCATTATTTGAAGTGTATTTCATTTTCTCTTAAGAAAATTACCAATTTCAAACTTGCCACTGACCCATACCTTAAACATTATCTATAGTTTATACTGTCTACACTATCACTCGCAAGAGGCCAAAGGCATGCATCATTCATTTTTCCTTGGCTATCACTGTTTCAGTACATATTAATAGTGCTTGCTGCCTCATCAAATATTTTTATAATTGGACAATGCTTAACCTGATTCATCTTTATTTATTCAAATATTTGCTTATTGATTCTCACTGATCCAATTATAAAATAAAATATAAATGCATAACACACAAAGACCTAAAACAAACTGAGTCTGTATTCCTGACATCTACCTATAGAATCATGTGAAACAGAGGAAATTGACTTTCTGATGGGCCTCAGAGTTCCAGACATGTATTCATTGTATGACTCACACGACACCAGTAGTCAACACTGAACCAGGATTCTTCCTATTTTTCTCTATGCATTTTTACTTTGTCTAATAATTAACTCAATTCACTGATAATAAGTTTAAAATCTTTGGTTTTTAAAAATCCAAGAGCTTTGATATTCCTAATCCCTACATAGAATCATTATAATGTTGATATATATTTTCATTCATTGTTCTCCATTTTTCATATATGTGTTTTCAATATAGTACTTCCTATCACTCCTCTAACTGGGAAAGAGTTGGCCGTCTTTGATTACATTCCTATAATATATTGGAATATATTATATATAGATTATATTCCTATAATATATATTTTATATATAAGATATTCCAGTAATATATTCCTATAATGTATTACCTCTTTTATAATGTATTATATCTTCCTATAATGTATTTTATACTACATTATATTATAGAAATATATATAATATATTCCTACAATATATTACATTTTTATAATGTATTATACGTTTTTATAATACACTGAATCCTCTTAAACAAACCACTCAAACCAAGACAAGAGCTTTGACCATTACTTACTTTGGTCTGTACGCTCCTTCCTAAGCATGGTGCAAACAGAGCACGTGACCTTGGAGGCATCTTTAAATCATCACAAGTACGTCCATTCTGATGAGTGCAGAGCAGAGAAAATAATAACAAAAATGTGATTTTTCTCATTGTTGATCTTTCCTTTTTACCTATCTGTAGTTAAACATTTAGGCAATCGTTATTTGAAGTATGAACAACTTTGAACTTGCCACTAACCAAGAACACGAAAATAGCATATAATTTATACTATCTCTTCATTATTGGCCAAAAAGGTTAGGTATGTTAGATTTATTTTTGGCTTTCATCAATTTAAATACGTATTAAATACACCTCATCACACATTTTTATAATTGGACAATGCATAACTTATTTATTTATTCATATATGTTTTATTCTTTCATTGAACCAATTATAAAATAAAAACTCATAAACAAAAAAAATTCATTCTCTATTCTTGTCATCTATCTACAGAGTTAGTTGAAACAGAGGAAACTGACTTCTGCGATGGACCTCAGAGTTCCAGACACGTATTCATCGTATGTGACTCATACTCCACCAGTGCTCATCATCGATCCAGGGTTGACCCTCTTTTTCTGCATTCATTTCTATGTTGTCTTTAAATTTATTCATTAATTCACTGGGAATAATTTTACACTCTGTGATTCACAAAACACTAAGAACAGACTTGATATTCCCTATCTTTATACAGAATCATTCTAACACAGATATATCTGTTTCATTAATTCTTCTCCGTTTTTCATATATGCATTATCAATAAATACTTCAGATCCCTCTCATAAATATCACTGGGACATAGTTGACCATAGTTGACTATATAATACACTGTTTCATGATACATTGAGTCCTGTTTAGCAAACCACACAAACCGACACAGGAATTTTGACTATTACTAACATTGGTCTGCATGCACCTTCCCAAGCATGGTGTACAAATGGGGCGCGTGATCATGGAGGAATCCTTAACACAGCACAAGTTGTTCATTCTGAGGAATACAGACCAGAGAAGATAATGACAAAATTGAGACATTTTCAATATTGATATTTGCTTTTCAACTATCAGTTAGTCATTCATGCAATCATTATTTGAAGTATATTTAATTCATTTTCTGAAAATAAAATGAATAATTTTGAAACTGTCACTGACCCAGAAGTTGAACATTACCTATACTTTATTCTGTCTATACCATCATTAGCCAAAGAAGACACAGGAATGTACCGTTTATTTCTCTGTGGATGTCGCTGTTTCATATACATTAATTGTGTTTCTTATCTTGTCCCTTAGTTTCATAATTGGACAATGCTCGAATTTATTCATCTTTATTTGTATTTGTTTATTAATTCTCATATGGATCAATTATAAAAATAGAATCAAAACATGTAAACATGAATACCAAAAACATATACATTCTATACTCCTGACAGTTGTCTGTAAAATAATTTCAAACATACAGAATAGGCTAGATTTTGTTTGTGACGGACCTCAGAGTTCTAGACACGTATTCATCGCAAAAGACTCATACGCCACCAGTAGTCATCATCGATCCAGGACTGATCTTCTATTTTTGGGTTCGTTTCCTCCTTGTCTATTGACTAATCTGTTAATTCACTAACCATAACTTTAAGCCCTATGATTTACAAAACCACAAGAATAGCCATGATATTCCTAACATATAGGAATATTTATTTTATTAATTATCCTCAGTTTCTCATGTATATATCTTCAATATAATCCTCACATCAGGCCCATGTTTATTTAAATACAACTGCTCATCTTTGATTATAATATACACCTTTTTGTAACACATTGAACCCTCTTGAACAAACCACCCAAAGCAAGGTGAGGACTTCCACTATTACTTACATAGGTCTCCAGGCTCCATCCTAAAAATGGTGCAAGTGGAGCACATGGACTTGAAGGAATCCTTCAATCAGCAAAGTGCAATCATTCTAGGGAATACAGAGCAGAGAAGAGGATAACAAAAGTGAGATGTTGTCACTACTGACCCTTTCTTGTCACCTATCATTAGTTAGTCATTTTGACAATCATTATTTGCAGTATATTCATTTTATCTAAAGAAATGCATAATTCTGAAATTGTCGTTGACCCAGAAATTGAATGTTGTCTATAATTTGTACTGTCTATACCATCATTAGCCACAGAAGTCACCAGAAGACACCATTTATATCTCTGTGGACTTCGCTGTGTCAAAAGATATTAAGAGTGCTTCTGGCCGGATGCTGTGGCTCACACTTGTAATCCCAACACTTTGGAAGGCTGAGGTAGGCGGATCACTTGAGGTCAGGAGTTCGAGACCAGCCTGGCCAACATGGTGAAACCCCGTCTCTACTAAAAATACAAAAAATTGGCAGATGTGGTGAAGGGCGCCTGTAATCCCAACTACTTGGGAGGCGGGGGCAGGAGAATCACTTGAACCCAGAAGGCAGAGGTTGCAGTGAGCCAAGATCATGCCACTGCACTCCAGCCTGGGGGACAGAGCGAGACACTGTCAAAAAAAAAAAAAAAAAAAAAAAGAGTGCTTCTTGCCTTATCATATATTGTTATACTTGGCCAATGCTTCCACTTTTTCAGCTGTATCTATTTATATATGTGTTTATTGAGCCTTGCATTGACCAGTTATGAAAATAGAATGAAAATACATAAACACAAATGCCAAAAAAATTATGTTCTATATTTCTGAACTCTGTCTATAGGATCATTTGAAACTGAAGCAATAGGCCAGATTTCTTCTGTGACAGACCTCAGAGTTCCAGATACGTACTCATCATATGTGAGTCATATGCCATCAACAGTCACCATCGATCCAGGATGGATCATCTGTTTTTCAATTTAATTCTGCCTCATTTGTTGATTAATTCATTAATTCATTACTAATAATTGTAAATCCTATGATTTACAAAGCCCTATGGAGAGCTGTATACGTCTAAATAATATGTATACAGAATCATTCTAACACGAATATACCTGTTTTATTAATTATCCTCAGCTTTTCATATATGCATTATCAATATAATACTTCATATCCCACCAAATCTATTATTGGGATAGAGTTGGCCATCTTTAATTATATTTTACACCTTTTTATAATTCATAGAATCCTCTTAAACAAAATGCACAAAGCAAGATAAAGACTTTGAATATTACTCACACAGGTCTGCACACTCCTTTCTAAGCATGATGCAAACTTAGCTCCCAACCTCAGAGGAATCCTCAAATCAGCAAAGGCATGTCCCTTCTGAGGTGTACAGAGCAGAGAAGATGATAACAATATGAGACATTCCTACTACTGATCCTGGCTTTTGCACCCTGCCTCTGACCCAGAACACACATATTATCTATAATTTATAATGTCTATACCATAATTAGCCAATAGATGACAAATAATACCATTATTTATCTTTTGACTTCACTGTTTTTAATATATAAATAGAATATCCTGCTTCACCAGATATTTTTATTATTAAACTATGTGCCATTTTATTTATATCTTATTGATTACTTTCATTGATCCAATTATAAAAATAGAATAAAAATACACAACCCCCAAGAAAAATAACTACATTCTATATTTCTGAAATCTGTCTATAACATCATTTTAAACAGAAGGAATGTATACATTTCCATTGTGATGGACGATGGACCTCAGAGTTCCAGACACGTATTCATTGTCTATGACTCATACGCCACCAGTAGTCATCATCGATCCAGGATTGGTCTTCCTTTTCTCAATTCATGCCTGTATTTTTGTGATTAATTTACTAATTCACTAATAACAACATTAAAGAGTCTGATTCAAAGAGCTCCAAGAAGAGTCTTGATATTCCCAATCTGTACATGGAATCATTCTAACATCGATATATCTGTTTCATTACCCTCAATTTTTCATATATGCATTATCAATATAATGCTTCATATCACTCCAATTTCTATCACTTAGATACAGTTGACCATTCTGATTATATTATAGGCTTTTTGATAATACCCTGAGTCCTCTTAAACAAACCATTCGGGCCAAGATAAGAATGTTGATTACTACTCACATTGCTCTGCAGGCTCCCAACCATGATAAAAACAGAGCACGTGACCATGAAGGAATTCTCAAATCATAAAAAGTGCATCATTCTGAAAGGACAGAAAGCAGAGAAGATAACAAAATTGAGACATTCTCAACATTGATCCTTGATTTTCACCTGTTATTAGTCATTTTGGCAATCATTATTTGGATTATATTTCTTTTATTTATTTTCTCTTAATAAAATGAACAACTTCAAAATTACCACTGACTCAGAATATGAACATTGTCTATAATTTATACTATCTATATCATACGCCATTTATGTCTTTCTAGATTTCACGATTTCAATATGTGTTAATAGCATTTCTTGCCTTACCACAAATTTTTATAATTGGGCAGTGTTTCAATCATTTTCTATTTATTATATATTTGTTTCCTGATTCTCACATTGATCCAATTATAAAAATAGAAGAAAACTTCATAATCACACAGAAAAAACAAACATTCTATATTTTTTAAATCTGTCTGTAACACCATTCGAAACAGAGAATAAGCCAGATTTTATCTGTGATGGACCTCAGAGTTCCAAACACGTATTCATCACATATGACTCATACGCCACCGGTAGTCATCATCGATCCAGAATGTGTCCTATTTTTCTCTGGGCACTTTTACCTTGTCTAATGATTAATTCATTAATTTGCTAATAGTAATTTGAAAACCTTTGGTTCACAAACGCCTCAGAACAGCATTAATATTAATATTCTTTATCTGCATATAGAATCATTCTCACACTGATAAATGTTTCATTAATTATCCTCAGTTTTTCAAACATGTATTGTTAATATAACGCTTCATATCACTCCCATTTCTATCACTGGGCTGCAGCTGGCCATTTTTGATTACAGTGCAGACTTTTTAATAATACATCAAATCCTCCTAACCCAACCACCCAAACTAAGACCAGAACTTGATTACTCACGTAGGTCTGCGTGCTCCCAATCAAGAGGCAGACACAGCATGTCACCAGGGAGGAATCCTTCCATCAGCACAAGCCATCTATTCTGAGGAATACAAAGCAGAGACGGTAACAAAACTGAGACATTCTCACTAATGATCCTTGCTTTTCACCTTGCCTTTAGCCTGTCCTTTAAGCATTCATTAGGTGGACTAATATTTATTTCATTTTCTCCTAAGAAAAAGAACAATTTGATCTTGCAAGTGAATAAGAATTTGAACATTATCTGTAATTTATTCTGTCTACATTATTATAAGCCAAAGAAGTAACAGGTATGTACAATATCTCTTTGTACTTCACCGATTTCAATATACATTAATAGTATTTCTTGCTCAACACATATTTTTATAGTTGTACACTGTTCACGCATTTTATCTTTATTTATATGTTTATTGATTCTTGCATTAGAATGAAAATGAAACCAAAACAACTTCATTCTATATTCCTGACATCAGTCTATAGATTCATGTAAAACAGAGGGAATGGACTAGGTATCTTTTGTGGTGGACCTCAGAGTTCCAGACACGTATTCATCACATATGACTCATACGCCACCAGTGGTCATCATTGATCCAGGAATGGCCCTCCTTTTTTCTATTCAGTTTTACATTGTCTGTTGGTTGCCTCATTAAATCACTAATAATAATTTCAAAGCCTATGATTCAAAAAACTCCAAGAACAGCCTTGATATTTCTGATCTGTATCCAGAATCATTCTAACATTGATATTATCTGTTTCATTAATTATCCTCAGTATTATATTAATACTTCATGTCACTGCCATGTCTACCATCGGGATAACATTGACCATCTTTGACTGTATTTCACACTTTTTAATAATACATTGATTACTCTTAAACAAACCACAATAAGGACTTTGACCATTACACATTGGTCTGCACGCTCCTTCCTAAGCACGGTGCAAACAGAGCATGTGACCCTAGAGGAATTCTCAAGACAGAACAAGGATGTCCGTTCTGAGGAGTACAGCGCAAAGAAGATGATAACAAATTTGACATATTATCACCATTGATCCTTGCTTTTCACATTTCTTTAGTCATTTAGGCTACCATTATTTAGAGTACAGTATATTTATTTCACTTTGTCTTAAAAAGATGAACAATTCTGAATTTGCCACTGACCCAGAATAAAAACACTGTCTATAATTATCCTCTCTATATCATCATTAGCCAAAGAGGTGACAGACACGTACCATTTATTCCTCCTTGAACTTCACTATTTCCAATACATATTAATAGTATTTCTTGTCTCACCACCTATTTTTATAATTGAGCAACACTTCAACCAATATATCTTTATTTTTATATTTGTTTATTGATTCTCACATTAACCCAATAATAAAAATAGAATGAAAATGTATGAGCACAAAGACCAAAAACAAACCCAGTCTATGTTCATGATACCCATCTAAAGGATTGTATCAAACATAGAAAATGGGCTAGATTTCTTTTGTGACAGACCTCAGAGTTCCAGAGACGTATTCACTGTAGATGACTCATACGCCACCAGTAGTCATCATCGATCCACAGGACAGGTGCTCTTTCTCTCCACTCACTTCTAATTGCTTATTAATGATTTATTAATCCACTGACCATAAATTTTAAAATCATGGTTCATGAAATCCCAGTAAGAACCTAGAGATTCCTAATCCCTACAATGAATCATTCTAATATGGATACAGCTGTTTCATTCACTATCCTCAGTTTTTCATAGATGCATTATCAATACAATGCTTCACATGAGTCCCACATTTATTGCTAGAATACTACTCGACATCTTTGATTATAGTATGCACTTTTTTAGTAATTCATTGAGTATTTTGAAATAACCACTCAAACCAAGAGAAGAATTTTAATGATTACTCACATTGGTCTCTATGCTACTAACAAATAGATGCAATCACAGAAGAAAGATGCAAGGAGGAATGTTTCAATCGGCTCAAGTGCACCCATTCTGAGGAAAACAAAGCAGAGTCAGTATTTTAAAAAACAGACACCTCATCCTCTATAATTCTTGCTTTCTGCATTTCATTTACTTAATCATTCAGGTACTTCATAATTTTCCATGAAGTATATGTTTTTTCTCTTAACGAAAGGGACAACCTCAAACTTAGAGGAACTGGTTCAGAACAATAAAATTGATTCTTACTCTTAGTGTCTATATGATCTTAAGCCAAAGAAAGAAGGAACATCTTTGATCCAATATATTCTTAATGGATGTCAGTTGTCTCTACTTGTATTAATAATCTTGATTGCCCCACTATATACTTTTATAGCTGAACAGAGCTGCACTCTCTTCAATTTTATCTATCTACTTATATTTGTTCAATGGTCCTATCATGAATTCCCTAATATTAACAAATCTAATCTATGAATCTAAAATAAGAACATGGTCTTTATATATCCCAAACATCTGTCTGTAGGATTATTCCAAACAGAAGGAATAGACTAAATACGTTTTGCGTTGATGCTCAGAGTTCCACACACATATTACTCATAGTTTATGACTCCTGCACTACTATTTGTTATCGTTGTTCTATGCATACTCATTGGCCAGGTTTTTCTTCACTCAATCTTACATTTGCAGAGAATGAATCACTAATTCACTGAAAATGAGTGAGTCAGAAAAATGCAAAAATAAAATGCTAGAATAGTGCTAACAGCTATCAATACAACCATTTCCCATACACATTCCATCTTTTTCACTTAATGATGTCAACATTAGGGATTAATCAACATCATATTTCACATTATACTTGTTATTGGGCCATAAATAACTATTTGATTAATACTTTTTAATAATACCATGAATACTCTCAAGCAAATAACTGAAACCAAGACAAGAACATAGACTATATTCACATTGGTCTCTTTTTGAACGGAGTTAACATGAGAAACTTGATCGTTGTTGCAGAGTGCTCAAATCAGCTAATTGCATCTGCACTGAAGGGTGCTAGGTGGAGATAATGATAAAAAGATTGAGATATTTTGTCTGTTGATCTATAATTTCTTTCTTTCATTCACCTAGTCATTTAGGTATTTATTAATTTATGGTAATATTTATTTATTTTTCTTCTTATAAACTTCAAACTTGTAATTGACTTGGGGCAATAACTGGCTATTACTTATCAGTAATTATTACCATTGTCTCTATCATCTTTAGTCAGAAATATTATACACGTGGTCCATTTATTATCCATTCCAATGTACATTAGCAATATTTTCCTTACTGCATATTTCAGCAATGAACAATGCTTTGTCCTCTTCATTTTTATTTGTTTTATTTTATTTGTACATGTATTTGCTTATTCTGCTATTGCCACTTTTACAATCTTTTTAAACCTCATGCTCACAAGACTAATCACAAACTCCTTGTATATTTCCGGTATCTGTCTATTACATCACTTTAAACACGGGAATGAACTAGATTCTATTTGTGTTTGGACCTCAAAGTTTCAGATATGTAATATTCTTCATATACAACCAGCATGTACAACCACATAAGCCACCACTTGTCATCAACAGTCCAGGATTGGCCTTCTTTCTCTTCATTCTTACCTACACTTGTTTATTGAGTAATTCATTAATAAAGACATACACATAAACCACAAAAAATAAGCTCTTCAATATCACTCACATTCATCTATACTATCACAAAGAGCCTAAATCCCTTTCTTTAAATGAATTCAGTTTTTCACATAGCATTAATCAACATAATACTACTGCATATCAATCTGAAATAAAACATCAGCATGATTGACTGTCTTTGAATCACTCAAACGAAGATAATTTTTACCATTGCTGATGTTGGTCTCTATGCTCCTAACACACAGATATAAACACAGAGTTTGTAAGTATGGAAGAATATGCAAATCAGAGCACAGAAGATGATTACACATTCTCTTCATTGAGCCACAGATTCCTCTATCCTTTTATATAGTCATTCAGACATTTATAAATTTACATCAATATTTATTTCTTTTTCTCTTAGTAAATCAAACATGAAATACACAAGTGAACCAGATCAAAAACCGTTACTTCTCACTTTCTGTTATCACCATTAGTCTAAGACAAAATACACTTGTTCCAATTTATATTAATACTATTTTTCCCTCCTGTATATTTTAACAATGAGCACGCTTTACCACCTTGATGTTTATTCATTATGTGTTTGTTTGTCTACTCTATCAGTGATTCCTTACAATTTTCAAGAATCCATGAACACAGCCAGGCGTGGTGGCTTATGCCTGTAATCCCAGCACTTTGGGAGGTCAAGGTGGGTGGATCACAAGGTCAGGAGTTCAAGACCAGCCTGGGCAACATGGTGAAACCCCATCTGTACTGGCTAATTTTACTACAGTATTAAAAATTATACAATATATTAAAGAAGGCCAACTGCAGCCCAGTGACAAACATGAAATTGATATGAAGTAGTATATTGATTAATTCATTGAATTAATTCATTTAAGAAAACTGAGGATATTTAGTAAAGGAGGTACATTGACCTGAGAATGATTCTATACACATATTAGGGACATCAAGACTTTTTTCAGGTTTTGTGCATTAAAGCACTTTAAACATATTATTAGTAAATTGCTGAATTAATCAATAAACAATGTAGAAACGAATGAAGAAAAGATAGGCCATTTCTGGACCAATGATGATGCCTGGGAGGCAGAGGTTGCAGTGAGCCAAGATCACACCACTGCACTCCAGCCTGAGCAACAGAGAGAGACTCCATCTCAAAAAAAAAAAAAAATGCATGAACACAAAGATTCTTGTATATCACTGACACCAACTTACTGCACCTTGTAAAGAGAGGAAATGAATGCATACTCGCAATGGTTTGTGTGCTCCTAACACAGAGAACCAACCATAGTGCACATGCCATGGAAGAGTGCTTATATCAGCTGGAATGGGGCCATTCTGAGGAGTATAAACAGAACAGATGATTTAAAAATTCAGACATTCCTCCAATGATCCTTGCCTTTCACCTTTCATTTAGTCACTTAAATCATCATTATTTGGAATATATTTATTTCATATTCTCTTAAAACAAACGACTCTGAACTTGCCACTAACAAAGACACTTACTATTCATCACCTTTAACTCATACACCACCAGTCATCATCATTGGTCCAGAAATGGCCCATCTTTTCTTCATTTGTTTCTGCATTGTTTATTGATTAATTCAGCAATTTACTAATAATATGTTTAAAGTGCTATAATGCACAAAACCTGAAAAAAGCCTCGATGTCCCTAATATGTGTATAGAATCATTCTCAGGTCAATGTAACTCCTTTACTAAATATCCTCAGTTTTCTTAAATGAATTAATTCAATGAATTAATCAATATACTACTTCATATGGATTTCATGTTTGTCACTGGGCTGCAGTTGGCCTTCTTTTATATATTGTATAATTTTTAATACTGTAGTAACTATCCTTTAAAAAAGCACTCAAGCCAAGAACATTGACTATTACTTACAGTGGCCTCCAAGCTCCTAACACACAGATGCAACTGTACAGCCTGAGGGCATGAAGGAGTGCTTGAGACAACTCAGGTGAGCCCATTCTAAGGTGTACAAAGTAGGACTGTTGATAAAAAATTTGAGACCTTATGGCAATGGTTCCCTGCTTTGTGTCTACCGTTTAGCCAGTAATTAAGGCAAACATTCATTGGGAGGATATTACATTTTCTCTAAAAATGAACAACTTCAAATTTGCCACAGACTCAGAGCATGAACATTGTCTATAATTTAAACTGTGCATCATTAGCCAAAGAGGTAAAAGTCACATACCATTAATTTCTCATTGAATTTCATATTTTCAACATATAGTAATAGTACTTCTTGCCTTGCCACATATTTCTATATTTGGACAATGCCTCATCTATTTTATCTTGATTTACTTATTTTATTGATCCGATTACAATAATAGAATGAAAGTGCATGAAAAAAAATCACTTTTCTTTTGTGTTGGACCTCAGAGTTCCACACACGTATCATCCATTATCCAAGATTCATATGCCAGCAAGTTTTATCATTGATCCAGGAGGGCCCACTTTTCCTCAATTCATTTCTAAGTTATTTATTGATTAATTTAATAATTATAATTTTAAAACTCTGTGATTCACAAAAATGCAAGAGATTTATATCCCTAATATGTACTTAAAACCATTCTCACTTCAATATCTCTTATGTTAATAATAATTGTAGTATTTCATGTATACACTAAAAAAATAATATCTCATATTAATCCCATGCTTATTACTAAGCTACAGCTCACCTTCTTTGATTATATTTCACACTTTTTAATAATACAGTGACTGCCCATAAACAAACTATGCAAAACAAGATAAGAACTTTAGCTATTACATTGTTCTCTAGGCTCCTAATGCAGACATGCAATCAAAAAGCTTGTGACCAAGGAGGAATTCTGAAGTCAGCTTGAGTGGGTCCATTCTGAGAAATATAAATCAGAGAAAACAGCGCAAAAAAAAAAAAAAAAAAAAAAAAAAAAAAGACATCCTCTGCATAGAATGAAAAGACCAAAACCAAGATCCTTGTATATTCCTGACAACTGGCTACAGGGTCACTTAAACCAGAGTAAATGAGCTACATCTCTTTCACATTGGACCTCAGAATTTCAGACATGTATTCATCGTATATGACTCATACACCAACAGTAGTCATCACTGATCTAGGATTGGCCCTTTTGCTCTATTGTCACCTACATTTGTTTATTGATTAATTCATTGAATCATAAAATTATAGTATTATTATTCACAAAAACTCAAGAAGAGTCCTTATATCCCTAATTTCTATATAGAATTATTCTCATATCAACATAAATTTCATTAACTATCCTATTTTTTATATATGCATTAATTGATATAATATTTCATACATCTCATATTTATTACTGGGTTATAATTGCATTCATTGTATTTCATGCTTTTTAATAATATAGTGAATAATCTTAAGATAAAAGAAATACTGAAACCAAGAAAAGAATGTCAGCCATTACTCACTTTAATCTCTGTGCTCTTAATATACAGAGGCAACCACAGAGCTCGTGGCCATGGAAGACTGCTTAAATCACCTGAGCGTATCCATTCTAAGGGTATGAAGCAGAGCAAATGATAACAAAATTAAGACCTTATCTCCATTGATTCTTGATTCCTGCTTTCTGTATTTCATTTACTAGGTCATTTAGGTATTTATTATTTGTTCACTGTGTGTGTGTGTGTGTGTGTGTGTGTGTGTGTGTGTATTTATCTTACGCAAAGGAACACTTCTATCATGAGACTAACCCAGAACAATAAAATCAACTCTTACTTATCAATTTCTATATTATTCTTACTAAAAGTGGTAATATCTTTTATCCATTTATTTGTAAATGAATGTCAGTGCTTTAAATTTTGATTAGTAATATTTCTTGACTCCACACATATGTTCATATTGGACAATGCTTGACCCTCTTGTTCTTTATACATTAATTTATATTAGTTTAATGGATCTATCATTGATCCAATGGTAATAATAAATATCAATCTATGGAATCAATACATAGATATTATCTATATATTCCTGACATTTCTCTGTAAGTCAATTTCAACAGAGAGAATACACTAATTATGTGCTGTGTTGGACCTCAGAGTTTCAGACACATATCATTCATCGTCCATAACTCCAATGCCACCATTTGTCATCATTGGTCCATGATTGGGTCTCCTCTCCTTCATGGGTTCCTACATTTTTATCAATTAAATGATCATATTATTGACATTAATAAAAACAAATACATGGTTCAGACAAAACCAACAAGGTCTTTGAATATCTATAACATCTACAGAGTCACCTTCAACATAGACTAGATCTCTTTCATTTATTGACCTCAATGTTGCACATGAGAAATTAAACAACATACTGTTTCAGTCATACTCATTATTGAGCAGTGGTTAACTGTGTATTAATTTAATACTTTAAAATTTTTTGATTGACAGATAAAATTGCTTGTATTTATCATGCACAACATGATGTTCTGAAGTATATATACATTGTGGAATAACTAAATCTATCTAACTGATATATGTATTACATCTCAGAGTTATCATTTTGTGATGAGAACACTTAACATCTACTCTCTAGCATTTTTCAAGAATATGATGTATAAAATGAACTATAGGCACCATGTTGTATAATATTTCTCTTGAACTTATTTCTCCTCTCTAACTGAATAATTTAACACATTTTATAGTAATACCAAGAACATCTTCAAACAAATTACTGAAACCAAGATAAGAACTTTGACTATAACTCACCTTGGTCTCTTTCCAAACAGAGGGAACACAACAATCTTGATCCCAACAGAATGATTCAAAGAGCTTGTTGCATCCATTCTGAAGAGTAGAAAGCACAGAAAAACATTGAGATGTTCTCTCCATTGATCCACGTTGTCTACCATTTGTTAACACTGCCTTTTAGGCTTTTATTAATTTATGCTAATATTTATATATTTTGCAAGTAATAAACTTCAAAACTTGCAACTGAATGAGAGCAAGAACTGTTACCTATTACAGTCTATGTCATCCTTAGTCCAAGACATAATATCCTTGATCAATTTATTACCCATTCTATTTCTATTAATATTCATTTTCCTTACTATGAAGTTTAGTAATAAACAATGCTTCACCCCCTTCATCTCTATTAATTTATAAATTTATTTATTCTGCCCTTGATTCGTTTACAATAATATTTCTAAAATTCATGAACACAAATATCAACAACAAGGTCCTCATATATTCTGACATCTGTGCATAAGATCCCTTCAAAATGGGGAATAGATTACATCCCATTTGTGTTGGACCTCAGAGTTCCAGACACGTGGTGTTCATTATGCGTGACTCACACCAGTAGTCATAATTGGTCCAGGATATCTTTGATTTAACACTAATACAAATTTATCCACTGATTAATTTATTAATAAGAAATCCACATCAGTCAGAAAATACAAGAATAATATTCATAAAGATTTCTAACATTCATCTACAGATTCATTTCCACAGACTAAATCTCTTCATTACTGTCTTCTGTGGTAATGACCTTCTTTGGTCCATATATTGACCAATCACTATAATACATCTATCAATCTGATAGTAAAATTGGCATGTTTGGGTCTCTTTGGTTATATTTAACACATTTTAATAATATAGGAAATATCTTTTTTAAAAAGCTACACCAACAAAGACAAGAGCATTGACTATTGCTCACATTGGCCTTCATATTCTAACACGAGATGCAGCCAACGTGCTGGTGAGCAGGGATGAGAGATTGAATCACCTCTAAAGCATCTGTTCTGAGGAGTACAGAACAAAACAGATGACTTAAAAAATGAGAAAATCCTCCATTGATCCTTGCTTATCATCTTCCATTTAATCATTAATTCAGGCAATCATTACTTGGAGTATATTTATTTCCTTTTCTCTTAAAATGAACAATTTTGAACTTGCTACTGACCCAGAACAAAAACATTATCTAATTAATACTGTCCATATCATCCTTTGCCAAAATAAACCATTATGCACCATTTATTTCTCTTTGCATTTTAGTGTTTTCTATATATATTAACAAAATTCCTTGCCTCACAACAAGTTTTTATAATTAGACAATGTTTCCCCCATTTTACCTTGATTCACTTATATATTTGTTTACTCATTCTTTCATTGACCCAATCATAATAATAACATAAGAATGCATGAACAGAAAGACTCGATTTCTTTTGTGAAGGACCTCAGAGTTCCAGACACATATTCATCATGTATGACTCATACGCCACCAGTGGTCATCATCGATCCAGGATTGGGCATCCTTTTCTCCATTCATTTCTATATTGTCTGTTGATTTAATCATTAGTTCACTAACAATAAATTAAAACCCTATGATTCACAAAACCCCAAGAACAGCCTTGATATTATTAATCTGTACATATTACCATCTCATCTCCATGTATCTCCTGCTTTAATTATCCTCAGCATTTCACACATGTATTAATCAATATGATGCTTCATATTTGTCATTTGTAACAGCAGGCCTTATGTGATTATATTTCACACTTTTTAGTGATGCAGTGAATACCTTAAACCACCTAAACCACACCAAGAACTTTGACTATTACTCACATTGATCTCTAAGCTGTGACGCACAGATGCAATCATAAGGCTGGTGGCCATGGAAGAATGCATAAATCACCTCGAGATTATCACTCTGAGGAGTACAAAAAAGAGAAGATGATTTTTTTTAAACTAGATATTCCTCCACTGATCCTTGCTTATTGAGGTGTTTTGTATGTTGGACCTCAGAGTTCTAGACACGTATTATTCATCACCCAACACTCATACGCCGGCAGTTGTCATCATTGGTCCAGGAAGGCCCGCTTTCTCTTCATTCTTTACTACATTGTTTATTGATTAATTCATAAATTCACTGATAATATTTTTTAAAGCCTATGATTCACAAACCTCCAACAAAAGCATACCAATTTGTTAGGTAGCCATCATTATTCACATGTCAGTATTTAAATTTTATCATTTATCCTCAGTTTTTCATATATGCATTAATCAATATAATGATTCATATTAATCCCAAATTACGATGTTTACATTAGGCCTTTTGTGATTATATTTCACACTTTTTAATAATATACTGAACATCCTTAAACAAACCACCCAAGCCATGACAAAAATTTTGACTCTTACTCACATTGGTCTTAACAGAGATTCAATCATACAGTCATAACCATGGGAGAATTCTTAAATCAGCTCAGATGGGTCCAGTGTGAGAAATACAGAACAGAATAGATGATTTTAAAATGAAGAAGAACAGACATCTGAGACGTTCTCTCCATTAATCCTTGCTTTTCACCTTTAGTCAGTCATTTCAGTAATCACACATTTAGATTACTTTTTTCTCTTAAGAGAATGAACAAATTCAAAATCGCCATCTATCCAGAACATGAACAGTGTCTGTAAGTTATACCATCTACACCATCCTGAGCTAAGGAGGTAAGAGTCATGTAAAATGTATTTCAAATTAGAGTTTAGTGTTTTCATAATATATTAGTAGTGTTTCTTTGCTCACTACATATTTTTAATTTGAACAATACTTCATTAATTTATTTACTTATTGATTGGTTATTTCACTGGTCCAATTATAATACTAGAATGAAAATATATGAACACAAAGATCAAGCCCAAGATCCTCGGATATTCCCAACATGGGCCTAGAGGATGCCTTATATCAAGAATATGGACTATATGTCTTTTGTGTTGGACATCAAAGTCCAGACATGTTTTACTCATTGTATATGGCTCACGCCATCATTGGTCTCAATTTTCACTCATTTCTACCTTTGTTTTGAATAAATCATTAATCAATTTATAAGAGTAAAATAAGAACATGATTCACAAAAACCTATGAACATGATGCCAGACATACCAAGCATCTGTCTACAGAATCCTTTTCCACATTAGACAATGTCGCTTTCATTCATTCACCTCTGTGTGGCACATTATTGATTAATAAACATACTGTTCTATATTATGTTAACCATTGGGCCATGGTTAATTTTATAATAATTTAAAATTTTTAATAATACTGTGAATACCTTTAGACAAGTACCCAAAGGAAGACAAAAATTTTGGCTATTACTCACATTAGTTTCTTTCCAAACGCAACAGCAATACAGGTTTCCATCAAGCAGAAGCCCACTTGATGCATCCATTCTGATTCATCTTCACACAAACCAGAGAAGATGATAAAAAATGGAGAATTTCTCTCCACTGACTGATATATTCCACTATTCGTTTGTATCATCTTTTTGGTTTTTAATAATTTATGGGACCAGGGCAGTGGCTCACTCCTGTAATCCCAGCACTTTGGGAGGCTGAGGTGGGTGGATCACCTGAGGTCAGGAGTTCGAGACCACCCTGGCCAACACGGTGAAACCCCATCTCTACTAAAAACACAAAAATTAGCCAGGCGTGGTGGCGGGTGCCTGTAATCCCAGCTACTTGGGAGGCTGTGACAGGGGAATCACTTGAACCCAGGAAGCGGAGGGTGCAGTGAGCCAAGATTGTGCCACTGCACTCCAACCTGGGCAACAAGAGCAAAACTCCATCTCAAAGTAATAATAATAATAATAATAATTTATAGGAATATTTGCTTATTTTTCTCTCAATAAAATGAACTTCAAACATGTAACTGAGAGTAATAACTATTATCCATCACAGTTGACTCATCTTTAATCCAAGACATAATAAACTCGATCCATATATTATCCATTCTAACTTATACTAATAATCCATTTTCTTTATTACATATTTTAGCAATAAACAATGCTTCACTCTCTTCATTTCTGTTCATTTATACATTCATTTATTTATCCTGCCCTTGATTATTTTACAATAATATTTTTTAAATACTAACACAAAAATCCCGAAAAAGATCCTTGCATATCCTGATATCTGTCCATTGGATCCCTTCACAAAGGAGGAATGGACTAGATCCCATTTGTGTTGGACCTCAGAGTTCTAGAAACATGGTGTTCATGTGTATGACTCATATGCCACCAGTGGTCATCACTGGTCCAGGATCAGCCCTCTTTCTCTATTCCCATCTAAATTTGTTTATTTATTAATGTATTAACAAAGAAATACACAAAAATCTGAAAAGAAAAATAAGAATTATATTCTGAATATCCCTAACATCCATCTATATAATCCTTTCCACACAGACCAAATTTCTTTCATCAACTGAGCTTTTGCATAGATGCATTACTTTTTGCATAGATGCTTCATATCAATGTGATATTGAACATGGGCAGACTTCTCTTATTTGATTATATTTAAAACTCTAAAATAATGCAGCAAATACCATTCTAAAAACTGCTGGATTTGGTATAAGAACACTGATTACTACTCACATTGGTCTGCATGCTCCTAACACACAGATGCAACCACAGAGCTCATGACCATGGAAGCGTGCTTGAATCAACTCAAGTGCGTTCATTCTGAGGATCACAGAGCAGAGCAAATGATTTTAAAAGGTTGTAACATTCTTTCCACTGGTCCTTTAATTCCTCTTTCCAGTTAGTCAGTCATACATAATTAGTAATTTGTAATAATGCTTATTTTTCTCCTATGTAGGCTAACAATGTCAATCCTGCCATTGACCCAGAAACTCAACACAGATATTTACCTATTACTGTCTACATCATACTTAGCCAAAGATTTAACAATCATGTACCATTTATTTCTCTTTGGACTTCAGAGTTTCCAGTACATATTAATATTACTTCTTGCCACACCATCTATTTTTATAATTGGACAATGCTTCACACGAATCATCTTTATTTAGTTATATATTTGTTGATTCATTCTTTTATTGATCCAATTATAATAACAGAATGAAAATACATGAGCAGAAAGAACTGGTTTTCTTTTCTGATGGACCTCAGAGTTCCAGACACGTATTATTCATCATCCAAGACTCATACGCCGGTATTTGTCATCATTGGTCCAGGAAGGGCCCACTTTCTCTTCATGCAATTCGACATTATTTGTTGATAAATTCAGTAATTCATGTATAATAATTATAAAAATTTTATGGTTCACATAATTCAATTCTATCACCAATATTCGTTATATATACATACACATTATTTGACTTTTTTTATTTTCAGTAACATAGTAAATATCCTTAAACAAACCACCCAAACAACACAAGAACTTGGCTGTTACTCACACTGGAATCTTTCATATCATGACAGCAACACAAGTCTTCATCAGGGCTAAATTCATAATCAGCTCAGTGCATCCATTCTGAAGAGTGCAAAGTGGAGAAGATGATAAAAATATTGAGACATTCTTTGCATCAATCCATACATTTCACCATTCATTTACATTGTCACTTTGGCTTTTATTAATTAATGGTAATATTTATTAATAAAATAGACTTCAAGGTTGCAACTAACTGACAGTAATAACTATAACCTATCACAATCTATGTTATTTTTGGTCCAAGACATAACACCTTTCATCCATGCCTATATTATCCATTCCAATTTAAATTAAAATCCATTTTTCTTAACACGTATTTTAGTAATAAACAATGCTTCACCTCCTTATCTTCTTCATTTATACACTGATTTATTCATCCTGCCCTTGATTCTTTTACAATAATATTTTTTTAAATTCATGAGCACGAAGATCATGAAGAAGATCCTTCTATATCCTGTATCCTGACATCTATTTATAAGGGGGAATGGACCAGATCCCATTGTATTGGACCTCAGAGTTCCAGACACATGATATTCACTGTGCATGACTCACACACCACCAGTCACCATCACTGGTCCAGGATCAGCCCTCTTTCTCTATTACCATCTAAATTTGTTTGTTGACTAATTCACTAACAAGGAAATACACCTAAGTCTTCAAAAAAAGAATATGATTCTTGAATATCCCTAACATTCATCCATATAATCATTTCCACGAAGACCATATTTCTTTCATTAACTGAGCTCAATGTTTCACATATGCATTAATTAACCTAAAGTTTTTAATCCAGATTTTAAATATTGCATATTTCCCCTTCTTTTATTGTGTTTAATACTTTTTAATAATATAGCAAATAACATTTTAAAATGGTCAAAACAAGAAGGAGCATTAACGATTACCCACATTGGTCTTCATGCTCCTAACACATAGATGCAGCTATAGAGCTTGTAACCATGGAATCGGCTGGCAAACATCCATCCTGAGGCTCACAGAGGACGGCAGATCACAAACAGATAAAACAGTCCTCCATGATCTGTGTTTATCATCTTCCCTTTAGGAAAACATTTGAGAAATCACTATCTGAAGGATAATTATTTCATTTTCTCTTAAGAAAATGAACACTTTGTGCAACTTTCCTTGACCCAGAGGTTGACCATTATCTATAACTACCACCTGTATCATCCTTAGTCAAAGACGTTACAGTGGGGTACCATTTATTTCCCTTAGGACTTCAATGCTTTAATATAATATTTTAATATGTTATCATATTTAATATATATTAAATATTGCATTAATTATATATTAATATTAGATTTTTATTTAATATATTAAAGCTTTAATATAATGCTTTAATATAATAATAATAATACATCTTGCCTCACCACTTATTTTATAATTGGACAATACTTCATCCCCTTCATATACGTACATGTATACGTATAAATTATTTCATTGATCCAATTATAATAATACAGTGAAGTGAACAAACCCAAAGACCAAAAGCAAACACATTGTATATTCATAGGATCACCTGAATCAGAAGGAATGGGCCAGATTTCTTTTGTGATGGACCTCAGAGTTTCAGACATGTATTCATCATGTGTAACTCATACACTAACAGTAGTCATCATTGATCTTCTTTTTTTTTGCTATTCATTTCTACCTTGTCTATTGATTATGTCATTTATTCATTAATAATACTTTCAAGGCCCGTGATTCACAAAACCCAGTAACACTCTTGATATTCCCTATCAGTATACAGAATCACTCAAACATTGGGTGTTTCATTAACTATCCTGTTTTTTATATATGCATCATCAATATAATACTTCATGTCACTCCCATATCACTGGAATAACATTGGCCATCTTTGACTGTATTTCACACTTTTAAATAATACGTTGATTACTCTTAAACAAACCACCCAAACAAAGGTAAGGACTTTGACTATTACTCCCCTTGGTCTTCACGCTCCTTCCTAAGCGTGGTGCAAACAGAGTATGTGACCTTGGAGGCATCCTCAAATCAGAACAAGGACATCCATTCTGATGAGTACAGAGAAGAGAAGATGAAAACAAATTTGAGACATTGTCACCATTGTTTCTTGCTTTTCACCCATAATTAGTCATTTATGCAATCGTTATTTGGACTTCATATTAATTTCATTTTCTGTTAAGGAAATTTCATTTCATTAATCATAGTAATTTCATTTTCTGTTAAGAAAATGAACAATTTCAATCTTGCTACTGGCCCAGAATCTGAACACTCTCTATAATTATACTGGCTATATCATCATTGGCCAAAGAGGTGACAGGCATGTCCCATTTATTTCTCTTTGGACTTCATGTTTTCAATACACATGAAATGTTTCTTGCCTCACTACAGATTTTAATAATTGGGCAATGATTAACATTATTCATCTTTTTATATAATATATATAAATTATATATATAGGTTCTCACATTGAGCAACTATAATAATGCAATGAAAATAAGTAAAAACAAAGGCCATAAACAAATAAATTCTGTATCTCTGACATCTATACACATAGGATCATTTCAAACATACGGAAGGAGCTCTACTTCTGTGATGGACCTCAGAGTTCCAGACACGTATTCATCATGTAAGACTCATACGCCACCAGCAGTCATCATCGATCCAAGATTGATCACCTCTTTTTCCACTCATTTCTATCTTGTTCACTGACTGACTTGTTAACTCACTAATAAGTCTCTATGGTTCAAAAAAAACCCCAAGAATAACCTGGATGTTCCATATCTGTATCTAGAATCATTCTAACATTGATATATCTGTTTTATTAATTGTCTTCAGTTTTTCATCTATGCATTATCAGTATAATACTTTATATAACTCTCATATCTATCATTGGGATAATAACATTGGCCGTCTCTGTATTATAAACTTTTTTTTTTTTTTTTTGAGATGGAGTCTCACTCTGTCGCCCAGGCTGGAGTGCAATGATGCAATCTCAGCTCACTGCAACCTCCGCCTCCCGGGTTCAAGTGATTCTCCTCCCTCAGCCTCCTGCGTAGCTGGAATTACAGGCACCCACCACCATACCCAGCTGATTTTTGTATCTTTAGTAGAGGCGGGGTTTCACCACGTTGGCCAGGCTGATCTCAAACTCCTGACCACAGGTGATTCACCCCCCTCAGCCTCCCAAAGTGCTTGGATTACAGGCATGAGCCACCGCACCCAGCCTATTACAAACTTTTTTATAATACATGACATACTCTTCAACAAACCACCAAGACAAGAACTTTGATCATTAATCACATGGGTCTGCATGCTCCTTCCTAAGCACGGTGCAGAGGACCATGGAAGAATTCTTAAAACAGTACAACTACGTCCATTCTGAGGAGTACAAAGCAGAGATGATGATAACAAATTTGAGACATTATCACCATTTATCTTTGCCTTTCACCTTTCATTTAGTTGGTCATTTAGGCAGTAATTTTCTGGAGTATACTTATTTCATTTTCTCTTAAGAAAATGAACAATTTTGAACTTGCCACTAACCAAAAAATTGAACATTGTCTATAATTATACTAACTATGTCATCATTGTCCAAAGAGGTGACAGGCATGTACCATTTATTTCTCTTTGGACGCCACTGTTTTCAATACATATTAATAATATATCCTGCCATACCTGAACAATGCTTCATCCACTTTATCTTTATTTATATACTTATTTATTGATTCTCACATTGATCCAATTATAAAAATAGAATGAAATTATCACAAATAAAAACATTTCTGAATTATTTCTGTAGCATCATTTGAAACAGAGAGAATGGGCCATGTATCTTTTCTAACAGACCTCAGAGTTTCAAACATGTATTCACTGTATAAGACTCATAAGCCACCAGTGGCCATCATATCATCAATCCAGGATTGGTTCTCTTTTTCTCCTCTCACTTCCACATTATCCATTGATTAGTTAATTCGTTCACTAATAATTTTAAAGCCCTATATTCACAAAACCCAAGGAGAAACTTGATATTTCTAGTCTGTATATAAAGTCATCTTATGTCATCATCTCTCCTTTATTATCTTCAGTTTTTCATATACCCATTAATTTATATAGTGCTTTATATCAATTTTGTCACTGCACAACAATTGGTCTTCTTTGATTATAATTCACTCTTTTCAATAATATAGTGAGTGAATAATAATACCTTTAAGCAAACAACCCACACCAAGAAGCAAACTTTGATGATTACTCACATTGGTCTCCATGCTCCTAATACCCTGTGGCAACCATAAGGCTTCTGACCATGGAAGCGTGCTTAAATCAGTTTAAGAGCATCCATTCTAGGATTGCAAAGCAGAACATGTGATGAAAAAAATGAAGACCTTATCTGTATTTATCCCTCCTTTCCAAATTTCATTGACTTATTTATTAATTTTTCATTATATATGTGTATTCTTTCTCTCTGTCTCAACAACAGGAACAATGTCAAACTTGCAACCAACCCAGAAAATAAAACTTGATTGATACAGAAAGCCTCAATGTTTTATATATATCAAAGAACATAATTTACATCAATCCCAACTTCATTACTGGGGTGCATTTGGCCCTGTTTGATATTTCATATGCCATTATATAATGAATACCCTTAGATAAACCACGCAAACCAAGACATAAAATGTGATTGTTACTCACGTTGGTCTCCATGCTCCTACTGCAGACAGCCTCCACCTTGAGGAATATAAAGGAGAACCAGTGATTAAAAAGTTGAGACATTCTCTCCATTGACAATGGCTTTCCAACTTTCATTTATTTATTCACGTAAATGTTTACTAATTGATGTTATTATTTGTCTCTTCTAAAAATAGGACAGGATGGTACTTGCCATTGATGCAGAACAATAACACTGACTGTTACTTATCACTGTCTATACCAATGGTCCCCAACATTTTTGGCACCCAGGATGGGTTTTGTAGAAGAGAATCTTCCCACGGACCAGGGCAGGGAGGGGTGGTTTCCAGATCACTGTTCTACCTCAGATCATCAGGCATTAGATTCTCATAAGTAGCATGTGACCTTGATCCCTGGCATGCACCATTCACAACAGGTTCTGCTCCTATGAGAATCTAATGCCACTACTGATCTGACAAGAGGCGGAGCTCAGGTGGTAATGCTTGCTCCCCTGCTACTCACTTCCTGCTGTGTGGCCTGGTTCCTAACACACCAGGCACTGATACTGGTCCGCAGCCCTGAGGTTAGGGACCCCTGGTCTATATGATACTGTACCAAAGAGGTGACACCCTTGATCCACTTATTTACTTATGGACCTTAGGACTTTCAAATTATATTAATAGTATTTCAGGCCTCACCTCACATTTCATAATTGGACAATGTTTCACCCTCTTCATCTTCATGCAATTGTATATATTTTGTCATTGATTGCTTTGTAACAATACAATCAAAACTCATGAACTACAAAAGTCCAAGAACATCACCTTTGTGTATAACTAATCATCCTACAGGACTACATCCATCAAAAATAACAGACTAGATCTCTGTCTAGGTACTAACCTCAGAGTCTCAGGCATGTATTTATTCATCATCTGTGACTAAATATGCCACAAGCCATCACCACTAGTTCAGGATTTGACATCTTTTTCCTCATCCATTTCTATATTTGTTGATTTATTAGTTCTTCAATAGATTAATTACAATAAAATAAATGTACATGAACCACAAATTCCACAGAACAGTATTCTTAAGTATCCATAACTGTCTACAGAGTAAATTCACTCAGCAAATATAACCTTCATTAATTAATTTGTGTTGTATATATCCACTAATTAACATACATTTCATATCAATGCCATAGTACACCATAGTCAACTTCTTTGACTAAACATTTTGTAAACAGTACAGTGAATATTTTTAAACAAGCCACTCATACTAAGACACGTGCTTTGACTCTTACATTGGTTTCTATGCTCCTAACACATAAGAGTTCATGGCCACAGTAGAATGCTTAAATCACCTAGGAGCTTTCATTCTGAGGAATATAAGCACAGCAAATAACAGAAAGCTGAGATATTCTTTCCACTGATACATGCCTTCCCCATTTCCTTTGCTCAGTCATTTAGGTATTTATTATTTTATGGCATAATTTATTTTTTTCCCTCTGCAGTAAGTGGCCACTTGAACTCATCACTGACTCAAAGCAAGAACATACATCACAATCTTGCTTACTTATCCTTACCCCAAAATGTAACCCCTTTGATGCATTAAGGGGTTACATTTTGGGGTAAAGATAGCATTACTTACTGAACTCCAGTGGTTCTATGTTATATTAATAATAATTCTTGCCTCACCCCATACTTTCATAGTTAGATAACTTCATTCTATTCATTTTTATACACTGACATATTTATTTATTCTTTCACTTATTGAATAACAACAAAATCAAAATCCATGAAGCACCAAAG
The DNA here is from genome assembly GCF_000001405.40 of Homo sapiens. Lineage (NCBI taxonomy): Eukaryota > Metazoa > Chordata > Mammalia > Primates > Hominidae > Homo > Homo sapiens. The sequence goes on along the minus strand of NC_000014.9, from coordinate 100,962,216 downwards.
ACTGAGAACCTGATTCCTGAATATCACTGAAATCTATCTGTAGGCATTCCTACAGATATAAACACTTAAATCCCTCTTTGTAGTGGACCGCAGTAGGTCACAGATATTTTGATCATAAAACACATTTCAGAATGTATTCCACTCGCATCGTTGGTCCTTCCTTAGCCTTTTTTCACATAATTTGTATATTCTTTCTACATAAACACGACTCAACCACCAGAAGAAAACGCTGACAAGTGCTTCTAGTTCCTATGTGTCCCTTCTTCGTAACTTACATCTTTATCACTTGAGGAATGCTTAGGGAAAACCTGCAGTAGAATTCTAAACAGAGCAATTTGTGATAGGGACTTGATCTTTTTTAAAAACCATCCTAAATAACACTAAATCAAATTAATCCTAAATTTTGGTTCTTCATCGTTAGTATAGGCTTGTCCTTGTTTGATTTTATTCATGTATGTAGTCATTCACTCATTTTAAAGATGTACAATGAACACCCATGAAAACCCACTCAACGGACAAAGACTGTGCCAATTCCACTGATTTCTAATCTCCTAAAATGTAGCAGTATCCTAGAAAGCCTGGTCTTTTCAGAATGCTTAACTCACCTAAGGTGCATCCATTTTGTACAATATAACAATGATGTTATATAAATTAGACATTTCTCCATTGAGCCATGTTGTTCCCCTTTCATTTACTTAGACTTTTAAATATTAATTGGGTGGGGTGCAGTGGCTCATGCCTGTAATTGCAGCATTTTGGGAGGCTGAGGTGGGCGGATCACTTGAGGTCAGGAGTTCAGGACCAGGCTGGCCAACATGGTGAAACCCCGTCTCTACTAAAAATACAAAAATTAGCCAGGCGTGGTGGCACACGCCTGTGATCCCAGCTACTCGGGAGGCAGAGGCAGGAGAATTGCTTGAACCTGGGAGGTGGAGGTTTCAGTGAGCTGAGATCGCGTCACTGTACTCCTGCCTGGGCAACAAACAGAGTGAGACTCCATCTCAAATATAAATAAATAAATATTAATTGCTTAATTAATTAATTACCTTCTTTTTCTCAATAAAATAAACAAACTGGAACTTACCACTGACACAGAGCAAGGACATTAACTATTTCATACATTTTTCTCAGTGATTCTGAAAATATTTCTCAGGAGGCAGCATCAGCATGATTTGGGAAACTATTGGAACCTACAGAAATTAAGTTATTAGAAATTTAGATTCTCAGACCCCACACCAAACCTACTGAATCAGAAATCCTGAGAATGTAGGTGACCTTCTGTATTTTACAAGCCCTCCAGGTCACTCCAATGCTCGCATTTGAGAACAACTACTCTATATTACCCTACCCTAGACAGGTGACACCCTTGATGTACAGGTTTCTTAATGCATTGCAGTGTTTCAGAATTACAGAACCAAAAATTCCTGTCTGATAGCATTTTCCTCAATTAATCCAGCTTTATCCTCTTCATCTTTAATTATTTATATGTGTGTCTGTATGTTTTGCTGATTCTTTCATTTATTTCCTTCGAATAATGCAATAAATCCCCAGGATCTACTGAAACCCCATAATTAGATCCCTCAAATTTACTGAAATTTACTATAGACTTATTCTCACAGATGTAATGCCCAAGTGTTCAATCTATGACCCATTGTCCCTCTCATAGAAAACTTGGTTATACAGGCAGACACCATGGAGGCTCTTGTCTGTGTCCAGTTTATTCCTACCAAGAGAGGCACTCTCTAGGAGAGCCCCAACCTGGAAATCAGTTAGGTCTGGGTGTGTTGATCAGTTGAGACACAGAAGAAACAACTTAGCAAAGCACATGAAATAACAGGAGCAGTGTACTACTCACAAGTCCCAGAGAACAGATGGCAGCATGCCTGGCAGGGCCAGTGGGAAGGGAGGACATTCATTAAATATACTTCAAATTTCTAAATAACACAGTTAGGAAGCAAACCACTGGAACCATAGCAAGAACTTTAACAGGTACTTACATTGGTTTTTTCTTTTTTTGTTTTGTTTTCTTTTTTTTTTCTTTTGAGATGGAGTTTCACTCTTGTTGCCCAGGCTGGAGTGCAATGGCGCAATCTCAGCTCACTGCAACCTCCGCCTCTCGGGTTCAAGCGTTTCTCCTGCCTCAGCCTCCTGAGTAGCTGGAATTAAAGACATGCGCCACCATGCCCGGCTAATTTTGTATTTTTAGTAGAGACGGGGTTTCTCCATGTTGGTCAGGCTGGTCTCGAACTCCCAACCTCAGGTGATCCGCCCACCTCAGCCTGGGATTACAGGCTGGGATTACAGTGCTGGGATTACAGTGTTGGGATTACAGGCATGAGCCACAACATGTGGCCACATTGATCTTTACTCTCCTGACAAAGTTTAATAAAGACAATCCCAATCATGATGTCCATTCTGTGGAATATAGGACAGGTGTGAAAAGCATGAGACAATCACTCCATTGAAATTTCCATAGATTTAATATACCAAATCTCCCTTTTAAATAAATTGCAGGGGTGCAGAAATGAATTTAATCATAAAACTGATCAATCAATCCATTCATATCACTGATTGGTGCTTGGCCTTTTCTTCATTTAACATGTACATACGTTTAAGATGGAACAACGAACAACCATCAAGTCATCACCCCATTCAACATCTAAAACCCTGATAATGACTTATAAAAACACAACTACGTAAAATTTAAGCCTTGGATCTAACCCATAGATTGTTATCCATCAAGGAATGTTGCATAAACAGGAGTAAAACCCAAAATGGAATAATACATAGCTATGAAAAGAGAATGGAAAACACTGATCTCTTTTTAAATCGTGCTCCATTGTACTAAAATGGATTAAGTTATAATCCCTGCTTAAAAACACATCCTCATAAGTAGTCCATGCTTAGCTTCCTCTAACTTCCTTACCTATGTTTTGATTTATGTATTTATATAATGTTTTCAATTTACTAAAAGAGAAAACAAAAACAAGTATAAACTAAAAAGCTCCAGAAATAAAGACAATGAGTATTCACATATGTGTATATGCAGGTTACTGACTTGGGTCACAAGCTTGGTCTATTTTTATTAATGGATCATAACATTTAAGACATGTCATAATAATTCTTGTTCCAGTAAATATACTCAAAATGAGACCACACTTAGACATATGTATCTATATTAACTTACAAGATGTTTATGCATACTTATCCACTGATAATAAAATTAGTATGTGTTAACAATCCACCATAGCCCCTAAGCAAGTTTCTTGAATAGTCTTAATATCTGTCAATGGGTTCATTTCCAAGAGAGATAATAGACAAGGTAATATAATAGGCTAGGTCTTTTTTTGTAACGAACTACAAAAATGTTGTGAAATATAATAATAATCATGTTTGTCTAGATTTGATTTCAGTTATGTCATGGTCCATGCTTGAACCGTTTTGTTTAAATTATATAGTCTATGAAGATGTAACAATAAGCCGGAAGAATATTCCACTTGAACCCACTATGATAATGACAAGTATTTACTTCACATGTGCTCCTTCCTCAGGGAGTTCACAGACTAGGCTATCTAGCAATATAGGAACGTTTGTGTAAACTATGAAAAATGCTAAAATGGGATATTAAAAATGTCCCATTTTTAGTTTATCTATAAAATGACTAAAATGACATCAATCTTTATCTTTTCAAAATTGTCCACAGTTGTACTGAATTACATTAATTATAATCCTTAGTTTATAACAGACTCTCACTTTTTGTCCCCTTTGATTTTCTTTAGGTATGTGGCCATTTATCTACCTTCTATAGTACTATGAACATCAATGAACAGGCAAACTACCCAATCAAAAACAAGAATGTCAACTATGACTTACATAAGAACACACTCCTTGTCCTCTGGGGAACAGTCAATACCACCGTCGCTACAGGATGATCAATCACCCATGAACATCAACCCTGCGAAGTACAAAGTAGATGTTACAGGTAAGAAACAACAAGATTCAGGCTGTGTCTGAATAAATATGAAATGATCAGGGTTAGGTTCATCTCAAACATTGGTTCACGACACTCCCCATCCTTAGATTAGATTCACTCTCCTTTTATTTATTGAATTATTTAAGTTATGAATTTTACATCAATAGTGAACATTCTTGAATCCATCACCTGCATTAAGAAAAACATCTGACTATGGGACATATTGGCCCCAGTGCCGCCACTCAAACATGTAATCGTCTTGCTATTCTCTGCAAGTTAGCTTTGCTTTACAGAATCAGCTTCTTCTCATTCCTGGCTTTATAACACAGTCTCATGAGTGGTCAGTTCTTGATCTTTTTATCTATTAACTCATTCATTATTAGTCTAAATGAGTTTATAATTCAGGAACAAACGAATTAATTTTTCCAACCAGCTATTCCTTTTCAACAAAATGAGTAATCTTTTCATTTTCAGAAATCTAGAACAGAAATGCCTATCCGACCCTAGTAAAATCCTACAATTTGTTTCTAACTAAGAGCAACTTTATAGAGGACATACTTAGTCCATACTTGGTTCCATTTTTCTTCGTGTATTCATACATTTCTTTGGTTATTTGTGCACTAATCAACTTATGAAGATATAATCGATAGCTACGAAACACAATCGGATCTTTGCTATTTCTAATACAGAATACAGGCTATTATTTATGTTACCTGCATGATTTTTAACCAGGTGTAACAGCCTGAACCATTGGTTTTTTAATGACATTCAGTGTCTTCAGTGTACATACACGTGGATTCTCTTGCCACCACATCTTTCCATAATTTGATGATGCTTCACCCTATTTACCTTTATGTATTTGTATCCATATGTTGATCCTTTTATTGATCAATTTATTATGATAGAGTAAAAACTCATTTAAAAAGGCCAAATAAGATCCTTATATATTCTTAAATAATCTATAGGATTATTTCTAAAAGAGGCAATAACCTAGATTCCTTCCTTCTTGGACCTCAGAGTTCCAGACATATATTCACCAAATATGATTTATACGCCACCAGTGGACATCATTGATCCAGGCTTGGCTCTCATTTTCTTCATTCATATCATTGAATAATACATCAAAAATCTAATAATACTAAAATAAATACCAAGAATCACAAAAACTAGAAGACAAGATTCTTGAATATTTCTAACATCTGCCTATGGAATAAGCAGAAATATAATAATATTTCTAACATCTGCCTGTAGATCAACTGACCTCAAGGCTTCATATATAATAATTACATTTTTTACATTTGGGTAATGGTTGGCAGTCACTGATTACATTTTGCACTTACTGCATACCCTTCAGAAGAACACTGAAACTGAGACAAGAAGTTTGACTATTACGTCAGTCTCCATGTTCCTAACACATGGAGGCAACCACTGATCTCATAGCCACAGAACACCAAAATCAGCCCGGGTCTGTCCATTCTGAGGAGTACAGAGCAGACTAAAAACATTGAGACCTAATCTCTGTTGATCCTGCCTTTCTGCATAGCATTTATTCAGTGATTTGGGTATTTACTAATTTTTCATATTATAGGTGTCTTTCTCTCTTAACAGAAGAAACAATCTCTGACCAAGAAAATAAAACTGACTCTTACTTGTTAGATTCTATATAATCCTTAGTCAAAGAGGAAACACTGTGATCCATTTCTTTGATAAGAGGAATCAGTATCTCCTATTTTTAGTAATAATTTATCTCATCTCCTATATTCATAGCTGGACACTGTAGCTTAAATCTCTACTTGTAATCTGTTTATATTTGTTTAATGGTTCTATCATTCATATATTAGTAATAATAAACCTAAATCTATGACCCCAAGATAAGAAAATGATCTTTGTATGTTTCTGACATTGTCTACAGGATCATTTCCAACAGAAGCAAAAACCTAGATTCTTTTCTTCTCATATTCATCATCCATGACTTATATGCCACCAGTGGTCACCATTGATTCATAGTTGGGTCTCTCTTTCATCATTCATTTCTAAATATTTATTGAATAAATCATTTCTTCTTTGATAATAAAATGAATACATGATTTTGAAAACCCAAGAACAAGATATTTGAAGAATCCTTACATTTGTCTATACAATAATTTCCCACAGAGACTACATCTCTTTCATTAATTAACCTCAATGTTGCACATTGTCATTAAGCCAATTAACTTTTTATTATATTAAATAATTTTTAATAATATCAGGAATACCATTAAACAACCTAAACCAAGACAAGAACCATTACTCACATTGGCCTAACACAGAGGCAACATAGCCTTGATCACAGCAAAATGATCAGCTCATTGCATCCATCCTGAAAAGTGCAAAGCAGAGAAGATGATTAAAAAATTGAATATTCTTTACATTAATCTATATTTTTCACCATTCATTTACATAGTCATTTGAGTATTTATTAATTTTTTCTTAATACAACAAATGTGAAACTTGCAACTAACCATTACTTACTGCTATCTATATGATCCTTAGTCAAAGATGTATTACACTTGGTCCATTAATTATCCAACCATTTCAATTTATATTAGTATTGTTTCTCTTTACTACACATTTCAACAATAAACAATACTTCATCCTCATCTATATTCATTTATACATGTTTGTTTATTCTTCGTTGCTATTTTAATAATATAATATTTTTAAAATTCATAAACATAAAGAAAAAGAACAAGGTTCTTGTATTTCCCTGACATCTGTCTACAGGAGTTTTTCAGACAGAGGGACTAGGCTAGATACTGCTTGTGATGGACCTCAGAGTTCTAGACACGTATTCATTGTATGACTCATAGGCCACCAGTGGTCATCATCAATCCAGCCAGAATTGGCCCTCTTTTTCTCCTTTTATTTGTAAGCTGTTTCCTAATGATTCATTAGTTCACTAACAATAACATAAATACCTCTGGATCACCAAGTTTTAAGGACAAGATCCTTAAGTATTCCTAGTATCTGTCTACATAATCATTTGCTTCAATTAGTATATTAATACTTCCTTCATTCATCATGTTCATTGTTTAAAATATCTATTAATCTACACAATATTTCATGTCAAGTCCATACGTATCCTTGGGACATAGCTGGCCTTCCTTGATTATATTAATATATAATATTTTTTAAATATTACACTGAATATCCTAAACAAATAAGCAAAAGCAAAAAATAATTTTACTGTTAACTCACATTGGCCCATGTGCACCTCTACAGAGGGGCAGACATGGGGCTCCAGATCAAGGCAAGATGTTCTGCCAGCCCAGGTGTGTCCATTCTGGGAAGTGCAAAGCAGAGAAGGTAACAGGATTGAAATATTTTTCACGGATTCATTCATTTGACCCTTCTCTTAGTCATTCAGGTATCTATTAATTGTGGTAATACTTATCAATTTTCTTTTAAAAAAATGAACAACAGCACACTTGTTCTGATGCAAAATAAGAAACTTCACTATACTGCTTATGTCATCCGTAGTCAAAGATTACACTTGAATTGTTCGTTTTTTAAATGGTATTCATATTTTCAATACATTTTAATGATTTCTGTTGTCTCACCATTTACATTGAGTGGACATGCTTCACACTCCTCATCTTTAATTTTTTACATGTGTACATTGATTATTACATCAATGAATTTATTTTAAAGAAGAAACAAAAGTCACAAAAACAATCCAAGAAGATGGCCCTTTTGTATTTCCAAAACCTAACTATAAGATCACTTCAAAAGCAATAGACTATATTTCCTCCTCTATTGAACCTCAGAGTTCTAGACACACATTATTCAGCATCCTTGACTTCTATGCCACCAGTTTTCATCACTGGCTCAGGCTTAGGACTGTTTAGCTTAATTCTCATTTACATGTTATTTATGCATTAATTCATGAATATTAATATTATAACCCATGTAAATATAATATCCAAACAGTAAGAGCATAGAATATTCCACAACTTTCTATATAATCTGCCACTTTGATATATCTTTCATGAATTATCCTCAATGTGTCATAAATGAGCTAGCAAATATACTGTTTCAACCAATCTCATATTTATCATTGGCTGAGGTTGGCCTTTTGGATAATTTTTCACACATTCATGATATTATGAATACCCTTTAAAAAGTCTCTTAGAGAAAGACATGAACTTTATTACTCACACTGATCTCTATGCTCCTAACCAACAGTGGCAACCACAAATCTCATGACCATGAATGCTTAGGTCGGCTCAAGTGCATCCATTCTGCAGAATACAAAGAGCAGGTAACTCTTTTAGAAAAAATTCAAACCTTATCTCCATTGATCCTTTCCATATTTCTGTTATTCAGTTATTTTTATATTGATTAATTTTTCAGAATGGAAATGTTTTCTCTCATAACAAAAGGAACAATGTCAAATGAGACTTAACCAGAAAATGAAACTGACTCTTACTTATTAAGAGTCTAGATGAACCTTAGCCAAAGAGCTGATACTCATGATCCATTTCTTTTTTTTTTTTTTTTTTTTTTTTTTTTTTGAGACGGAGTCTCGCTCTGTCGCCCAGGCTGGAGTGCAGTGGCGGGACTCATGATCCATTTCTTTAAGGGGCATCTGTGTTTAAAATTTTTAGTGATAATATTTCTTACATCATCATGTATATTCATAATTGAACAATGATTCACCTTTATTTATTCTTGTTTAATTGTTCTATCATTTATCTATTGATGATGAACCTCAATCTATTAATCCAAAGTAAGAATATGATCTTTGCACATTTCTGATATCTATCCAATTATGTTTTCTGTTGGACCTCAGAGTTTCAGACACGTAGTATTCATCGTCCATGACTCAAACGCCACCAGTGGTCATCATTGGTCCATGTTTAGTAGAGGTGGGGTTTCACCATTTTGGCCAGACTGGTCTTGAACTCCTGACCTGAGGTGATCCACCCACCTCGGCCTCCCAAAGTGCTGGGATTACAGGCATGAGCCACCACACCCGGCCAGGGAGACAGTTCTAATAACTACTTCAAGTCCTTTTCTGCTAATGCTCACATCTGTATAAGTTCTGGGTTGGTTTTGATTAATTCATTAGTCTCTTAATTGTGGGTTGTGTATTTTTTGCCCCTTTGAATGCCTGGTAAATTTGCAGATGTGAATTTTACCCTGCTTGTGTGCTGGATATATACGTATTTCTAAAAATGTCCTTGAGCTTTGTTCTGGGATACAGTTAATCTACCTGGAAAGAGTTTGATCCTTTTGGATCTTGTTTTTACCATCCATTAGGTCTGAAGCAGCATTTAATCTGGGGTTAATTATTTCCCCCATGGAGGCACTCGCTTCTTGAGAAACCTCTCCAATGCCCTGTGAGGATGAGCATTTCCAGGCTGCTTGGTGGAAATGGACACTAGTCCCCCCTCACATGAACACTGGGCGCTGGTCTCCCTAATTTTTTGGACAGTATAAGATTTTTTTCTTTTTTCTTTTTATTGATGATAATAAAATAACCATGAAGCACAAAAACCTAGATCATGAATGAGCCTGAAATAGTCCTGCATCTCTATATAGAATCACTTTCTCTCTTTTATTAATCATCCTCAAAGGTGATTAATCAATATAATGTTTCATATCAATTCCATATTTATCACTGAGCCATGGCTGGCTTTCTTGGATTATATTTCATACTTTTCAAATAAAGAGTGTATGTCCACAAAAACTCATATTTTTTTCCATGCGCCAAACATACAGAGGCAGCTATACATCTTGTGACCACCAAAGAATGTTTAAATCAGCTCCAGTGCATCCATTCTAAGGAGTACAAAGCAGAGCATTTGATTAAAAGAAAATTAGGACTTTATCTTAATTGAATCTTACTCCCCACATTTAATTTACTCATTCACTTAGGTGTTTATTAACTTTTTGTAGTTTATATATTTTCTAGACAAAACATACAACCTCCACTTGGTTTGAACCACAGTAATAAAGTTGACTATTATTTATCAGTGTCTATATGATCATTAAGGGTAACACTTTGATCCACTTATTTCTTAATGGGAATAGTGTTTTCAACATTTATTATTAATATTTCTTGCCTGACCACATATATTGATACTTGAATAAAGCTTCACCATCTATAGTACAATAAATCATACTTATTGATTTATATATTAATTTAATGCTTCCATCATTGATTTACTTATAAGAATGCTATCAAATACATATTAGGAATATACAAAGATTTTGCCCTTTTATTTTGGATTTCCATCAGAGTAATTAGACTAAATTTTTTATTGTGTTGGACCTCAGATTTCCAGATACAAACTGTTATTCAACCTCACTGACTCATACCCCAACAGTCATTATCATTGGTCCCAAGCTTGGGCCTCTTTTATCTCATTCATCTCTACATTTCTTTACTGGTTAATTTATCAGTAAACTAATCATATTAAAGTAAATATCTACCTATCTAAAACGCTTATGAACAAAATCCCAAAACCCTTGAGAACAAGATGACTTAAGTATCCCTAACACCAGTCTATAAAGTCATTTACCATGTTTTTTTCATTAATCATCCACAGTGTTATAAATATGGATTAATCAACATGTTTCATGTCCACCACATACTTTCCACTGGGTCATGGGTGGCTTTCTTTGGTTATTTAAAAATTTATAGTGAATCTTTTAAAATCTACCCTAAACAAATATAAAAATATGACAAGAAGATTGACTCTTACTTCTATTAGTGTCCAGGCTCCTACCCAGAGGCAACTGTGGAGAACGCGATCACAGCAGAAGGCCTGTAAGTACAAAGCAGTGCAGATAAAGAAAATAAAAATGGAGACATTATTTTCCTCGATCTATGCATGTCACCTTTCATTTAGCCAATCATTTAGACATTTAAAATTTTCACTTAATATTTATTAATTTTTTAAGAAAACAAACAACATTGATCTTGACACTGACACAAATCAAGAGCGTTTCTTTGTATATTGACTATTTCATAATAGACTCTATTGTTTTCAATATATATGAATAGTTTCTTTTATCTACTCATACAATTTTTGTAATTGGACAGTACTTCACTTATTCAGATTTATTTATATTTGTTTATTAATTATTTTATCTATCTATATTATTTATATCCTCTATATCATCCTTAGCTAGAGGTAACACATTTGAAACATTTATTTCTTAACAGACTTTTTCCATATATATATAAATGGCTTCTCGTTTCCCTACATAGTTTCATAATTGTACGATGATTTCATTACTCATGTGTGTTTCTATTGCTTTATTGATTCTTTCATTGATCTATTTATAATAATAGAATCAAAATCCATTAATGCAAAAACCAAGAACATGAGCCTTGTGTATTCTTAAATCTGTCTATAGGGTATGGTATTTTCAACAGAGGCAGAGTCATCATTGACTGAAGACTGGCCCTCCTCTTCTCCATTACTTCTACATTTGTTTATTTATTAATTCATCCTTTCACTAATAGTAATTAAATAATGTTACAAAAACTTAAGAACAAGAAATACTGTATAGCTCTCTATAGGATCATCTCTCACAGTGATTTTATCATTAATCATTTTTAATTTTATAAATATTAGATAATCAACATAATGTTTCATGGCAATGCCATAATTACCCCTGGACCATGGTTAACCTTTTGGATTATCTGTAATGTTCTTAATAAAACAATGACTACCCCTTAAAAACCCAGAACCAAGACAAGAACTTTGACTATACTCACATTGGTCTCCAAGCTTCTAACACACAGAGGCAACCAGAAACCTCATGACCATGGAAGGGTGCTTAAGTCAACTTGAGGGTGTTCATTGTGAGAGTACAAAGCAAAAAAGATAAAAAGATGGAAATATTCTGTCCATTTATCCACACATTTCTCCTTTCATTCTATTAGTCATGTAAGTATGTGTGAAACTATTTTTTCTTGAGAAAACAAACAACCATGAACATGGTCCTGACCCAAATGACCTCACATACGTTATTATTATTTTTACTGTATATGCCATCCTGCAGCAAGCGAGTAATACCTCTGAGTCATTTATTTGTTAATAGAAAGAAGACCTCAGTGTTTTTAATAAATGTGAATAGTATTTCTTATTTCACCATATATTTCCATAATTGGACAACGCCTATTTTTATCTTTATGCAGTTAAAATATATTTGCTTATTGATTCATTGATCCAATTATAAAAATAGAGGGAAAATGCATGAACGTGAAGACCAAGAACAACATCCTCAAATATTCCTAATGTCTATCCCTAGGATAGAAGGTGAAGACTAGATTTTTTATTATATTGGACCTCAGACTTCCAGACCTGTATTCACCGTCAATGACTCATACGCCACCAGTCATCATCATAGGTCCAAGATTGACTCTATCTTTCTTCATTCATGTCTATCTACATTCGTTTTTTGATTAATCAATTCATTAATAGTGCTGTAATCATAAAATAAATAGCTATGAATAGGGAAGTCTTAAGAATAAATTTGTACTTAGGTAGTGAATAATAAAAATGCTTGACCTTATTTGATTATATTTTAGACTTCTTAAGAATACAGAGAATACCCTTAAAACAAAACAAGAATTTTAACTACTACTCACAAGAGTCTTCCTGTGACACACGGAGGTAACTGTACAGTTCACGGTCATTGCACAGTGATTAAATCAGATGGGGCTGTTCATTCTGAGGAATACAAAGCAGACCAGATGATAAACACTGATAACTTGTCTTCAGTCACCTTTGTATTACCCTTTCATTTTCACAGTAGTTTAGGTATTTATTAATCTGTGATAATATTTACATATTTTTCTTTTAAAAAATTAACAAACTTGAACTTGAACTGATCCAGAACAATAATATTGACTATTTCTTATATGCAGTGTCTTAAGACCCTTAGACAAAGTAGCATGCTTGATACATGTATTTCTTGAGACGTCAGTGTTTTCCATTTATATTAGTAGTTTTTCTTGCCTAATCACATTTATTCATAGGCGAACAATGCTTCAGTCTCGTTTTTTACTTGTTTATATGCTTGTTTGTTGGATTTGTCATTGATCTCTTTATAATAATAAAATCAAAATTTACTAACAAAATCCTTGATATTAGACTTAAGAACTTAAGACAATTACTAACAGCAGCCTATGTCCTCCCTACTCACACAGGTGGCCATCAAAACCTTCATCAGTGGAAAATGATTGCATCAGCCATCACGCCTCCATTCTGTGAAGTACAAAAGAGATGTTAGAAAGAATGAAACCACTGTGATTTTTCTTTCTGTTTATGGATGTCATGTGTTACTGGATTAATTGAAATTCTTGATAGGTAACAGAGTTTTATCATCAGCTTATGATTGCCTATGACTAGCTCAAAGTTAAGTTTTAATAAACTAGTAAGTACAATAAACCTCATTCCTAAATACAAGGAAAAGAACTATATAATGAATACTTGTCTCTATGCCCCTCTCGCATAGATAACAATAATTTAGGTTTACCTTTAAATGAACTGCATTTAAATGAAATTAATCTAAATGATTGTTTCACAGCACAGTTTCATCAATGGTCTACGGTATCCCTTATTTATGTATACATCAGTTTGTATACATCTGTATCTATGTATTTGTGTCTGTACTTCCTTATGGATTAATTAATCATCATTCACATTTCTAAAGAAAATGAACAGGTTAAGAAAACCAACAACTAAGTACTAAAATATAATGTTTGCATCTGTCTACGTATAAAATACCCTAAGTGGACAGAGCCTTGAAATTCTTTGTATATCTGAACAGCAGGTAAATAAAAAGGAACCCAGGCTTCTTAACAGTCAATGTTTGGCCCTCTTTAGTTTAGTTAGTGGGTTAATCTTTTACTTATTTATTTAATGGCTTTTTTCTTTTAATAAAATGAAAAACTATGAATTCACTCTATAACCTGAACAAGAACACTGACTATTACAAAAATTGCCTATATTCTCCTCATCCAAAGGGAAAAAATGCTTCATCAAGTCCTAGTGAAAGTCAGTGTTTCAGAAATATTTTTTGGAATAGCAAATTCATGCTGGGCTTAATACCTAAGTGATGGATTGACAGGTGCAGCAAACCACCATGGCACACATTTACCTAGGTAACAAACCTGCATATCCTGCACATATACCCCAGAACTTAAAATAAAATTAAGATGTAAAGAAGAAACAAAAAATTATTATTTCATTCTATATGCCCACAGTAGATTCTTTTCTTCTTTTATTCTACATTAGTGCACTGATTCAATCATCGATATATTTATAATAATATAATCAATACCTATCAAAACCTTAAAACTTAAATACCATGAGTACTGCCACATTGTCTGTGGGCTCATTTACCACTATCCCTCTTGGGAATGGACACTACTACTGCATATTTGAACTAATCTTAATCCTTGGTTCATACCCAACAAAAACCCACCATTGGTCCATATTTAGTATTCTTCATCATCATTCATTTACACATTATTTCATGTTTCATTGATTTACTAACAGTATAATCAATTCCTATGAATCCCAAAAACCCAATAACAAGAAATCAGACAACCCTGACATCTCTTCATAGGTCATTTCTCACAGAGGAAGGAAGATAGATCCCTTTGTGTGATAGATTCAGTTTTTCAGATTAGCAGATTAATGACCATATCTGCTTCATATTAATCCCATACTCTTAATTGGTCAAGGCTTGATCATCTTTCATTGACCCTGTCCATATTTTAAGGATGTGATGATGAAGAACTACGAAGCTGCCATTTTACTCCACACTGACAATATCTTCCATCTTGGAATGTGAATAAGCTGTCTTTATAGAGGGAGGTTAAAATCAACTGTGACTCAAATAAAATTGAATAATTTATTTTTACATTAATTAACTCAATAATTAACTATTAAAATGAATAAGATGGTCTTGCTTTTTTCTCCTTAACTGACCACAGATGTGCTGAATGATTCACATATAACTTCATTCATTTTATTTGTATACATAGTCATTTATTCCTTTCCAGAAAGACTTAACTCTCTTAACAACCACTAAAGCAAAAGCAATCACTTTGTTACTTACATAGGTTTCTACACTCATTACTCAAACAGACAACAACCATGATCTTCCTCGCTGGAGAATAATTGAATCATTGCGCATTCATTCTGTGGAGTACAAGGTGAATATAATAGGTAGATGAGAAAGAGAGAGAGAGAGAGAGAGAGAGATAGAGAGAAATGGATCAGCCTAGATTTAGATTTTTTTAAAATTCCGTTCAAGTCAACAATTATTGATTAGAAATAAACCCTGGTACTTGTCGTGTATTTAAAAGATGAACAACATTGATTCATTGACTAATTGACTCAAGTATGAAATTTAACTACTGTAAGTAAAACCAGGCAAAATAATAATAATTGTGACTATTAAACACGTCTGTCTGTTTATCTGCCTTCTACTCAACTAGGAAAGGGTTAAATTTCCTTTCTACATGAATCTTGCTAGAAAGAATTAAATTAATCTGAATCCTGGATTCGAGTACATTCTCAACAATTGTGTATGCGTGCATACACACATACATATAAAGTTAAATAGTTACACATGGAGGCATGTCTATTCCGTGTTTTAAGGAAATTGCACCAATGAGACTGAAAGGGAAATACTATCCAAATATATAAACATATTCACCATTCCAAAAATGCAAGAGCCTACCTCAATTTTGTTTATGGAAATAATGACAATACTGGAGAGCTGTTGTATGGAACTGGATTAATCACTCTTTTTGTTCCATAATACCTGGCCCTCATTGGTCCATGATTTGGCCTTATTTTGAATAACTGATTGAGACATTAATTTGTTCCTTTTTACATTTATAATAAAATCATTATGTCTGTGACTTCACAGAAACTGGACAATATCAATGCCCATCCCATGCTCATTAGACAGAAAATTCAGATCATTTTCCTTGCTTTCGTAAATTAAACTGAGGAACTGAATTTAAATAGTGAAGATTATTAGAATTCATTATAACTGGTCATTTGACATATTCTCAAGATAGATCCATGTGTAAACTCTCTCTCAATTAGGTAGTAATTTAAGCAATAATTAAAGTAAACATTTTGCCCTTTTCTTTAAAAAAAAAAAAATGAACACCCTCAAGCAGAACAACAACATGGACTCTAACATCCATTTATCTAACTGCTCCTTACCCAAAGGGTCAGCTTTGATTAATTTATTTTACTGGGACTTAGTGCTTCAGAAACGTATTAGTAATGATTCCTATTATTTTATGTACTCTCATATTTGGAGCAGGAATAACCATTCTGTTATTTATACCGTACTTTTCTTGATTTATCCATATACTTCTTTACTAAAAATAATACAGTCCATACTCAGAAGCCCAAAAACTAAATCCTGATTATTGTTAGCTTCTGGAATAAGCTCATTTCCCATAGACATAATGAAAAGTACTCTTTTTGTAATGGACCTCAGAGTTATAGGGTTTAATCAAAATCCAAGATTCAGACACCCCAGGGTACTCATCATTGATCCAGGATAAGCAATCTTTTCCTTCATTTATACCTTTGTTTATTGATCCATTCATTGATTCAGTAGCAGTAATAAAATCAATACCCATTGTTATTTTAGCATCCACAAACAGTATCCTTGAATATAACCAAGATCTGTTTACAGGCTCTTTTCGCATAGACTAGCCCTATTCTCAATAGACTAGATCTCCTTTTGTAGTGGCCCACAGTGAAGCAAGTATAGATCAATGAACATCCTTGCTTCCTAGCCATCTCATTCCACTTATCTTCCACCTTTCCATGCATTCCTCCCTCATTAAAGAGCTGTCTAACAGGACTTTGCATATAATGTAAACGTACTGTAACTGCGTTCTCCATTACAGTCACCAATAGCAACATACAGCTGCTGAGCACTAGAAATGTGGCTAATGCAACCAAGAAATTACATTTAAAAGTGCATGTACCTTTAATTATTTTAAATATAAATAGCCACATGTGGATAGAGGAAACGACATTGAACAGTGCAGCCATAGATTTTATTAGTGAATAAATCTTAAATTAAATGCAGTACAAAATAAGATGAATTATTAATCAGATAAAAAAATGAATAAAATGTCTTTCATCTTATTTTTAACCAAAATTGTGCTTAATTGGACTAACCACAATCTAAGTTTCATAACACATTCATCTCATTGATCTACATATGCCTTAACTTTAAATAATTCAGTGAACATTAATGAAAAATTTACCCTAATTGACAAGTTTTTGGACTGTTATTTACTTAAGTCTTTAGCTTCCTTACACACAAAGGTAACAGCCAAGATCTTCATCAGCAGAGACTGATTAAATCAACCATGGTCTTCATTCTGTGGAGTTGAATACAAATTTTCAAAAGAATGAACAGTACAGATTTAGATTGACTTAAAAGACATTAGTTGTGTGATATTAAATTAATCATAAAGTTGATTCAAATCCCATTTTTATCACTGACCCAAGAACTGCACTTATTTTTATTTCCTGATTTAACTATTAACTTTAAATAATACAATAAACACTGTTAAATTCATCACCCAAAACAAAAACTATGACTATGGCACACATCTGTCTATAGACACCTACACAGGCAACCGCTTTAGATCATCTTTTTTATTTAATGGACTCAACATGTGTAGAAATGGATGAATTTAAATTCATGATTCATGGCATATTATCACCAATGGTAAATGCTTTACCCTACTTATATATGAATTCATTTATTGTTTTGATTTGTTTATGTTATGACGCATGGAATATTTCATTATACATTCACAAATACTAACACACACACACACACACACACACACACACACAGAGCAGTAAACTCATGAAGAACCCACAACAGAAATGCTTTTCATGTTCAATGTCTATATTCCCACACCTAACCAGGAAGACAGCATCAGTAGTTTAGAAAAAGACTAACTTTCATTTTCATTTCTCACTCAGTTGTGTTACGCCCTCTTTTAAAAAATTAATTGTGACAAGGACATATTCTATTCACATGTAACAATTCAATATATAGGAATTTACTTACATTATAGAAGAAGCTTGAATAATATTATGTCTCCATATGTCCATTATGCTATCCACAAGATTTAGAAACTAGATGCTTTTTTTAGTTTTTAATAAAACTCAGTACAGAGTTGGATTTATAATAACTTTTCATAAGGAATATTCTCAAGTTGAAACATGCTCATTTATTTCCAATTAAATAACTGTTTCATCTATTATTTATTTATGCAATTTTCCCTCCTCTAAATAAAACCAATCAGTAAACAACCATCAACATCAAACAATTATTTTGTGTCTGGCATACATCTGTCCACATACGCCTTCCAAAACAAGGCAACAGCCTCTATCATTATATATCACTGGAATTCAGTGCTATCGAAGCATATAATAATAATCCATTCGTCATTACATACTCTCATAATTGGTCAATGCCAAGCTCTCCTTATATTTACCCATTTATGCAAAATTTATGCATTGATTTACTTATAAAATGGAATCTATACCAAAAAACTATGAACACCCATGATCAAGATACCTGAATATTCTGAACTTGTGTTATAAGCTCATTTCCCTAGAGGGAAAAATGGGGGCCTCTTTTTAAAATGGACCTCAGAGTTACAGATGGCTTTAATCAAAATTTTTGATTCAGACACCCTCCAATCTCATCATTGGTCCAGGCTTGGCACTCTTTCTTCATTCATGTATACCTTCATTTTCCCATGAATCACAAATTCTAAGAACAAGATCCTGGATATCACAACAATATATCTCTAGGCTCAATTCCCACAAAGCTGTCAGACTAGATCTCAGTGCCACACATGGAATAATCAACAAATCTTGCTTCAGATCAGTACTATCAACATGAATGGCCGATGACTGGGCTATGTTCATTTAATTTGCCTAATTTTAAAGGTGGTATAATGAACAATGAAAATCCACAATGGTATCCCCCACTAGAACACAAACAGCATGTTTCACCTTACAAGAGCTTCTCCTGAACAGTTAACAGCCTGAATCTCTTCCAATATGGAAATGCTTAAATCAGGTATGGCGCAGAAATACTACAAAATATGAAACACTTCTGAAAATTAAATTCCTTCTACCTTTTTAAAAAATAAGTCTCTATTGTGCTGAAATGGGTCAGTCCTACTCCTTGGCCTACAACACATTCCTATTATTGGTTGTTACTTGATGTTTTCATTTTTGTGTATATGGCCTTTTGTTCCTTTCTTCAATAATCACACATGAACCAACCACATAACCCACCAACAGAAACTCCATTACTCACATTGCTCCTTACCACAGAAGAAATCGCCATGCTCTTCACCTTGGGGAAATGACCAAATCCAATCTCGTCTATTCCTTCTGGAGGAAAAGGCAGATTTTTATAAGAATAAAAAGTGTACATTTTAAAATCCATTTTTAAGTAGAAGTTAGTTCTCCATTACTGGATGGATCATAAACATTGGTTTGTGTCAAATTTTAATCATCAACCCAACAGTAGTTCTTTTTCATGTATTGACATAATTCTTAGCATGAAATAATATCATGAACATTTTTGAATCTACCACCAAACACTAGAAGAGCAGTTTTCAATATCTGCCTAGGTATTCCTAGCATAAAGGGAAGACACATTTTTAATGAGGAAAACTTTTGCACTATAAGACGAATTTAAATTGTTGTTTTATAACACAATCTGACCAGTGGGCCACAGTTATTTTAATTCAAACTATTTACTGATTTGTTTATTTACTCATCTATTTAATAACTCAAAAAATAATTTAATTATCTACTCTCCTTTCTAAAGAAAACTCAAAATGGTGAAGACACCTGCTACCTAAAATTAAATACTATTACCTGCAACTGTTCATATTAGCCCTGTATGCACTGTGGGAACGTTCTTCGGTGATACGAGTGTTCTCTATTGGCAATTCTGAAATGGTGGTCACTTGCGACATGTGGCTTGGGGTGTGGCTAGTGCGACTGAGGAACTGAATTTTTATTTTTAATTAATTTCCATTTAAATGTTAATATCAAAATATGTCTAGAGAGTGGGTCTTCACAACCCTTCCAAAGGAAGGAGGGTCCTGGACCTTTTTGTTTAAGTAAACCTCAAGAGGATAGACAAGATTAATCACACCCTTTCATACATTACATATGCTTCTCACTAGTCCATGATTTGCCCTCTTTTAAATAAGGGATGGAGATATAAAATGATTCTTTTACTCATAATAATAGTGCCACTATTCATGAATTCAGAAGACACTGGACAAAAACCCTTCATGACACTAGCATCTATTTATTCACTTATTACTCATGAAAGTCATAAAAATGCATTTGCATTTTTCTTTTTAAATAAAAATGAGCAAACATAAGAGGATTTTTGGTTATTATATTCAAATTTTCAACGTTCATCCTTAGACTTTCTCCACATTTCACAACCTAATCATTAGTATTTTAGTGTTTATTATTAATTGTATTAAATTGTTGTTTATTATAAAAATTATGTTAATGTGTTTAGCATGATTTGCAATATTGTTATTATTGAATATGAATGTTAATTTTATTGGCTAATATTTATTATATTAAGTATTATTAAACTAAATACATCATTTAAGTATATGTTTTATCCCTTTCTAAATCAAACAAGACACGCAACCAGAAACTTGCCACTAACTCGGAACACTGAGTGCATATCTATCTATATGCTCTCGAAGGAGGAGCAGACTTATATAAACTCAAAACATCATTAGCTCCTTTCATAATTGAATGAAATGAAGCCTTCCTTGTCTTTATTTGTATTTTTCTTTATTCATTCATTGATTTACTTATAATACAATCTATACCCATTAACCAAAAAGGACCAAAAACATATTCCTTGAATATGTCTAACTTTCTCTCCAAGCACATTTCCCATAGATGCAATGGACCTCAGAGATACAGACAGGGTATAATCAGAATATTTGATTCAGATGCCCCACGCATACTCATCATTGATCCAGACTTGGTATTCTGTGCTTTAATTCAATTATACTGTTCTTGATTTAGGCATTGATTCACTAATAGTAAAATCACTATCCATGAATTAGAGGGCAAAAAGATCCTTGAAGAAGTAACTATGTCTGTAAGATTCATATTCCACAGAACTAGAGGACTGGCTCTCTCTGTAATGAGCCTCAGTATTGCAAAGGTGAATTAATTCATTCCACAAATTGCACCACGTCAATTCCATATATTCCATTAGTCCATGGTTGGGCTTTTTTCATTTAACATCCGTATTTTTAAGACGTTACTATGGTTATATCATGGTATAACCACCAAGTTATACCACAGCTATAGGCAAGGTTTTCCATTTTCTTATGTTCTTCCCTCAATTAGTTAACTGTCAATAACAATCACAATGGGGAAGTATTTAAATCCACTATGGTACAAAAACAGCATATTAAGGCATTCTGAAAATGACAGAAATACCTTTCAACTTTTTGTCCTAATGAATTTCGTTGTGCTGAAATGGATTAATCATAATTCTTAATTCATAACACATTTCTACCATTGTTCCATGCATAACCACCTTTGACTCATTTATGTATGTAGCCTTTTATTCCTTTGAAATAATTCAATGAATAAACTTGATCAAGTTTCCCAAGCGAGAACACAAAGTTTGATTTTTACTTACATCAATCTCTTCTCTCCTGATTCACAGAGATAACAGCAAGATCTTCACCAGAAGACTATAATTAAATCAGGTAGAGTGCGTTCATTCTGCAGCATAAAACGCAAATTTTAAAAAGAATCAAATACTATATGTTTAGCTCTTTAAAATGAATCATAGCTCTGTAGTAAACAATCATAAACCTTGTTTTGTACCCTATTCTGAACACTTGAGAAGAGAGAACACTTCTATTTATTAACTTACATAAATTGTTTTTGTCAAGATGAAATATCTCTCACCATGAAATTTTTTGTTTTAGATAATATAATAAACGCTGTGAATCTAGTACCAAACTTGTCTGTTTGCTTAAGTAAAATTCCATAAAAGACTGAATTAATCATGAGTGTCGTTGTATATAGATCTCATCATCATTCCATGCTCTCCCTCTCTCAATTACAGTTACTCAGTCAACTATTTATTTATGTAAATGTATTTCTTTTTCCTTAATAAAATGATCAACCAGTAACCTGCCTCAACACAGAACAAAAACATTCAGTCTTGTGCACAGATGACCATATGCTCCTTACCAAAATGAATAGAGCCTTAGCCACTAATTTATTGGGACTAAGAACCTCAAAATTGTTTCAATAATAATCCATGTTGCATTACATGCCTTAGTAGGTAAGTGCATGCATACCTTTCTTATTCTTCATTCATTGATAAAATTCTATATTCATGGACTAAGTTTATTATAATAATTAATTCATACCCTCAAACCACAAAAGGCCCATGAACAAGGTCCTAGACTCATTTTCCATGAAGAATAAAGAGGTGTCTCTTTGTAATGGACCTCAGAGTTGCAGATGGGTTTAATCAAAAATGTTGTTTCAGAAACCCCATGATATTCATCACTGGTCCATGATGTGCATTTTTTTCATCTATTGATTGACCTATTGACTCACAAATAACGATACAATCAAAAATCCCCAAAACAAGATCATTAAATTTTAGGCTCTTGGCCCATAGAGCTAGACTACATTTCTTAGGCCATGACACGTAAAGGTGCACATGTGAATTGGTCAATGCCCCTGCATGCTCTCAGTTCACATTCAGCATTCGTTCTGATATAGCCCACTTCTATTTAATTCATACATATGTCAACGATGGCCTGATAAAAAACAACGAAATCACCTATTTCCATATTCTCATGCGCTGCCCCAAAACGGATGTCAGCCAGGATCTCTACCCATAAGGGAACGTGTAAAATAACCATGGCATGAAATAAAGAATAATGTTGAGCTGCTCTGAGAATAAGTTAACTTTTGTCTTCTTTTATAATCAACTCAGTTGTGACGATTTAGATTAAACATAATTCATGGTTCATTACACATTCCCATCATTGGTGCATTTGGGGTGTGTTATTTATTTCACGTATGTAGACATTGATTCCTTTGAAATCCTTTAGCTAACACCCAAAAACAAACCATTCAAAGAAAGAACTTGAAATAAGGAACTTACTTATATTTGTCTCTATGCTCCTTACTCAGGATAACAGTTCTTTCTTAAATTATTAAATCAGCTGGCCTAT
Organism: Homo sapiens; assembly: GCF_000001405.40. NCBI lineage: Eukaryota > Metazoa > Chordata > Mammalia > Primates > Hominidae > Homo > Homo sapiens. The sequence continues at coordinate 100,938,886 of NC_000014.9, read as the reverse complement.
GTCCACTCTGGAGGGAAAAAGGCAGATTTAGAATAGATATACGGTTTTCTCAATGGATGTTAGTCAAGCAGAACTAGATAACAATAAACCTTGGCTCAAAAATGCAATTTTTTCAGGCCAGTATTGAACTTTTAGTTTTAAATAGTATAATAGACACTAATGCGTCACCTAGCCCAAGAATAAGATCTGTAATGATTATGAATATTTGTCTATATAAAAATCTGTTAAGTAGATATTACTTAATGGATTTCTGGCTGATGCAAACACTTTCCCTTTTCTTAATTAAAAAAAAAGCAAACTATAAAACCAAAAAAATTGTCTCAACTGCAGATACAATATGTTCTGTATAATAGGATTTTACCTCAGATTAATAATTATACTTGTTTTATTGCCAGTGTTAATATTTATAATACTTTTTCATTGTACTCAAAGAATAGTTCCATAAGTAGGACTGTTAATCTTCTCTCATGTATACACATTTCTCTATTTACGCATTGAATTCACTTAAAATAATACATTCCATATCTTTGAACTACAAAAGTTCAGGAACAAGTTTTATTGAATTTTCCTAACTTCTATTAGGTAATTTCTACAGAGAATATAGGCTGGTTCTCATTCAATAACAGATCTCAGAGTTACACAGAGGGCTTAATCAAAAGTGTTGATTCAGACACCTCCACCAATACTCATCATTGATCCAGGCTAGGCATTCTATTTCTTCATTCATTTATACCTTGTTGAACTGACTCAGTCATTCATGGTTTCAGGAATAATAATTATATGATCAATATCCCTTAATGACACAAAACTGAGAACAGAAGTCTTTAATAGAACCAAGATCTGTTCATTACTCTCTTTCATGCAGAACAAATAGACTAGATCATATTTTGTGATCAACCTCAAGTTTACACATAGAGATTCATCAGCGACTCTGCTGCATTTAAATCTCATACTTATGATTGGTGTCTACCAGCTTCCCTTCCACTTGATTTGTCTACTCATTAATGTGATTGCAAACCATGGATCTACCATGTGAGCCCACAATTAAGCAAATTAATATATAATATCTCCCAAGGTACCTCTACCTCAAAAACTCAACAACTTCAATGTCTGTCCGTGAAGGAATATGTTAAGCAACTATAGCAAAAACATTAAATGGGAATTTAAATTACTATGACAATATATGAAATGCTCTTCCTTTATTTAACAATGGTCTTCAGTTGGGTTGGGTTGAATTAATCATAAAATTTTGTTGATGACACATTACAATCATAGGTCCATGACTGGCATTCCTTAATTTCATGTGTTATTTAACCATTTATTTTATCAAAATAATGTAGTGGGTTCCCATGAATGAATACAGTCCAAGCCCAAAACATCAATTTGATGTTTACTTACATCAGTCTTTCTGCTCCTTAGTCCACAAATAACAATAATGGTCTTCATGATTAGAGAATAATAAGACCAGCTACATGGTTTTCATTCTATAGAGAAAAATAAAGCCTTCTTTTAAAAACATTTTAAAAGGCTCTTTTTAAAAGCCTCTTTTTAAAAACATTTTTCTAAGAAACTACTTGGAAAGAACCATGTATGTATTCCAAAAACAATGAGAGAGCCTAGAGTTTTTCTTAGAATGTCTATCATGAAAAAAAAAAACAAGAATCAGCATTCTCATATCATAACATTTGTTCCTAATTGGTCCATGGTTTGCTGACTCTAAAATATAAACTGAGACATAAAAATGCAAGTTCCTTCTCATATACAAAAGACATCAGTATCTGTGATCTCACAGCACTGGACAAGAACACTGAAGAATATTTACATCTGTCTAGAGTTATTGCCCTCAGGAAGAATAGACTGTGTTTCTTTTATTATTTGTTTAATAAAAATCCATTAAAAAATAGATTAATACACTCATCATTGGTCTCTGCTTGGTCTCAATTAAGTGGTTATTTAACCAACTATTTATATGATTAAAGATGCTTCATTTTCTTCATAAAATAGTCAGCAACCCACCACCAACACAGAACAAAAACTGACTCTTGCATACAAATGACCATATGCTCCTTACCAGAATGGTAGAAGCCTTGGGTATTAATTTATTGGGAGTCTCAGATAAGTTTTAATAATAATCCATGTTTCATTACAGTCACTGATAATAAGTACATGACTTATGCTTTATGTTTTACTCATTGATAAATTTTTAATTCATGGGCTGATTTTATAACAAAAATGCAATCCATCCCCAAGAACCACAAAGTCCAAGGAAAAGGTACCATAGGCTCACTTCCCAAAAAAGGAATAATACGTGTCTCTTTGTAATGGACCTCAGAATTGCATATGGGTTTAATCAAAAATCCTGTTTCAGATACCCCATGGTACTCATCATTGGTCCAAGCACGTTTTTCTTCCTTTATATCATTCATTTATTATTCATTGGTTCATGAATAATAATATAACCACAAAATTCTAGGAATAAGATCTCCCCATTAGTGGCTCTCTCCCTGAAGACTAGGTCTCCTTTTACAATGGACCTCAGAGAACATGTGTGATTAATTAACATCCATGCTTCATACCAAATTCACAATCACCATTATTTCTTCTGTAGTCTTCTTTTAGTCAATTTGCCCATGTTTTAAAGACAGTGCAATGAAAAGTGATAAAACCACCATCTTCCAACACTGACAGTGTCTTCCATATTCTCTCAGGCTGCCACACAAAGAGTTATCGGCCAGGACCATACCAATATGGAAAAGATTAAATCATTTGAGGTAGAAAATAAGATACAATGTTAAATAATTGTGAATATAAATGGTCTAACTACTATATTTTTATCACTTCAGTTGTGCCAAATTATATTAAACATATTTTCGGAACACATTTCCATCACTGGTCCATTCCTGGTTATTTTAATTTGTTATAGATATTGATTCCTTTGAAATACCACTAAACACTCCTGAACAAAGCATCCAAACCAAGGACATGAACTTGAGGTGTTAACTTACATTAGTATCTATATTCTTTACCCCACGGATCTAACTGCCAAGATTTTGTTTCTTAGAAAATGAATGTCATCTATCCTGTGGTTGTTACGTGGAAGAAAAGTAGACTTATCCTAGAAGAACAAGAAGAAATAAAAGGCATCTTTATAGAAAAAAGAAGAGGTGAGATTGTCTCTATTTGCTGATGACACGATTTTATATACAGAAAATCCAAACTACCTCACACAAAAAAAAAAAACTGTTAGAACTGATAAATGACTTCAGTAAAATTGCTGGATAGAAAATCATCAAAAAAAATTCAGTAGTGACTCTATATCCTAATAGGTAATTAACTTGAAATGAAGAAAATAAGCCCATTTACAATAGCACCAAAAATATTGTCTAAATTTAACCTAGATGGTGAAAGACCTGTATGCTGAAAACTATAAAACACTAGTGAAAGAAATTGAAGAAAACACAAATAAATGGAAATATACCCTGTGTTCATGGGTTGAAAGAACTAAAATTGTTAAAGTGTCTATGCTACCTAAACCCATTTACAGGTTCAATTCAATTCCTATTAAAATTCCAATGTCATTTTGCATAGAAATAGGGGGGGAAATCCTTAAATCCATATAGAACCACAAAAGACACTGAATAGCCACATACAAAAAATCTTAAACAAAAAGAACAAAGCTGGAGGCATTACATCCCTGACTTCAAAATATATTATAAAGTGATTATAATCAAAACAGCATAATACTGGCATAAAAACAGATACATCAGCCAATGGAGCAGAATTAAAAGTTCATAAATAAACTCACACATTTACAATCAATTGATTTTGGACAAAGGTGCCGAGAGAACACAATGGGAAAAAGACAGTATCTTCAATAAATGGTTTTGGGAAAACTGGTTATCAACATGCAGAATGAAATTAGATCTTTATCTCACCCAATATACAAAAATCAACTCAAAATGGATTAAAAACTTCAACATAAAATCTGAAACTATAAAACTACTAGAGGAAAAGCTCCACAACATTGGCATAGACAATGATTTTTTTAATAAGACCCCAAAAACACAGACAACAAAAGTAAAAATAGACAAGTAGAATGTCATCAAATTAAAAACCTTATGCCCAGCAAAGGAACAATTAACAAAATGAAGAGACAACTTCCAGGTCAGGAAAACAAATCTGCAAACCATACATCTCATAGGGGTTAATATGCAAAATATATAAGGAACACAAACAATTCAATAGCAAGAAAACCCAATTTAAAAATAGACACATGATTTGGACAGATATTTTCCCAAAGAAGACATACTAATGGCCAACAGATATATAAAAAAATTATCAGTCACTCTAATCACTAGGGAAACACAAATTAAAATCACAATGAGATATCATCTCTTATCTTTTAGAATGGCTTTCATCAAAAAAATGAAAGGTAACAAATGATGGCAAGGATGCAGAGAAAAGGGAACTCTTCTACATTGTTGGTAGGAATGTAATTTAGTACAGCCATTGTGGAAGAAGTTATGGAGATTATGGATAGGAAAGTCCAATATTGTCAAGATGTCAGTTCTTCCCAGCTTGATTCAATGCAATCCCAATAAAAACCCCAGGAAGTTATTTTGTGGATATTGACAAAACTGTCCTAAAGTTTACATGGAGAGGCAAAAGACCCAGAATTGCCAACACAACATTGAAGAGAAGAACAAAGTTGGAGGACTGGCAATACCCATATTCAAAACTTACTACAAAGCTACAGTAATAGACAGTGTGGTATTGGCAAAAGAACAGACAAATAGATCAATGGAACAGAGTAGAAAGCCCAGAAATAGACTCACATAAATATAATCAACTGATCTTTGAACTTTCAAAATTTCTGCTCCATAAAGAAACTGTCAAGAAAATGAAAAGACAAGCAACAAATTAGGAGAAGATATTTGCAAAAGACATATTGGATAAAGCACTATTATACAAAATACACAAAATACTCTTAAAACTCAACAATAGGCTGGGCATGGTGGCTCCCAGCCCTTTGGGAGGCCAAGGTGGGCAGATCACGAGGTCAAGAGATCAAGACCATCCTGGCCAACATGGTGAAACCCCGTCTCTACTAAAAATACAAAAATTAGCTGGGCATGGTGACGAGCACTTGTAGTTTCAGCTACTTGGGAGGCTGAGGGAGGAGAATCGCTTGAACCCGGGAAATGGCGGTTGCAGTGAGCCAAGATCAGCCTGGTGACGGAGTGAGACTCTGTCTCAAAAACAAGCAAACAAACAAAAACACTCAACAATAAGAAAGTGATCAGATTTTAAAATGGGCCAAAGACCTTAACAGACACCTCACCAACAAAGATATAAGGGTGGCAAATAATCACATGAAAACGTGCTCCACATCATATATTATTGGGAAAATGCAAATTAAAACAACGAGATACCACCGCACACCTATTAGAATGACCAAAATGCAGAACACTAACAACACCAAATGATGGCAAAAACGTGGAGTCACAAGAACTCTCATTCATTGCTGGTAGGAATACAAAATCAACACAATCACATTGGAAGACAGTTTGGCAGTTTCTTCTACAACTAAACATAGTTTTACCATACAATCCAGCAATCATGCACCTTGGTATTTACCCATAGTTGAAAAATTATATCCACACAAAAACCTGCACACACACGTTTATACCAGCTTTTTTCATAATTGCCAAAACTTGGAAGAAACCAAGATATCCTTCAGTAGGTGAATGGATAAATCAACTGTGGTAAACCTAGAAAATGGAATATTATTCAGCACTAAAAAAAAGAGCGATCAAGCTATGCTTAACATGGAAGAACCTTAAATGCAGAGTACTTGTGAAAGAAGCCAATCTGAAAAGGCCACGTATTGTATGATTTCAACTGTATGACATTCTGGAAAAGGCAAAACTACAGAGACAATAAAAGATCAGTGGTTGCCACGGGTTGGTAGGGGAGGGAGGGATGACTAGGCAGAACCCAGAGGATGTTCAGAGCATTGTGGTATTTTGTATGATACTATAATGGTGGATATATGTCATTATAAATTTGTCCAAAACCACATAATGTACAACACCAAGAGTGCACCCTATTGTAAACTATGGACTTTGGGTGATTATGATATGCCAATGTAGATTATAACAAAAGCACTACTCTAATGGGGTGGATGTTGATAACAGGGGAGGCTATACATGCAGAAGGACAAAGGGCATATGGGAAATAATCTCTGTACCTTCTGCTCAATTTTGCTGTGAACCCAAAATTACAGGCGCGGTGGTCCACCCCTGTAATTCCAACACTTTGGGAGGCCCAGGCGGACAGATTGTCTGAGCTCAAGAGTTCAAGACGGTGAAACCCTGTCTCTACTAAAATACAAAAAATTAGCCAGGCGTGGCAGTGTGTGCCTGTAATCCCAGCTACTCAGGAGGCTGAGGCAGGAGAACCGCTTGAACCCAGGAGGCGGAGGTTGCAGTGAGCCGAGATCGCACCACTGCACTCCAGCCGGGGCAACCTGACCTCGGGTGATCCGCATGCCTCAGCCTCCCAAAATGCTGAGATTACAGGTGTGAGCCACAGTGCCCGGCCTAATTTGTCTGTATTTTAAATGTGGCACAATAAATGACCACGAGCACACCATCTTACCCCACAATAGGAACACTGACAATATAAACCATTGTCTATGTACTGCCCTTAAACATTCAACAGATTGGCCGGGCACCGTGGCTCACGCCTGTAATCTCACCACTTTGGGAGGCCAAGGCAGACGTATCACGAGGTCAAGAGATCGAGACCATCCTGGCCAACACGGTGAAACCTTCTCTCCACTAAAAATACAAAAATTAGCTGGGCATGGTGGCACGTGTCTGTAGTCCCAGCTACTCGGGAGGCTGAGGCAGAAGAATCGCTTGAACCCAAGAGGCGGAGATTGCAGTGAGCCGAGATCTCACCACTGCACTCCTGCCTGGTGACAGACAGAGGCTCCGTCTCAAAAAAAAAAAAAAAAAAAAAAAAAAAAAAAATATATATATATATATATATATATATATATATGTTCAACAGATTAGGTCACTTGAGGAAATATAAGTTAGCTATGGTGCAAAAATAAAATGGAATAATCCTCAACTCTAAAAGTCATTTAAAAACCCTCTAACTTATTTTCTTTAATGTTCTCAGTTGTGTCGAATGGAAATAGAATTTTGTTATTGTTTACAATCATTTCTATCACTGGGCAATGCACAGAGCTTTTTTTTTTTTTTTTTTTTTTTTTGAGACAGAGTCTCACTGTGTTGCCAAGGCTGGAGTACAGTGGCGCGATCACAGCACAGAGCTTTTTTACTTTATTTAAATATGTGCCCATTTATTTCTCTAAAATAATAAAAAGCATGAACAAGCCCACACGAATCAAGAATATAAAAATTAACTTAAATCCATTCCTACACTTTTTACCCACAGAAGTAAAAGCCATAATTTTCACCACTGAAAAATAATTAAATCAGGTATGGTGCATCTATTGTGTAAAGTAAGAGTAGATTTAAGAAAGAACAGCCTACATGCATTTAAATCTTTCAAGGGACATTTGTAGGACAGTACTAGATTAATTATAAACTCTTATTCACACCACATTTTAATCAGTGGCCCAAGAATGGCCTGGAATATTATTTACTGATTTATCTGGCACCCAACACAAGAATAAAAGCTACTACAAGTATCCATCTATGTGTTTTCTACCCAGATGGTAAAAATCTGAACTTTATTCCCAATAATGGATCTCATTTATACAGTACAGAATTAGGTAAATTTAACCACTTTTTTTATGGTAAATTTTCACCAAAATAGTCCATGCTAGACTCTCCTTTATGTGTTTCTTTATTCATTTGTCATTTCACTTATTCATTTAGTAAGTACTCATGAACAATTCTTTGTTTTTTCGGAGAAAACACAGTATGATCAGCCCATCAACAACCCAGAATCGTAATACAATTAAATGCAACTATACACATGAACCTGACCCCGTGGGGGAAGAGCCTAGTTTTAGGTCTTTTGTTTTGCTTTTTCTTTATCTGAACATCAGTAAGATACTACAGGATAAATAATTCACACGTTTTTAACACATGCTCCTCTTCAGTCCATGTTGTACCTCAGTGGTTCTCAACTGGGGACAATGTTGCCCCCCACAGATGAAATTTGCCAAAGTCTGAAGAAATGTTTGATCGTCACACTGGGAGGAGGGTCAACATTGGCATCTACTGAGTAGAAGCCAATGAAGTTACTACACACCCTACAATATACAAGACAATCTTGCACCATAGAGAATTACCCAAAATGTCAATAGAGCCAAAGTCAAGAAACACTGCTTTACCTTCCTCAAATAACTGAATACATTCACTCCTGTGTATACATTCACTCATGACATCATCAATATCTGTGAACATACAGATTGCATCAGAAATATGAATGGCGTTAACACCTGTCATTTGCTCATGATTCCCAGACTAGATCATATTTTCTTGTGTTCATTAAGAAACAGCAACATCTAAATAATGCAGGACAAACAATACTGATTTCTAGGTACTTGTCTCTGTATGTATATTCCTTACCCAAATAGGTATCAGATTTAATCAATTTATGTTGAAACTGAGTGCTTCAGAAGTGTGTTAATAATAATAAATACATTATACATTCTCATAATTAGGCAACATATGGCTCTACTTGTCTTCCTTTATTTACATATTTGTTTCATTTTTCATTTACTAAATCTTTTCTAGTAATACAATCCACACCTATGAACTTCAACCACCTAAGAACAAAATCCCAAATAATTCTAACTTCCACTATAATATCATTTACCATATAGGTATTAACTAGGTCTCCTCTTATAATGGACCTCAGAGTTACAGGGTTTAATCAAAATCATTGATTCAGACACCCCAGAATACTCATCATTGGTCTAGGCCTAGCATTTCTTTTTTATTCATTCATTCATACCTTTGTTTATTGTTTCACTCATTGAATCACTAACAACAAAGCCAATAGACACAAATCAAAAAAAACTAAGAACAAGATCCTTGAATATTACTGAGATCTATAAGCTTATTTTCCATAGAAGTGATACTGCATTTTTTCAGAATGGATCCAAGCATTATACAAATAATTAACTACACTTCCTTGCTTCATACCAATCTCACATTAATATTTCATCCAGACTTTCTTTTATTTAATTTGTCCATATTTTAAAGATAGTACATGAGGTAGCCAGCCTCCAAATGGCTCCCAAGGCCCATGCTCCTGTTATGCATAGCCTTGTGTAGCTTCTTTACATATTAAATCATGACCGCCTGTATTACCAACAGAATACTGTGGAAATGATGGTGTATGACTTCTGGAGCTAGATTATAAAATACATTGAGGGTTCCACCTTTCTCTGTCTTAGATTGACTGCTCTAGGGGACATCAACTGCCATGTTGTAAGGATACTCAAGCAGTCCTGAGGAAGAGTCTATTTGTGAAGAAACTGTGGCTTCCCGCAATCAGCACCAACTTTCCAGCCATGTAAGTGAAGCAGACACTCTAGCACAGTCAAGCTTTCAGATGACTGCAACTCAACCTGACATCTTGCCTGCAACTTCACAAGAAACCCTAAGCTAAAACTGCCCCCAGTAAGCCTCTCCTGGATTCCTGCCACATAGAAACCGTGAGAAATGACAAATGTTTATTGTTGTTTTAATCCATTAAATTGTTCAGTAATTCATTACACAGCAAAAGATAATAATACAATAGAATGAACAACTGTGAACCACCATCTTAACTCACAATGAGGACACTGACACTATCTTCCTTTTCCTATCTGCTTCTCCCTAGAGGAGTGAATAGCCTTGATCTTTAACTTTAAAGAAATGTGTGTAAATCAACCACGGCACAAAATAAAATACAATATTAAAAACCTCTGAAATTAATAAAAGCCCTCCATCATTTGTAATGGACCTAAGTTGGGCTGAATTAAACTAATCATAAACCTTGGTTCACTTCCATTATTGGTTCTTGTATGGTATGCTTTTTATATATGTATATATTTAGCGGTTTATTCTTCTAACATAATTTAGTGATGAACAAGCCACCTAAACCCAGGACATGAACTTTAACTATTATCTACAACAGACTCTGAGCTCCTTAACCACAGAGGCAAAACACCAATGTCTTTATTGTTATCGAATAATTAGCTGTGGCATGTTCATTGTGTGAAGGAAAATACACATTTTAGAAAGAACGAAACAGCAAAGACTTAACTTCTTTTAGAAATTATTTTAGATTAATCATAAACCTTGGTTCCTAACACATTCTCATTATTGACTCAAGAATAACCATACCTTTTATGTATGAATTTACTTACTGTTTAATTCTTAATATAATGAACCCTTAAATCCACCCAATGCAAGAGTAATAAATGTAACCACTAACAACTATCTATCTGTATACTCCCTAACCACATCAACACCCAAACCTCATTAATTTTTTTAAGGCACCATATTTGAGCATTTCTGAGAGTGTGCCATGAAGCAATGATCCAAGATCTACCTTAATTTAAGCATTTACTGACTCACTTGTGTTCTTTCTTTTATTTAATTACCCCCAAAATAATTTGATCATTTATTCATTTTTTCTAAAAAAAGAATAAAAACAAACAATAATCAAGAAGTGAAATACCATTTCATGCAACTGTTGACACGCACTTTGTCCAAAGTGGGATCCATGTAGATTTCTTTTATTTTTCATCTGTAAAAATGGGTTAATTGTTATTTTTGTTTGATGACACTTTGGCCAATCCTCCATACTCTTTTAAATAATTGAAACGCAAACTCATTTATTCATTCACTTTTTACAATACATCAAAATGAATAAAAGCCAAGACAATGGACAAGAACACTGACTAATATCTGTTTGTATGCTCACTGCCCAAAAATACAAATGGCTAGATCATTTTTGTTGTTTTAGATAATGTTCAGTGAACAGAATTGGATTAATAAGACCTATGGTCATATTCTCAGTATTAGTCCACACCTGGCCTTCTTTCAATTAGGCAATTATTGGAACAATTACTTTTAATGTAAATGATTTGTTTCTTTTCTAAATAAAACCGACAACCCAACATCAATCCAAAATTACAACAGGGACTCTCGTGAAATTAGATATGTCTTTTGTGGAAAATAGTAAGGGACACTTAATCTATTTATGTTATGAAACTCAGTGCTTCAGAAAATAACAATAATTAGTAATAACCCTTGTTTCATTAAAGACTTGCATAATTAGCCATCATTAATTTCTACATCTTTATTCTTGCATTGGTTCACTTCTCATACAGTTCACAGGCATGAAGAACTGAGAATCAGATCTTTGGCTATTCCTAACTTTTGCTGTAAGCCCCTTTCCCACAGACGAAATAACTAGTTTCTTTTTTCTAATAAACCTCTGAGTTACAGAATCTAATCAAAATCTTTGATTCCTACAGCTCAGAATACTAATGATTGGCTATACTTGACATACTTTATGCATTGTTTATTTCTTTATTCATTGATTCATTAATAATAATAGTATAATCAATTCTCATGAATCAAAAAGCTCAAGAACAACATCTGTGAATACTAATGATTGTATATATGTCCATTGACCAAAGAGCTAATAGATGGAAGTCACTTTCTGCAACATATGTGTGTGTGAGTTTGTATACATATATATACATATATGCACTTTTGGCACTTATAAATTAATCAACTTCCTTCTTTCATGTCAGCTCCATGCTACTCACTGGTCCACGGTTGGTCCTTTTTCAAGTGCCAAATATGGTATAATGAATCACCAAGGAATCATAATCTTACTGCACAACTAGAACACTGACAACACTGTCCATCTTCCTATGTGCTCCTCCCTCAAGGAATTAATAGCCTAAATCTTTATCAATGGAGAGGTACTTAACTGAATCACAACGCAATAATAAAACAATCTGAATCATCTCTGAAAATGAATGAAATACCCTGTATCTTTTTTATTGAATTTTACTAGTACCAAATCAGATTAATCATAAATCCCAATTCTGAACATATTCTCATCACTGGTACATATTGGTGTTACCTAGTTTTATTTATTAATATATCCAGTTATTATTTTAATAAATTCAGGCAACACCCATGAACCAACCTCCCAATCCAAGAACAGTAAACACTAATTGTTACTTACATAAATCTCTTCTCTCCTTACCCACAGAAGTAAAAGGCAAGATCTTTAGCATTAGAGAATGACTAAATCAGTTCTTCACCATAATGTGCTCATTTGGTGAAGTAAAATACATACTTTCAAGAGAAAGAAAGACCCTACAGTTAGACTTTTTAATGGAAATTTGTTTGGCAGTATTAGATTAATCATAAACTTCGGTCATCTCATCATTGCCCAAAAATGGCACTCCTTATTTATTGACTTGTGTAGTTTGGGCTTTTAAATAATACAATGAATATCAACATGAGAATAAGAGCCATATCTATCATAAATATCTGTCTACATACTCCAGATCCATAAATTTACCAGATAGGTGATCACTTTTAGTGGATCTCACTTGTGCAAAATTAGATAAATGTAAACCTTTGTTTTATGGCATATTCTCATTAATGATGCAAAATCTTTCTGATTTACATGTCTAGTGATTCACTTATTTACTCATATATACAATTATGCATGGAATAAATTACATATCTGTTTTTCTAAAGAATTACTCCATGGAAATTTCAATGTGTGCTTTATCCAAAGCAGGGGCAACCTGGAGCTCTATTTATCTGGACAACATTAGAGTATAACTGGAGTAATCATTATCTTTGGTTCATAACACCTGTTCCTCACTGGCCCATGCTTGGCCTTCTCTTAAATAATTGATCTTGATATGAATAACCTCCTTTATTCCCTTAGAACAACATATCAATAACAATGGACTCCAAGACAAAGGATAAGAACTGTCAATATCTGTCTACATATTCATAGCCCATAGCTACAGCCCAAAAAATCCTCTTTTAATTTTCTTAAAAATAAAACTCACTAAATAATGTTGGATTAATTATAACCCTGGTCATACGACACATTCTGAATATTGGTTCGTGTTTGGCCCTCTCTCAATAAAATATGGTAAACCCACCAGCAGCCCAGAACTGAAATATTCTATGATCCCTCTCTATGAACTTAACCCAAGTTAACCCAAGTTAGAAGCGCCTAGATCCTACTTTCTCTATAAGGACACCAGTAGGGTAGAACGGGATTAGTCATAAGCTTTATTCCACATCACATGCTCCACACTGTCCAGAGTTGGCCCTTGAGATATAATTATATTCATTCAACTTAAAAAACAATATATAATTACCAGAGATCCCAGACTCTACACTTGAACTTGAACACAAAACAAAACAACCCATAGAAATAACCGACTCTATCCCTTGCCATTTTTTGTCGCTTTTTATAAAATTCAGTGGATACAATTAGATCCATCATAACTGGTGTCATGTAACACATCCTCAAATTGGCACATATTTGCTCCTTTTCTATTACAGTCATGTAATCTTTTGTTTGTGTAAATATTTTTCCTTCTCAATAAGCTGACAGCTAGCAACCTCTTACCAATCCAGAATGCCAACATGGACACTTAGATGCATCTGTCCATGTGCTTCTGCGTGTCTGCAGCTCCTATGTACTCCAAATGACAGCTTTTGCCTATATGTTATATTGAAATTCAGTATTCTACAAATATATTCCTAGAAATACTTGTTTCATGACATGCTCTCATAAATGGTCCACATATGACAGTCTTTATCTTCACTTACACATTTCTTTGTTAATGCATTCATCGATTCATTTATGATCCCTACCTAGGAAGCACTAAAGCCCAAGAAACTGAACTTTTACTCTGAATTCCACTCTCTTACAGAGAAGAGCAAGGTCTCTTTCTAATGGACTTCAGAGTTTAGGGTTTAATCAAAATTAATGATTCATATGCCACAGAACTATTCATCACTCACTTTTTCCTCATGTATTTACTTATGCACTGTTTATTGATTATGCATATTATTTCATTCATGGTTTCACCCACAAAATAATTTAATATCCATGAATCACAAAAACCCAAGAACAAGACCTCTGACTGCTGCAGAATGCTATTTCCAGGCTTGTTTCCCACAGAGCTGGTAGACGAGATCTCTTTTTAATTGGGCCTCAGACTGTGCCTATAATTAATCGATAACCTTGCTTCCTAACCATCCCGTGTGCTACTGCTCTTTGCTCAATCGTCTTTCGCTTAATTTACTCATAACTTAATAGCAGTACAATGAACACCCTATCACCTCATTCCACAACTGGAACACTGGCAATTTGTTCAGTATTTGTAGGTGCTCCCTCCCCACCAATGAAAAAGCCTAGATCTTTATCAATAGAGAAATCTTCTTAAAATACGGTGCACAATAGAGTAGAATATTAAGCAACTGTGAAAATGAATACAACCCCCTCCAATTATGTTTGTAAGGGATTTCAGTTGTACCAAAATAAATTCATCTTTGTAAGGGACTTCAGCTGTACTAAAATGAATTCATCTTAACCTATGGTTCATTACATATTCCCAATATTTGCCCATGCATGGCATTGTTTAATTGGTTTTGATTTTATTATTTTATTTTTAATTGACAGATAAAATTATGTGTATTTATCGCATACGACATGATGTTTTGAATTATATATACATTGTCGGATGACTAACTCTAGCTAATTGATATAACCATTACTTCTCGTAGTTGCCATTTTTGTGGTGAGAACACTTCACATCCACTCTCTCAGCATTTTTTAATTCTATTTATGTTTGTGGTAGCCATTCATTCCCTTGAATTAATTCCATGGACAACATGAATAGCCCCCTTCAAAGCAAGAACAAGAACTCTGTTACTTAACGTGCCTCTCTGCTTCTTATCCACATAAGTGACAGCCATGATCTCCATCATTGGATAACAAATAAGTCAGATCTGGCATACAGAATGTGGAGTAAAAACTAGATTTTAGAAAATTCAAGAAGCAGCACAGATTTAGATTTTTTTTAAGGGACCTAAGTCCTGTTGTACCAAATTTATGGAAAAAAAAAACTCCAGTTTTTGTCAAATTCCCATCATTAGCCCAAGAATGGCCCTGATTTTATTTATTGACTTTTTAAATTACTAATTTAGGCAATATAGTGAAAACTCCCAAACCTGTGCCCTAAAAAAAATAATAAAAAACTAGGCATGTTCCAAATTCTATCACTTAAGCCCCACCCACATAGGTAAGAACCAAGGTGATCTTTTTTATAGGTCTTCCTTGATTAGAATTGGATAAATTTATGTCCCCATTTCTTAACACATTTTCACCAATGGTCCATGTTTGATCCTAATTTATGAATCCATTTATTTGTTTATTTTTTATTCACTCATGGAATAATTTGTTAGTATTTTTATTTTCTTCAAGGAAAATGCAAAATGGCCTACAATATTATTACAAATAACTGACTCTATGTTCTTTATCCACAGTGTGCAGAACCCTAGTCCCCTTTTATTTATATGAACATTTTTAATGATACATTAACTTTATTCATCTATGTTTGTCCTCTTTTAAATAATCCCTTTCATGCAATCAGTAGGACTGCTATACTCCAACAATAACCAAGCTAAGAATCAAATCAAAAACTCAATCCCTTTTACAGCAACTGGAACAAGAACAAAAAAGTGCTTGGGAATATACCTAACCAAAGAGGTGAAAGATCTCTACTAGAAAAACTACAAAACACTGCTGAAAGAAATCATAGATGACACAAACAAATGAAAACACATCCCACGTTCATGCATGGATAGAATCAATATTGTGAAAATGGCCATACTGCCAAAAGAAATCTACAGATTCAATGCAATTACCATCCAAATACCATCATCATTCTTCGCAGAACTAGAAAAATAATCCTAAAATTCATATGGAACTGAAAAAGAGCCCACATAGCCAAAGCAATACTAAGCATAAAGACCAAATCTGGAGGCATTACATTGCCCAACTTCAAACTATACTACAAAGCTATAGTCACCAAAACAGCATGATACTTGTATAAAAATAGGCACATAGACCAATGGAAAAGGAGAAAGAACCCAGAAATAAAACCAAACAGTTACAGCCAACTGATCTTCAACAAAGCAAACAAAAACATAAAGTGGGAAAAGGACACCCTATTCAACAAATGCTGCTGGGATAATTGGCAAGCCACGTGTAGAAGAATAAAACTGGATCATCATCTCTCACACCTTAAACAAAAGCCAACTCAAAATGGATCAAAGACTTAAAATCTAAGACCTGAAACCATAAAAACTCTGCAATATAACATCAGAAAAACTCTTCTAGTTATTGGCCTAGGCAAAGAGTTTATGATCAAGAATGCAAAAACAAGTGCAACAAAAACAAAAATAAATAGATGGGACCTAATGAAACTAAAAAGCTTCTGCACAGCAAAAGAAATAATCAGCAGAGTAAACAGACACCTCTCAGAGTGGGAGAAAATATTTGCAAACTATGATCTGACAAAGGACTAATATTCAGAATCTACAAGGAACCCAAACAAATCAGCAAAAAAACAAAACACACAAAAAAAAAATCTATCAAAAAGTGGGCAAAGGACATGAATAGATAATTCCCAAAAGAAGATAAACAAATGCCCAAAAAACATATGAAAAATGTTCAACATCACTAATTACCGGGGAAATGCAAATTAAAACCACAGTGGGATGCCACCTTAGTCTTGCAAGAATGGCCATAATTAAACTATCAAAAGTTAATCAATGTTTGCATGGATGTGGTGAAAAGGGAACACTTTTACACTGCTGGTGGGAATGCAAACTAGTACAAGCAGTATGGAAAAAAGTATGGCGATTCCTTAAAGAATTAAAAGTAGAACTACCATTTAACCCACCAATCCCACTACTGGGTATTCACCCAGAGGAAAAGAAGTCATTACATGAAAAAGACATTTGCACACACATGTTTATAGCAACACAATTCACAATTTTAAAAATATGAAATCAGCCTACATGCCCAACAATCTGCAAGTGGATAAGGAAAATGTGATATATATATATATATACACACACACACACACACACACAAACTGTGGAATACTACTCAGCCGTAAAAAGGAACAAAATAATGGCATTCGCAGCAACCTGGATGGAGTTGAAGACCATTATTCTCAGTGAATTAACTTAGGAATAAAACCAAACATTGTATGTTCTTACTTATAAGTGGGAGCTAAGCTGTGAGGATGTAAAGGCATAATAATGACATAATAAACTTTGGGGACTCAGGGCGAAGGCTGGTAGGGGATGAAGAATAAAAGACTACACATTGGGTACACTGTACACTGCTCAGGTGACAGGTGCGCCAACATCTCCGAAATCACCACTAAAGAACTTACCCATGTAAACAAAAACCACCTGTTCCCCCAAAACTATTGAAATAAAAATAGAAAATTTTTAAAAAATTGCTCAGTGATTAATATATAGTAAACAATTGTTAGCTATACTGCTAACATTTTTATTATTTTTTATTATTTTATTATTATAGTTTTATTTTGTCATTGCTATGAAGGAAGTATTGTTCTTGATGCTATAGATAATAAAAAAGCATTCTGTCAATAAAAAATAAATAAGCAAATAAATAATCCCTTCCTTCATTTACTTAGAATAATACTCTCATAATTGGTGCATATCCAGCCCTCTTTGGCTGAATTCATTGGTATGTGTCTTTATTTACTCATGCACTGATTTACTACTAATAATAGGATTCATATCAGATGTGCAAAATCCCAAGCACGAGATGCCTATATTCCTCACTGCAGCTACAAGCTCATGTCCCACTGAGGCAGTAAATTAGGTTTGTTTTTATAATGGACCTAGAGTCATATAGTTTAATCAAAATCCTTGATTCAAGCACCTCAGGGTACTTACCATTGGTTTAGTTTTGAGACATTTTTATTTATTTATACAGTTGTTTATTGATTTAATTCATTAATTGACAAAAATTGCTTTATCAATATTCATGAATCACAACAAAGCAAGAATAAGATATATGAATATTATAACTGATAGATGTAGGCTAATTTCTCCAAGAGCTAATCCACCAAATCTCCTTCAACAGTGGATCTCACTGTTACACATATGGACCAACCAAAATCCTTATACAGTCCCACACTCAATGTGGTCCAGGCAGGGCCCTCTTTCTCTAGCCTTTCCTCAACTTTTTCAAATTTTAAACATTTAACAAAGAACATAAAGGAACCACTTGTTTTACTTCCCTGACAACATTTTTTTCCTTACTTGTGTTTTCTCTGTCAATAGCTTAGAAACCTAAATCTTTATCAATGGCAGAATGTGTAAATTAAGAGTGGTGAAAAAATGACATATTAAACAATTGTAAACTGAATGAAGTTATTTTCTTCCATCTGTTTTGTAGTGGAACCCACTTGTTCAGAATTATATTGATCTTAAATTTTGTTTCAGGGTACATTTTCACCAATGCTCATTCTTTTTTTAAGTTTTATTTTATTCTTAAAATAAAATAAAATTTTATTTAATTGACAAATCCTTCTTGTCCCTCTTTATGTATTCATCTATTTGCTTATTTACTATTTAATTTGTAATAGGTTAATTTAATCTCATATCTATCTTTTGAAAGAAAATTAAGAAGGATAAATCTACCAGCATCCAAAACTGACTATAACAAGAACACATCTGTGAACATTAAGCATTTAGGAGTCCAGACATTATATCCTTTACATGGACATCAGCAGTATAGAAATGTATTATCCTAATACTTGCTTCAAAATTTATGACCATCACTGGTCTGTCATCTGTCCTCTTTTAACTTATTGTGACATAAACTTATTCATTCATTCCCTTACAATCCATAGCTGAGAATCCAAAGAAAACTGTTCAAAAACTCTGAATAAAACTAACATCTGTCAATCTGCCCATCACCCACAGAGATAATCAACTAGATCTTCATTCTCATTGTTATTCAATGAACTCAATGACTAGAACTGGATTAATATTAATTCTTATCACCTGACACATTCTCAACACTGGTCCTCTTCCATTTTCTTCTTTATGTAAAAATCTTTCCCTTAGAAGTAAGAGCAACCATCCAGCCCTGGGCTTGTGTGTATTTTATTGACTTCAATGCTTCAAAAACATAATAATAATCCATTGGTTCATGCTTGGCTTTCTTTTTTTATTCATTTACACACTTGTTTAATAAGCTCACCTGTAATCCCAGCACTTTGGGAGGCCTAGGTGGGCAGATCATTTGAGGTCACGAGTTCGAGACCAGCTTGACCTACATAATGAAACCCCGTCTCTACTAAAATACAAAAATTAGCTGGGCATGGTGGTAGGCACCTGTAATCCCAGCTACCCAGAAGGCTGAGGCAGGAGAATCGCTTGAACCCAGGAAGCGGAGGTTGCAGTGAGCCGAGATCGCGCCATTGCACTCCAGCCTGGGCGACAGAGTGAGACTCCCTTTCCAAAAAAAAAAAAAAGTTCGTTTATACATTTGTTCAATTTGTTTAATGATTTACTCATCGATTCACTTACACTATACTAATGTAATCACTACCATGAGGCATAAAAGGGTTAAGATCAAGACCCTGCTACAGGCCCATCTATGAAGGTAAGAGACTGGGTATCTCTTACAGTGGATTTCAGTAGTGCCTACATGGATTAATCCTCACTCAGCACTTGCCATGCTTGATCCTCTTCCATTTAGTCAGCTACATAATCAGGTATTTGTTAATGTCAGTAATTTTCTTTGAAACAAAAAACTGAAGACTAGCAAGACACCACCAACAACACAGAACAGCATCGATTATTACATGATCTTTTCATGTCTTCCTTACCTAAACAAACTAACCATCCTTACCTAAAAGAATTAACCATTAAACCATAGCCATTATTTTTACGGGTTTTGGTGCTTAATAAAAACTACTTATAATAGGCCAGACAGTGGCTCATGCACTTTGGGAGGCCAAGGCGGGTGGATCACTTGAGCCCAGGAATTTGAGACCAGCCTAGGCAACATGGTGAAACCTCATCTCTACAAAAAATACAAAAAAATTAGCCAGGTGTGGTGACATGAGCCTGTGGTCCCAGCTACTAGGGAAGCTGAGGCAGGAGGATTGCTTAAGCCTAGAGGTCGAGGCTGTGGTGAGTTGTGACTGCGCCACTGCACTCCAGCCTGGGTGACAGAGTGAGACTCTGTCTCAAAAAAAAAAAAAAAAAAGGAAAATAATCCTTGTTTCAGCAGTATACACTTTAATGTTTAGCATGTGCTGTTCCCATTTTTTTCTCATTCATTTATTCACTTGTCATTGATTCATCACTGATTAGCCAATAATAATACAATCAGTACCCATGGATTAGAAAAACATAAAATTGAATATTCCTCTCATTGGATTATAGCAGTGCTGAGCAATAAAAAATATAATGCCACCTACACGAATACTTGTAAATTTTCTAGAAGCTACAATATTTAAAAAGTAAAAAGAAAAAGATGAAATCAACTGTAATTGTGTATTTTATTTAGCCCAATATCTAAAATACTATCATTTAATAAATATAAATAATTCTAGAAATATTTTACCTTTTTCATATTGAGGCTTCTAAACTCGGTGTGTATTTTTCCATGTAGATCACATGTCGATTAGACTAGTCACATTCCAAGTGCACAGTAGCTCCAGTGGCTAGCACTGATGATACTAGACTGTGCATGTCTATAATCTAATTTCCCACAGAGATAATACACTAGATCTCTTCCTATAACGCATCTCAGTATGACACACATGGATCAATGGATCAATCAACATTCTTCATACATAGCAATGCCACAGTTATCACTGGCCCATCCTTAGCCCTCTTTCTTTTAATTTGTCTATATTTCAAAGATGACACAATGAGCTACTATAAATCCACCATCTTCTTGCCCAATAGAATACTGATAATTACTTTCAATCTTCCTTTGTGATACCCTCTTAAGCAGTTAATGGCATAGGTGTATATCAATGGAGGACTGTTTAAATCAACAGTGATGTAAAATGTATATGAATATTAAACTGCCAGCAGCACAAATAAAATAGCCTGACTGTACTCTTAATAGAAGTGGTGTTGAATTGGATTAATCATGAACACTGATTCATATAACATTCTCATCATTGGTCCATGCATGTTCTGCAATATTTTAATATGTAGAGCTATTTATTTCTTTTAAATAATACAGTCAACATCCATGAGCAAATCATCCAAACCAAGAACAAGGACCCTGACTGTCCTGTCATCAGCCTCCATGCTCCTTGCCCACAGAGAAAGCAGCCCGGCCCTCATCATTACAGAATAGCTGATCACCTGCGGTGCACTCACTCTGTAGAAGAGAAAGCAGGTGTGAAAAGGTGTGAAAGAGACTAGATTTAAACTTTTTAAAGAAATATTAAAATTTTAATATACTGGATTGACCATAATCCTTGGCTTGTGCCACATTCTCAACATTGGTCCATGGCTGGCCCTCTTTCTCACCACTGACCCACAATTAACACTTCATTCTTAATTGACTTAATCAATTGATTATTTTAATTATTAACTTAATGAACACCATGGAGTGAATCACCTAAAATAAAAATGAGAATGATGACCATTACAAACCCCTCTCTATGTGTCCCCACTTATATGAGTGACAGGCCCAGGTAAGGAGAGCCCACATCATCTGCCCAGCAGGACTACGGAGTTGCCGTGGGGTGGCACTGCTCAGTGCCTCCTATTCTTTTTGTAAGTGGGAGTGGTTCTTGTGACCTTCGTGTCTATAGAATATTTACCATATAGAAGACAGATAACCTATTTATTTAAGGTCTTTGAATTTTAAAAATGTATTCACTTATTGATTTTTATAACATAATCAAGTAAAACACCACGAATCTACCATCAAAACCAAGAAAAACAGTAGTATATTATAGAGATAGATAGATATATAATAGATAGGTGGGTAGGTAGATAGATAGAAAGATAGATAGATAGATAGATAGATAGATAATAGATAGATAGATGAATAGATAGATAGATAGATAGATAGATAGATAGATAGATAGATAATCTTTTCATCCTTAACCATAACTGGAGAAACAGAAACCTTTACATAATGGACTTCATCTGTTGAGAAATGTATGGATATAATATTTGGTTCATGACACACTTTCATCACTGGTCCATGCTTAGGCTTTTATTTAACTTTTGTATTTATGTATTCATATTTAATATTCAAAAAACTGCCATGAACCAACCACCTAACACAACTGACTAATGTAGTAGCTTTAAAATTTGACTGCCCCACTGGATATCAGACTTGCATGGGCCAGTAGCCACATGTGACTATTTAAATTTAAATTAATAAAAATTAAGTAATATTAAAAATTCAGTTACTCATGAACGCCAGCCACATTTCAAGGACTCAATAATCACATGGACTAGTAGCTACCATACTGTACAGAACAGATTACAGAACATTTCCATCACTGCAGAAAGTTCTACTGCGGACGGGTATGGTGGCTTGCACCTGTAACCAGCTGTTTGGGAGCCAAGGCCGGTGAACTGCTTGAGCCTAGGAGTTCAAGACCAGCCTGGGCAACATGGAGAAACCCTGTCTCCACAAAAAATACAAAAATTAGCTGGGTATGGTGGTGCACACCTGTAGTCCTAGCTACTCAGGAGGCTGAGGTGGGAGGATCACCTGAGCACAGGGAGGTCTAGCCTGGGCAACAGAGTGAGACCTGTCTCAAGGCAAAAAAAAAAAAAAAGAAAGAAAGTTCCATTGGGCAATACTAGAAAATACTCTTAGGTTATATTCTAGAACTTTTTCTAATGAACCTAATTGGATTAATCATGATCTCTGCTTCATGAAACATCATCATTGGTTTATGCTGACACTCTTTTATTTGATTTGATCATTTCTAAAGAAGTTGCAATGAGCAATCATAAATCCAATCTGTTACTCCACTAATAGAACACTGACGTCATCTTTCATCTCTTTGTGTGCTCCTTGGTCAGAGTAAATAGCCCAGATTTCTATTTATGGGCAAACGTGTAAATAAACTATGTTCATGTACAAAATGAAATACAAAACAGCTGGTAAAGGAAGTGAAACAGGGTAGGTTATTTGTGTGGCAGTCAGAATTTAATTAACTATAATGCTTTCATTCTTGGACCATTCTCATCACCAGTCCATGTTTTGGCCTTTTGTTTATTTTACACACTTAGGTAATTATTTATTTATTTTTAGTACTAAAATCAACATCCAACATGCCACCATGCCAAAAAAAAGAATATTAACTGACTCTTTAACCAATGCATTTTTAAAGGGACCTTGGATGAACTGAATTGGAATAATCATAATTCTAGGATGATGAGTGTTGTACTTTCTTCTAACATGGTCTTGAGGTCTGTCTCAAGAGAGTGAATATAAATTCTAGCTCTGCCTGATGGGGATGCAGGAGAGGTGGTCATGGGTGTTTACAGCGTATCTTTTATGGGATACGTCTTTATCCCAGCAGACAGTCTAATGCCTAAGCATCCTATCCATTACCAGGTGTCCCTCTCATAGGAAACTCATTTACACTGGCAGTACCCCTGTGGTTCTTGTCTGACCTACATCTAGTCTATTCCTGCCAAGATAGCCATTCTCTAGGAGATCCCTGACCAGGAAAGAAGTTCAATTCAAGTGTGTTGGTCAGGTGAGACACAGAGGAAGCAACTCAACAAAACACATGAAATGAAACAACAGAAGCAGTTTATTACTTACAGATCCTGCATGCCTCACAGGGCCAGCGGGAAGGGGAAAGCCTGTATTGCAGGCTATGGCATTTCCCAAGCAGGTTTCCTGCAGAGAGTTCTCACTGGTGCATTTAGAGCAAGCCACTATATCTGTGTGGTCCACATAGGCTGTGGGGTCAGTGTATCTAGCTGTTTTTTAGGGAGGCAGTATCCTGGAGGTGGCTGTACAAGGCAGTTATCTGGATCTAACATATTAAGAACTTGGAGGAGGTGGATAACTGCAAACTGTGTCAAGGGTGACTAAGCCTGCTTCTGGAATGAGAAAGTTAAACTTAGGTTGAAAACGGATGCTGAAGCTACATAAAAAGAATTTACGACAATGAGATATGATCACCTTTGTCCCATGTTTGCCCTCTCTTGTTTTATTCATGTGTTTGTTCATTCATTCATTTACTCATTTATGAACACCCTTAAACAACTCTCCAGCCAAGATTTAACAACATCAACTATTAATTACATTTTCTTTAAGTACCTTATCTACCCAAGTAAGAGTCAACATTCTCATAAATACTGCATGACTATATAAACTATGATTTGTCCATTCTGTGCAACAAACAGCAACTATTAGAAAAATAAACACCCTGGATCATTTTTAATGACTTTTACTTGTGTAGAATTTAATTAATAAGCCTCACTTTACATGAAATATTATCCTCATTATCTATGCTTGGCCCTTTTAAGTTTTATTTATCGCTTTAAACAAAAATCATGAAAGAACAATCACGAATCCTATTCAACAAACAGAAAACGACCAATACCTTACTTCCCTATGTGACTCTCTGCCACCGACATAACATCCCAAACTTCTTCAATAGGGAAGTGTTCATGCAAAAGTGTAGTGCATAAATTAATAGTGGAATGCTACTGAAATGAATGAAACAGCATAAATATTTGTGTTTCAATGTCTCTCCAATTTGCAGAGCTGTGCAATCATAAATCTTAGATCATGATACATTGTCTTCATTAGTCCATGCTTGACTCTCTTTGATCTTGTTTATACATGCATCCATTTATGTTTAATTACCCCATAAACATATATAAACCCACCCCAGCCTGCAAATATGAAAAATAAACATAACACATATTACGTATGTGATATATATATAGGATACATGTATAAACATAACACATGATACATGTGATATATATGTAGTATACGTGTGTGTGTGTGTGTGTGTTCCTTTTTTTCTTTGCTCATTTGCTACAGAGAACAGCCCAGTAATATTGTTTTTTAATTTGGTAACAGTTACGCTATATGAAATTAATCACCCTTGGTTCATGACATTCTCATCATGCCCGTCATCTTTGACCTTATTTATGTATTGATTCATGTTTAATAATGTAATAAACAACCATCAACCAACCACCCAACTTCAAAACAACAACACTAAACATTACTCACATTGGTTGGTTCATGGCTCATTTTCCACAGAGGTCACAATCAAGATCTTCATCGACAAAGTGTCATTAATTTCACTCTGGAGCCTCCATTCTGTGGAACACAAGGCTGATATTAAAAAGGATGAAAAAACCTAGATTTTTTTAATGGCCATCAGGTGAGAAGCACAGTATTAATCATAATCTTTGGTTCATGACAGTCTCACCACTGGCCCAAGCATAGCTCTCCGCAATTATTCATTTATTAATTTGTATTATTACAAATGAGTGTGTATTAATTCACCACTCTAATCAAAAACAAGAATCATGACTCTCACAAACATATGTCCCTGTGCATCTTACCCAAGAAGGAACCAACCCAGATATTCTTCCTAACGGATGCAGATGACGCAGACTTGGAGTGACAATCATATTTGATTCCTACTCACCCTTTTCAATGTTTTCATTTATTTTTTTAAATACAACAAACACAGATGAACCCACCACTGACCCAGACCAAAAATATTGATTAGTACATCCAAATACTTCTTATCCACTGAGGTCAAAGTCTTGTTTTATTTTATATAGTCCACAATTGTACACAAATGGATAAATCTTAATCTTTAGGTCATAAAACACTGTCTTTGTGGTCCATTCTTGACATTCTTTCATTTCGTCACTTTTGTACTCATCTAATTCATTTTTGACTATGCAGCCACTACACTTGAAGTCACCATTTAGCCCAAGACCAGTGACTATTCTGTATACCTGTTGATACACTTCCTACCCTCAGCCTCAACAGCCTAGAACCTGGCTTTTGTTTTGGAATAACCTCACAGAAGCAGAGACTAGAAAGGTAGTTACTAGGGGTCAGGAGTGAGAGGAATCTGGAGATCTTAGTGAGAGGATGCAAACTTAGGAGTAAGATGCAGTTAGGAGTAAGTTCTGGTAACCCAATGCAGAGTACGGTGACTATAGTTAACAATAATGTATTTCATGCTTGAAATTTGCTAAAAGAGTAGACCTTAAGTATTCTCACTGCACACATGGAAAAACGGAACTACATGAGGTGATGGGTATGTTAATTCGCTTGATTATGGTAATCATTTCACAATATATATGTATATCAAAATGTCACACTGTACAATTTAAATACAATACAAATACATACAATACTGATTTATCAATTATATATTTATAAAGCTGGGGAGTGAGGAACACATTGCCATCATTGGTACATGCTTGGCTGTCTCTGGTTTTATTTACGCATTCATTCATTTTTAACTGTTCAATCAACACCCACAAAGCCGGCTTTTATTTGTCTGCACTCACCTTCTCTGGGAGAGAAACCCCAGTGTGCCCATTCTATGGAACATAAAGCCGGTTAAAAAAAGAAAATAGCCTACGAGGCCTTTTTTGTTTGTTAATATCAGGTTACCAGACCTGGATTAGTCATAATCCTTTGCCCAGAACACATTCTCAGAATTGTTCCATTCGAGGCCTTTATTACCTTATTTCTTTATTCCTTGATTATTTTTAATAACAAAATTAATAGCCACGAACCACTCTGATTTCTTTTTTTAATGCCCCTCAGTTGTGAAGAATTAATCACCATCCCTGGTTTACAACCCACTCCCGTCCTTGCTGCTGGCATGTCTCTCTCTTCTTGTATTGATTGTTAAAACCACCCACGAGAATTACCACTGGTGGTCCCCACCTCCATCCCTCCCCCTCTCATGCCCCTGCCTCCCTCTACCTTAAACAATCACTCCCAAATCTCCTGGATACAATCCCTTTCCAGATATATATATATATAAATTTACAACATATATGTAATATATGTATTCTTAAATATTTTCCATGGGTCAGTGGCTTGCAGGAGTTTTCAGTGAAGGCTAAAGAGAAGGGTCGAGGGAGAGTGTGAAATACACAAGCTTGAGTTCAGAGTACACCCACTGCTGGGGGGATTGGTAAAAGCCCTCAAACCCAGATCACTGAGCCATCTGCACCTGCGCACACACCACGAGCCAGTGGGCCCAGTGGTTGCAGCACATATGCTCACACCTCAGTACCCACCTCCCAAATCCAGCCTCAATGCCAGACGAGCTGGGTGACATCAGCAAAGCAAACTAACGTCTCTGTGCCTGTTTCCCCATCAGCAAGATAGTTGCAGTGGGGGGTCCCCAAGCAAAGTTATGTTATTATTTTCAAGCCAATGGCAACCAGGTTAAAAAAAAATACAAAAAAACCCTCCATCCCACCTCTGAGCCCCCTCCCTCACCCAAATCTTGGCTCCCTCTGCAGCAGCGCCCGAGCTCTGGTGTTAGACAGACAGACAGACCAGGTTCCACCCCAGCAGGCACTCGTGAGCTGTGTAACTGCAGAGACGTGACCTGGCTTCTCTGTCTTGTGCCCCGACTTGTACGGTTTGTAGAATGAGGAATGCAGCGCCCTCGTGGGTCCAACCGGAGGGTGACCTGAACTATCGCCCATCCCTCAAGTAGCCCGCCTTGCACACCTGCGCACACCCCACCCTTTCCCCGTCCCATGACGCCCAGCCCACTGCTCAAACAGTCCCCAGTTTGATCAAAGAAATGAATTAGTTCAATGCTCAGATCAAGCCAAGGGTTTGGGACTCGGGCAGGGAATTGTTCGGGCATGTTCTTTTTTGGACATGGCATCAGAGCTTAAACAAATACACTGAAAAACAGAAATCCAACTAAGGGATGTGCTTTGGAAAATGAAAATTCATTTTGTGAAGTGGGACTGCCCTTGGGGAAGTCTATGCAGTGAGATTCTTGATGTTCAACTTGATTCCAAGAAACCAAAAGAGGCTTCACTATGGGCCTTACCAAAGATACACAGCCAGTTTCCTTCTTACCCCTCCCCCCAGCTTGTCCTGGGTGTGTACCACCTGCCACAACTGGCCTCAGAGCAACTCAGGGACCTGAAAATAATTCTATATATTATATAGAGTTATGGTGTAGGTGTATAACGTCATTTACACATCAATCTGTCCATTGGGGGACTGTCATGAGGGAGTCGTGGGAAGACCACCAGTGTGGGGACCTGCCCCTGCCTTCTTCATACTGTGAGGCCTTGGAGAAGGCCTGTCCCCTCCCTGAGCCTCAGGTGGCGATCGTCCCACCAGCCTTTCCTCCCTCCTAAGTGGTGTGAAAATGAAAAGCATAACATTTTAAGTGCAAGTTCCCTCCAAGCAGCAGGGATCATTAATATTGTACCTCCTGTACCCAGCACGTAGTGTTCACAGCATGCCTCAGCATACATTATCTCGTTTGATTCTCACAACAGTCCTGTGAATTAGACATAATAATCATAATTAGCCAATATTTATTGAATGCATACTCTGTACCAAGCACCACACTGCCTACTTTGCATACATTGACACTCCTCTGGGGTGGATACAATTCAATAGTATCTCATAAATTTTTCCCCAAAATTTCTGAGCATGCACTTTGTATTGTTGCTGGGTCTAAGTGCCAGGGATACAGTAGTGAGCAAAACGGACAGATCCCGGTTCCATGAGAATTAACATCCCTGTGGGTGGAGATAGGAACAGAAAATCATCAGAAAAGGTAAGCCTAATGCATGGGATAAAAGATGGTGGTAAGAACTAGGGAGGAAAATAAAGCAGGAAGGGGGTAGGGAGTGACACCAGGGAGGAGGCCTCACGGAGATGATGATATTTGAGCAAAGCATTACTAGTCCTATTTTATACCTAAGGAAACTGAGACTCAGGGAAGTTAAGTGACTTATAAGTGGTCACACAGCAAGGAAATGCTGAGCCAGGAGGCAAACCCGGGCAGTGTCGCTCCAGAGTCGGCCTTACCACTTCTTCCGGAAGCCTCGTTTTGGCAGCAATGTCCCACTGCCAGCCCGCAATGTGAGTGTGAGAATAAATCACGTGGCGGGGGCTGGGGGGGAGGTGCGAAGGTTTTTCTGACCTCCCACACAGGCAGCCCCAGAAGCAGAGGGAATCCCCAGGATGTACCATTGGACCTGGATGAATAAATAGACTGTCCATCTTGGAGGAGATGCAGGGGCAACAGTTCTTACAGGACTGGCACAGAATCTGAAGTCAGGCAATGCTGGGATCACAGCTTATCCTCAACACAGCCCAGCAAGTCAGCACCAATGCTAAACCCATCTCCTCCCGCCTGGCTGTTAGGGCATCCGATTGCACCCCGCCAGAGGCACCCCATGTGATGTGCAGCCACATGCCACCTAGGCTCCAGTTACAGATGTGCTGCCCCAGGAAAAGGAGGAGGCTTCCCAGTCCTCATGCCCCTCATGGTAAGAGACTCAGAATTTTTCCAACTGGCCACCTCCAAAAGAGCAAGTCAAGAAACATTTCTCAAGTGACTGTTTCTCCCCCAAAAAATAGGAAGGGAAAGAAGTTTAATGAAATCATATCTGAGAACTGGGGAACCTTGCCCACTACTGCTAGAAACCATGAAGTTTAATGAATTTCAACCTCAGAAACTTGGATTCAGAGGACTGTAATTATTTATCTTGCCTTTGACCTACTCAGCTTCTTCCCAGCAACCATGCAACCCCTGTGTAAGCCCCTATACTGCAAGGAAATTCCTTCACAGGAGTCTCACCTCTCTTAGGGTTTCATCTTTCTTTAGATGGATCATGCCCATTTGCTGTGTAGAACTCTTACTTCTATCACTAGAACTTCTAGTTTTAAATTAGTATTTCTGTTTCTATTTCACTGATGCATTCTCCAAAGACAAGCACACAGGCCTCTCTGAGCACCTGTTCAGTTACTGGTAAAATGTGGATAATGATTCTTACCTGCCAATGATATCAAATGACACCTCAATAACAATACTTATAACAACTGTAATTTTCACTGTAAGTAAATATTTATTGAATGCTCAACATCTGGAAAGCATTCTTTTTTGTTTTTGTTTTTTTTTCTTTGGAGACCGGGTTTCCCTCTGTCATCCAGGCTAAAGTGCAGTGGCACAACCATGGCTCACTGCAGCCTTGACCTCCCAGGCCCAAGCAATCTTCCCATCTCAGTCTCCCAGGTAACTAGGACCACAGATGTGCACCACTACACCCAGATAATTTTTAAATATTTTGTAGAGATTGGGGTCTCCCTATGTTTCTCAGGCTGGTCTCGAACTCCTGGGCTCAAGGGATCCTCCCACCTCAGCCTCCCAAAGTGCTGGGATTACAGGCATAAGCCACCATGCCCAGCCTGGAATGCTCTCTTTTAAGGAATTTATATGTTTGCCTCATTTAATCCTCAAGTACTCATTAGTAAGGTACTATCGGTATTAGTAAGGTACTGTTGGTACAACTGAAGAAAACGCGGCACAGAAATTAAATACCTTGTCCAAACTCACAAAAGTAGTCAATGGCAAAGCTGAGATTGAAACCTTAGCACCTAGAATGTGTGAAGTAGGGCCTAGCCCATGAGCAGGTTCTCAAAACCTATCTGCTAATGTTAACCCAGGTCTGCAGCAAGGCTTACTGATTCGCCATTCAGCCCTACATCCAGTCCCCTCCCTCCTTGCCTTGCACTGGAGTCATTTTTACATCTACTACCATTAGCATTCAGTCAGAATATGAGATGCCAGGAATCTAATTTGACTTGATTAATTGTACTGTAGGATGCCAGTGATATGTGTGGCCCTTGCCTGTGTGATCATTACAAATAGAATACACTAGAGATATTACTTGGGAAATAAGCTTGGATTTGATTGGATGAGAAGTTCAGCTCACTGACAGACCAAGAGAGTGAGTCCAATATGAGACAACCCCAAGGCAGATTTCTTCAGACATGGTCATAGAGAAAAGGAAATAAACAGGTTGAGGGGATGAGTTTGGAAGGAAAGAAGACTCGAGTTCAAATCCTGGGTCTGCATTTCCTCCTTATACGATTTTGGGTAAGTCACTTACCACTCCTAAACTTCGGTTTCCTTTTCACTTAATTGAGAATAGAAATTGCTATCATGGAGGGTGGCTGTGATGATTTAGAGGAGATAAAATTATGCCAAGTGCCAGTGAAGGGCTGAGTATGCGGTTGGGGCTTAGGGCTTAGTCATCCAGGAGAGCCAGTGGAAAGGCGGATGCCTGCTCTTCGTCAGTGCTGCGTGAAAGCAGCAGAGACGGAGAGTTGCCACTGAGCAGCTCCAGCACCACAGCTGGGACTTGGTCCCTGTAAGCTGGCATCCCACCTGTTGTCCCAGAGCCACCTGAGCCAGTCAGTGCGCTCAGAAGCAGAACAGAAGGCAGGAGCTTCACCAGCAAGCTCCATTCAGAGGGAACCTCTCTTCAAAGATCAAGTAAGCCTTTGATCTTGGTGGGAAATTGACTATCCTCTCTCATTCCTCTCTCCTTCCACCACCTGTGCTTCAATTCACTCATCCATCTTACCAGCATTCATGAGGTAGCCAGCCATCTCTCCATCTATGCATGTATCTTGATGTAGGCATCCATCCATCCATCAGACCTGACATCCATCCTTCCACCTCTCCATTTTGCAGAGGAATCACACAGACCTGAGTTGGAATCCTGGGTCTTGCTTCCTAGCCGACCTCGAGCAAGTCACTAACCTCTCCAAGTCCTCTAATCTGTAAAATGAAGGGAAATCAGATGTCGCTGGGATGAGGATTTAAAGAGAGCGTAGACATACCAGTGTCTGGCCTCAGCAAAGTCATTAAATGTTCATTCCCTCTGCTTCTGCAATCTGGTTGGGATTTATGCAAGGAAATAAACCACCGCATCTTTTGCATGACATGTTGAGAAGTGCTTTTTAGAAATTATCTGCGATGTTTTAGTGGTGTGCATCTTCCGGTGGCACCCAGGGCTGGGCAGTGGCCAAAGCAGTTTGGGGTGGTGGTCCCCCCTGGACTCACAGTAGAGAGTGCCATCTAGTGGATAGGCACCTGCCGGGGTCCCCTGTTGGTCCCAGGTCACAACAGCTGAGGTCAGGCAGCTAAACGGCAAGCCAGGAGGTCCAGGCGAACCCAGCCCCCAGACTGTAGGCTGCCCTTTTTGGGATGTAGTGCATGTGCTGTTTTAACCACTCAGGGGACCTGGACTGCCAGGAGCCTTTTGTTTTATGGACAATAGCCAGCTATGTTTTGCCTGCCCCTGCCCAAATCCCCTTTAAACGTTTCTGGGAAAAAGAATCATTCTCGCAGCTACTGTTTGCTGAGTGTCTCTGACATATTAGACATGCGGCTGGGGCTTCAGGGGTTAATGCTCTAACCCTCTCAATGACCCAAGGAGAGACCCAGAACTTGCCCCATTTTCAGTGAGAACACTGAGGTTTGCTGAGGTTGAGTTTCTCATTTAAGGTCCAGGCAGATATTCAACCCCTAAATGTGTAGCCATACTTACCTTCTAGAGCCCCAGATCCCCTTGAAAGAGCAGGAGATAGTTTGAACACTGACTTGACCAAGCCAACTGTAAAAGAAATTTATGAGTCAATCAAGAATATTGGAATGCTACATAGATGGTGGATGATATTAAGGAAAGGCTATTAATTTTTTAACTTGTGATAATGGTGTTGTGGTTTTATTTTTAAGAAACAAAAGCTTCTTATTTAGAGATACAAACTAAAAAATGCTCAGAGGAAACAGGATGGTGTCTGAAATTTGCTTCGAAATAGTCCAGGGGTAGGGGTTGGGCAGTGGGAGTAGAGGGACAGTTTAGGGTTTAGATGAAACAAGAGGGGCCAGGGTTTGACGGCAACCGTGTCCGGGTAATGGCAAGATGAAAATTGAGTAAACAGTAAAAATACGTACTATTTTCTCTACTTTTGTGTTGTTTGCAATTTCCCATAATAAAGGGATTTTTAAATCAACAAGTGAAAATACAGTGCAGAAGATGAAGGGCTGGGGGTGAAGGGTGCCATTTAAAAGAACAGAGGGGCCTGGGGTATGAGAGAAATTTTCTGGAGTAGCAGGGAACTGATTCACAGGGGGCAAATGCCTCAAAGTGAAAAGGGAACTAGAGGGGCTGGATCCAGAGGGAAGAGAATCATTCCACGTTGAGTGGACGGAGGACGATGTACCAGGGTGCAGAGTGTTGCGGAACGAGACACCCGCCAGCTGCCCAGAGACCCTCCTGCAGCCCCCAGCGCTCCTCTCCCCACTCTCCCTCCCAGTCCCTGCCTCCCCGAGCCCTCCAGCTCTCTCCCTGACCCCTGGCTGGAAAAGGGCCTGAGGGTACCACTCTTCAAGGCAGAGCGGCCACCTGATGAGCCCTTCCCTGGGACTCTGGTCCCAATTTGGTTACTGGGACAACGCTGTCTCCCATTAGACACGCTTTGAAGGAAGACCCTGGAGTGACCGGCTCAGTCATGCTGGGAAGGATTCAGCTGTCTAGCTTTCAAATGCCTTTTTTTTTTTTTTTGGCTTTTTTATTTCTTTTGGAAAGATAAGAGTTGATGCTTTTACCCTAAAACTGTGTGCCAAGCCGCTCTGGCTATCCTCAGCCCCACTCTTCCCCTATCTCTGTAGCCCTCCTTTCCGTCCTTCATAGGCTGCAAGCTGACTGGCGCCCGACCCCAGGTCCACACCCACCTCCCTCTACCCCCTGGTCCATGCACCACTCCCGGCCTCCTCCCCCACTCTTCTCTTTCTGGCCCCGCTGCAGAGTCTCGGGCCCCTCGGCTTCCTGGGCGCCTGGCCACCACGCAGCGCCTGGAAGTGCTCCCTCCCTCATCTCTCGTTCCCCACTTTGGAAAGCCGGCCACCGGACAGGACAGCTCCCGGGACAGCTCCCGCAGCCTGCTGCATTGCAGCGCAGCCGTCTGTGAGGGAGGGGCGCAACCTGCAGCCCCCGCCCCCCGCCCCGACCACCCCCGCCCAGCAGCCCCCAGCCCCGGCACGGCCGGCTCCCCCGCCGCACCGCACGCATCTGTCGCAGTTAAAAGCGCCGCTGCCAGAGCAAAAGCGCCGGTCCCTCTTGACTGTCCCCCTCCTCACTTTTCGGGCTCAGAAATGTGGCCCAGGCAGCCCCCTTGTGGCACGTGGGGGCGCCACAGACTCTTGGCTGGTGTCTGAAGAATTCAGACTGTCTGATTCCACCGCACCGTGAGTTGGCACAAATCTTCGGTGGCCCAACTCCTACCCGATGCAGAACTCTGCTCAGCGGCCTCTCTGAGTGGGGGGCACCTCTCCCCTCCCCTCTCCCCGTCCACACCTCTCCCTTCTCCCTCCAGGGAGGAAGCGAAGGAACTCTCCTGTTGAATATTGCTCTGACAAGCAGACAGGTGTCTGGCAAACGTGATTGGGGTGGTGGGGGAAGGGGGGGGCCAGGAGGGTGGTGGGAATGGGGGCTTTTCTCGAAATGACGTTTGGTTTCCATCTCTTATCTCACAGATGGGAAACCGAGGTGCGGGGAGGGCCATAGTCCCTGTCTGTGTCAGAGTCAAGGCTGGAGATCCTCCTCCAAGTCCAGCCTGGGGCATTTCCCTGAGGTGCCGGGGCACCCTTAAGACGTACCCCTCTTCCCCCTCCCACTTGTCCAGCCCCTCCAGATCTGGTTCTCCCCGTCCGGAAGCCCTGGAGGGCCCCTGGATGTTCTCTGTCCTCTCTAACTCACTGTCCACACAAACAAGCCCAGCCCCCTCCGTCTCTATCTGCAATCTACTTGCAGACAGGCAGGGCCCTCTCCACATCAGGTTAATAATGCCATTTTCATAAGCCTCTGCCCATAGGTGCTACCACCTAATTTTGAATCTGCCCTTCAAACGGATTGGGCCACAGAGGAGCTGGGATCTCAAGCACCGCTGGGAGGTGCTTATAACTAATCAATCCGTCCCCTGCCCACCCACACCCCCCCAGCACTCGGCACAGCCTCGCTGAGCAGCCTTCAGCAGCAGGGTGTGGTGGGGAGCCTCGGAGAGTCTGGGGTTCCATCCTGGCCCAGCCTCACACCAGCTGAGAGACGGTGAGTATAGGACTTTGCCTTTCTGTGCCTCAGTTTCCTCATCAATCTAATGGGGCTCATGAGACCAGTGTGCAGGGTTATTGCCCGGGTGAGTTCTTTGCAGACAGCCCAGTTCGGGACTTGGCTCCAAGACGGGGCTCCATAAATCTCCATGCCTGCACCCCCTCTTGATCACCTCAATTTCCAGTGTCTTATTCCCTGTTTGTTTCCCCCACCAGACCGACTGAGCTTCGAGGACAGGAAGCCACCGGCATCACTAAGCCACCGGCATCACTTCATCCCCAGCCTCACGCTTGGGACTGGGCCCGGGGAAGGTAGGTACACTGTGGTGGCTTGGAGAATGAGTGCATGGATGGATGTCTGTCCCATAGTCTATGGGATGCCCGGACCCCGCTGAGTTTCTCCTCCCCAGACCCCTGTCTAAGCTGGCCCTTCAAGGAAGCCGCCGGGAAAAACTGTTCCTTTATGCCTTCATGCTTTACCCCTCGTGCTGTTATATACAATGCAAATTCTCGGTCTATTAAATGCAGATGTGGGCTCTGCATGTCATTTATGCTGCCTGCTGCATCTACTGTGAGTTCCACAGGCCGGGGGCTGCCTCCGGCTGACTTGATTTGTGCGATTAAGCCAGCAGAGGGGACTCTGCCAGGAGAGGTTCCCGTTTGTATTGGGAGCAGGGTCTTGAAAGGCCAGGCTGTTTTCTCTCTTGCGACACTTGTTACATACCTCTCTCTCCCTCCCTGGGTCCCACCGTCTACTCCACAAGCATTTATGAAGTGTCTGATGTGTGCAAGCCTACACTTATCTCATTTAGTCCTCACTTCACGCCAGTGACGGAGAAACTCTCATCTCCATTTCACAGGGGAAAAGCCGAGTCTGAAAAGTAAAGGGAATTGTCTTGCAGCTAGAGAGCAGGGAGTCAAGCCGGTCTGCCTGGCTCGGGAGCCCCCAGCCCTGCTGTGGCTGCCTACTGCTGCTGCTGCTGCTGCTGCTGCTACTGCAGGGCTGACCAGGGCTGGCCGGGAGGCCAGCAGCTCCTGCAGAAAAGGCAGGGGGCTGCATACAGAGCGTTCTCCCTAGCAACTGGAAAAGGGGCCATAGAAAACCCAAGAGGGCTGAGAAGCCGCTCAACAGATAGACATGGAGCAGCTGGCCCCAGGAGGGGAGCACCACGCCCTCCCCTGGGCTTTTAGCAGAACAGCAGGGCAAAGGGCTCTGTCCCAGGTCTAAAAGAACAGAGACAGAGGTGTTAGGACAGGTGTAGAGGCGCCCAATCCTGTTCCCACCATTGGTGGGGGTATTGCCATTCAGCACAGAAAGGAGAGGACTGAAAAGAGAGGGAGCCCACAGCCTGCAGAGATCGGAGGGCAGAGGGGGCAAGGGGGCTGCTGCACAGCCGAGGAGGCAGATGCAAAAGGCAGGGGAGGGCTCAGCAAAGCAGCTCTGCGTGCGAGCCCTGAGCAGGCTGCCTGGGGAGAGAGGGAGCTCCCTGTTACAGGAGGCATCCGAGGGGAGAGAGGCAGGCCAGTGCTTGGCTGAGAAGGCTGCAGCACGGTTTCCTGCCCAGGCTGGCAGCCCACATGTTTAGGCCTTTGAGAAGCTCCCACAGCACCAACTCCTGAGCAGGCAAGCGGGCAAGTGAGCGAGGTGGCCAGAGGGGACCAGGCAGGGGTCAGTATGAGGCCATTTGGCCTCTCCCGAGTAGCTTGCCCTGGGCTAAATGGCAAAGGCACAGAGATGGTTGGCGGGGTGCCTCTGTCCCAATAAGGCAATGAGGGAGAGGAGCAGAGAATGGGGTTGAGTGCCCAGGGCTGGTGGGGGGAGGTGGGGACTGTCCTGCTGCCAACTCCCCTCTTGAGGGCCAGAACACCTAGAGTGGCCAAGCACCTGCCCTGGCTCCTGAGCCCACAGAGGCTGGCCTGTGTCCTCTCTGGGGCAACAGGCTGGCAGAGTGAGTGGAAGGAGCGAGGAGGTCTGGCAGGTTGAGGGGCCCTTTTCTGGAGGCTGAGCAGCAACCACAGATGCAGCCAGCTGCCAGACTGTGACTTACATGTTCAGTGGACTCATGAAAGCTCCTCACACAGTGACAGGGCTGGGGTGCCGGCCTGCTGATGAATGCAGCCCACACGGGAGTCGGGAGCTGCCTCTCCTGGCCCATTCACAGGGGTTCAGTTCCCAGGAACTGTGGGACCTTTATCAGGGGACCTCTGCTAGACAAGGCTCTGTTCTGCAGTTTCCAAAGGAGTTTTCTGCCTTATGCTCCCAGTGCAGGCACTCAGCATGTGTGTGTGCGCGCATGTCTGTGCGTGTGCGTGTGTGCATATGGGGGATGGCTGCGAGGCCAGCCAGGGCTCCTTGTCTGTGAAATGCCCAAGGTCCTCGGGGGCAGAGATGCACCTCCATGGAGCAGAAAAATTTCAAGGAGGGCAGAGTCATTCAAGGATGGAGCCCATCCTCACTGCAGCCTCATTGTCCTGCTCCTGACAACCCAATCTGTCAGCCCTGGGGTCGCCACAGCTGCTCCGACCCGCCGTGGGGGGGCAGCATCGTGTTGCAGGTGGAGTGCGCAGGCTGGTTTGCCTTCCTGGCTAACAGACAGACAGACGGCCCTGGCAGCTCAGTTAGGCACTGCAAGCCCTTCGGGAAAAACTGTTTGTTTCTCGGGAGCCTCTGTTTTTGTTGGTTTTTGTTGGTGCTGTTGTTTTAACCTATTAAAAGGTTGATTTGAAGCTGCAGGTGTGAAAATGTTTGGGAGAGTGACATTTACATGTGTCATTTACATAAACGGGGGAGGGGGCGCGATGCAGGGTGCAGAACAAGAGGCACCCACATGGGAAATTCTGTGAACAGGGATTTCTGGTTCAGGATAGCTGGTGGTGCAGAAAGGGTTCTGAAGGGCTTTGGTGTAGATGTGAAAAGTCACCGACCCAAATCCCTATTTAGAGGCAGACGCCACAGGGCAGCAAGCCCTTTAGCCCCTGCCGGACACGGAGGGAACACTCCCCCTACACTCCTTTTTGCTGTGGTTCCCTTGCCCCGTTGCTTGAGGAAGTTAGGAAATGGGATTCTGGCATGAAGCGCAGGGTTAAATTGCAGAGACCTGGACAGCTCTACATATGGCCGCAGAGAAATAGCCCCAGTATCAGACATGTGCCTGACCAGGCTCACGCTCCCGAGTAAACAAATCAAACATTTCGGAGAGCGGAGCCTTTGTTCACAGCGGCCGAGGAGGTTCCCTTTTGTGTAAAGGGCAACGTGCAAGTCATGCTTCCACTAGGTAAGGCTGTACTAACACACAAAAAGCTCATTTAGCCTGAGCCCAGCCCAGGGAGAATTTTCTGTGAAATTTAGGAGAAGTCAGGTTTGGCCAGAAGTTTTTCCAGGAATTATGAACCTCTGGAGACTGTAACCACTGTTCCTTCCGAGTGACCCTTGCCAAAGTCTGTAAAATATGAGCCTCAAAAAATCTGCCTGTGGAGAAGTCTGACTTTTTATATGTTATTTACATAAAAATAAACTCTCACCAAACTTTTCGGGAAACCCGATTCAAAGTGGTAGGGCAGCCCCTTCCCCGGCCCCCAGGTGTTCAAGAAAGCACACTTTTCCCTGGGAAGATGTCTGGGAGGGAGGCGAGCATCAGCTTTTATTGCCCCTCACACTCTCTCTGGCATTTGTGTTGTCCTCTGT
This sequence comes from Homo sapiens, assembly GCF_000001405.40. Classification (NCBI taxonomy): domain Eukaryota; kingdom Metazoa; phylum Chordata; class Mammalia; order Primates; family Hominidae; genus Homo; species Homo sapiens. The sequence continues at coordinate 100,899,917 of NC_000014.9, read as the reverse complement.
TGGGTCTCCCTGCCCTGAAAGGGAGCAGCTGCCCGTCTCAGGGAGGGGGTTAAGCATTTCATGACGGGGTAAGATGGGGAGAGCTACCGAGTTTTGCTGGGTACTGCGTGTTGGCTACTGTGCTGGATGATTTATTTGCGTTATTTCCTCATTGAGATCTCAATAGCCCTGTGTGAGAGAGATTATGAGTCCTTTTTTTTTTTTTTAATATCAGGAAACCAAGGCACAGAAACACTTGGGGATTTGCCAAGGACACGCAGCTCAAGTCTGTTCTGTAGCTGGGTCTGTGCTCAGGGTGGCTGGCTTCCTGCAATGCCTCCTTCTCCCTTCCCCTGGGAGAGAAAAAAAGGGACCAAAAGCCCAAACACTGCCAGTGGCTCCTGTTACTCCTGACAAGCTCCCCAGGGGGATGCTGCCTTGGCCTCACAGCTCCTCTCCCCCAAAGCCTGTGCTCTTTTTAGAATATGACTCGGTCCCAAAGGTCCCAGCACTTGCTCTCAGCCCTGTCCTTCCCCAGAGCCCCTCATCGTTACTCCAGTCATCACATGTCCTCCTCCTGTTCTGGGACCAGACCCGTTTACCTCTGGCAAGGAGGAGCCATAATGGCAATCAGCCATTTCCAAGCTGTAATCATACCCCGAACCTCATCCCCAGAACTCACAACACTGAGACGCTACTCCCGCGCTGTGGACCCCATGACTCTGGGTTCTGGGGCCCGGCACAAGGCAAGCATCAGGGGAACGTGGTATAGCGCAGGCTGGGGCAGTGGGGGGGTGCCAGCCTGAGCCCCACCCAGAAGGGTGTTTGCAGCTTTACAACACTGCAGACTTACCCAGCGCCACGGGACAGATGACACGATCCTCCGACACTGCCCATCTGCCCATCGGTGCAAGAAAGAATTCGAGGCAGTTTTCACTGAGGCAAAGTCAGACCCAGGCAACACTGGGGGAGCCCAGGGCTCCTAGAAAGGGACAAAGGAAGGAGGGTGAGTAACAGTTGACCAGTTTCATCAATTCTAGAAAAATGCAAAACATTCCCTTTAATTGGGAAAAAAATGTCAATGAGGCATCCCACTTCCAGGGTCAGGGCTTCGGTGGGCTTCTGAACACAGTGTTTCGTGGGGCCCATCTAACTTTGGGCTCCCCAACAGGGATATTTCAAGCCTGCTCTTTAAGGCCGGGGAGAAACTGGCTGAAAAGGCACGGCCGCGCAAAGCCTAAGAAGTAGGGAGCCCGCTGAGAGAAACAGGTAGCCCCGTGGGGGTGAGGTGCGCCTAGCAGGTAAACACCAGTGGGGAGGGGCTGAGGCTGGCAAGTTCCAAGACAGACCCTAAAGGGTCTTCCATGCCAGGATAAGGCCTTATTTTTTGGACCCCGTCCCGGAAGCTCCAGGAAGTCAGATGGAGGCTTTAAAGCAAGACAGTAACAAGGTCAAAATGCCATTTTAGAAAGATCACTCAATGAAAATAAACTTTTGCAAACAATTTAACCCACCACCCCATCTCTAAGAAGCTGGGGTAAAGGAACAGTCGAGGATGTGTTTACAGATTTAGCTGCAAGAATGCTCACTGCAGTGTCGTTGGTAACAGCAACAAAAAATGGAAACAGCTTAGATCTTTTTTATCGGGCATTAGTTGAGCAGAATCGTATTAATTAAAACCTCGATTTGTGACACGCTTCCTCACTGATCTGCATTAAGCACCATTTTTATGTATTCTTTTTTAAAAAATAATTTAATGAACACCTATGAATCTGTGACCCACCCTGACGGCTAGGACTGTGACCAAAGCTTCTCCTCCCCCAGAGCACTTTCAGCTGGGATTTTCAACAGTAGAAGAGTGTAATCAACAATGGTGCATACATACCGTGGAATATTAAACAGCTCTTAAAAGGAATGAAACAGCCAAGACCTATTGTCTTCTAATGGACCTCAGTGTTTTGTGCAGAACTGGATTAATCATGATCTTTTGTTCATAAACACTGTCTCATCATTGGTCCAGAAAAGCCCCCTTTTATTTTGCTAATTTATGCACTCATATATTCATTTATAATAATGTCATAAACACTCGTGAGCCCACTCCCCAAACCCAAATCTCAGCAATTACTTACACCTGCCGCCACCAATTCACTGCCCCCCCCCGCCCCCCACCCCCCCACCCCCCCCCCCGCCAACCAGGGTAAAGGACCTGAGGCTTTCATGCCAGCAGCAAGGTGGTTAAATAAACTCTGGTGTGTACAGCTCGCAGGATACTGAGGTGTTGTTATAAGGAATAGTGTTGATCTTTATTATCTCTAAGCAGACTCTTGAAGGAAGAAACACAAGCTGCTGCGAGAGGAAATGTACACTATGATATAGTTTATGTAAAAAATAAACAAAGTCATAGATTTTAGAGGTATATTTATCTACATATGCAAATGCACAGAAAAAAATATCTGGAACCAGACGCCTGAAACTGAGAAGAGCAGTTAATTTGCTGGGGGGTGATGGGGAGGGATCGAGGGAAGCATTAAAGATGGCTTTATCTGCAGTGTTTGATTTTTACTAATGCGTGTATTAATTATCAATCCATTTCTTGCATAATTAGAATAAACATTTTGTGTGGGGGGGATTTAATTTGCTTGTTCGCCTGTGGGTTGTTTTTGTTTTTGTTTCTGTTTTTACAAATACAAAGCAAAGGGCATGTTTCCTGATGGATTGGGAGTGGGTACATGCCCAGAGCAAGTTCTGCAGACACAGGGGATTTATTTTATCGCGAATATGTTTTTTAAAAAATATCTATATGCTCTCACTGGAGCCCCAAGCCTCCGAGCAGCCTGTCAGTGACATCGGGCTGGCAGGTGTGTGCCCAGGGCTGTGATTTCACCACCCACAGCCCCAAATCCCTCCCAAGCTGTCCAGCACCCACGGGGGAGTGCTTTACTTTTTGGTCTTTAAAAGGACCCGAAAGCCAATGCCCTGGCCGGTGTTCTTGGAGATTAGCCGAGTGGAATGAGACCTTGGGGGAATGTGACATGAGATGGGGCCAGGCGGTGGGGACAGGGACCTCTAGAGAGCTGCGGCCCGGCGGCTCGCGTTCGCAGCCTAGACGGCTTGCTGGTAAGGAGCTGGGGCCTCACTGTGCCCCCTGACAGCTTGATTCCTGTGCAAAACACACAACTGCCATGTTTCTTCCCGACTCTAACCCAGAGGGACTGTGGCTAAACGGCACTGGCATTTCTAACTGTCAGCTGCAGGAGAACGGGAAGCAACCTTTGCCCACCCTAGCCCACCCCCACATCCAGAGGAGGCACCCCGACTCCCGTCAGAAGCCCCTCTGTCCCCAGCTCCTGCTTGCACACTAAGCTTCAGGGCCCCCTGCAGCCGTCACAGGCTCTTGGAATCCTCAAACAGGCACAGGGTTACTTGTGTGACAAGGATGTGACAAGCATACTCCCATCTACGTAGAAAGGCACTGAGGCTCCCAGACACCAAGAAGACAAAACTAAGCCCACTTTACACCCAGTCGGGTGGCACCCTCGTCCTGCTCAGTCTCCATCCGCACAGATCACTAATTGGTTAATTGGTTAAATGTCTTCCCTCTCACCAAGCTAATGCAGACAGAGGCCTTCGAGAACTTCTTTACCCTCTGCCAGGCAGAGACCTATTTTCAACCATGACTTTGTGCGGAAGAAATCTGAGACAGGTTAAGCAGCCCTCGGCCTGCATGCCTCGCTCTTAATCGCCTTTCCTGCACGTGAAGCCCCACTATTTATTACACAGCATTTTAGTTTGGACTGAGTTTGATTCCTGTGAAAACCTTGAGGTGATTGCTATAGTTTTGCAATTTTTCTTTCTTTTTTTTTTTTTTGAGACGGAGTCTTGCTGTCACCCAGGCTGGAGTGCAATGGTGCAATCTCGGCTAACTGCAACTTCTGCCTTCCAGGTTCGAGCAATTCTCATGCCTCAGTCTCCTGAGTAGCTGGAACTACAGGCATGCACCACCACGCCCAGCTAATTTTGTGTATTTTTGTAGAGACGGGGTTTCACCATGTTGGCCAGGCTGGTCTCAAACTCCTGGCCTCAGGTGATCCACCGGCCTCGGCCTCCGAAAGTGCTGGGATTATAAGCGTGAGCCACCACACCCAGCAAATATGAAATATTTTTATGGTAAATAAAAATGCAGTGCCCAGACTGAGGTTACCTGCATCCAACCTGCAGGCTGGGGTAGCCCCACTTGGAGACACTCCACTCCTCTCAAAGTCCGCATAAACCCAGCCAGTACCAATGAAAGATATGCCATTGCCTCAAGAAAATGCCCTCTGCAACCTCACGTCGTCCTTCCCCTCCACCCCGACCCTGCTCCCCACACCTTCCCTTTGGATTCCAAAAAATGAGAAGAGCTTGCAAAAGGGCCATTCGGCGGCAGATCCACCTAAAATAAGTGCCTTTTCTACATGTGTTGAGCATCTACTATGTGCCAAGCATTTTATGTTTTATTTCCTTTAAGGTACCAATCAAGGCAACTCTTGAAAGTTGCATCCCCATCCTATGTAAGACGGGGAGGATGATTTACAGCCACATGTCCACAGTCATCCATCTCCCCTAAGCAAACCCTGCCCTGTCTGACCCCCACAGTCATCCATCTCCCCTAAGCAGATCCTGCCCTCTCTGACCTCCAGGTAGACCCCTGAGCCCCATCCCAGATGTCCCCACGCACATCTGTATATCATGGTGATAAACTTTAACACCGCCCTTGGTTTCACATAGCAGACAGACAAGAGTAACAGGGTTAGTGGGTTTTTGGATAACACACTGTGTTAAGGTTATACGACCCTGACTCCTCTCAGACCCTGTCTCCCAAAAGGGGCTGTTAGGTGGGAGAGAGAAGAGCACACATACCTGTCAGGGCACCAAGCGAGTCTGGAAGGCTGGTCTTCTTCAAAGTCAGACTAACAGGGCCCCTCACCCCTCCAAGCCAGGTGCCATCTTGGGGGCAGCAGGGCTGGGTCATGCCCTGTCCTCAGAAACCCCCTGGACCCACTGCCCACTGGGGGCAGTGAGCCTCAGCTGCAGAATGAAGGGCTTGAGTTAGTTCTATTCTAAAGAATCTACAAATTTGCAAATTGTCGAAATTTACACATTAGGACAATGAATATCATTTTTCAGACCTTTTGATTTGGTCCTGGGCCAGGCATCTGCTCCCTTCCCAGGAGAAAGCAGCCATCTCCCCTTCACGCCACCTGGGAGGGCAAGAAGAGAAACTGCTCACTCGGTGGCATGGCCAAATGGCATCTTGCCTCTCTGAGCCCTTGCCCCAGGCCTCACCTGCTGCCAGCAGCCCTACTGTGTGCTGAGGGAAGATGGGACAAAGGAGTCACCAATGCAGATTAATATGAAGGAGCAGGACAAAAACCCCATGGGGTTGCTGTGTATGGGGACCCAGGGCGGAAGGGATGAGCAGCCTGGGGCGCAGCCACTTGAATGGCGCATGCAGGTGGCAGGGTCAGGAGAAAGGAGTTGCAGCTCAGGGTGCTAAATTAAGATTTACTCAAAGTCCAACAGAGGCCGGGGCCCAGACTCAAATACACGTTTTTTTCTTTTCTTTTTTTTTCTTTTTTTTTTTTTTTTTGAGACGGAGTTTCACTCTGTCGCCCAGGTTGGAGTGCAGTGGCATGATCTCGGCTCACTGCAGCCTCCATCTCTCAGATTCAAGTAATTCTCCTACCTCAGCCTCCCAAGTAGCTGGGATTACAGGCGCACGCCACCACACCCAGCTAATTTTTGTATTTTTAGTAGAGACAAGGTTTCACGGTGTCAGCCAGGCTGGTCTTGAACTCCTGACCTCAAATGCTCTGCCTGCCTCAGCCACCCAACGAGCTGCATTACAGGTGTGAGCCACCCCGCCCAGCCAGACTCACATAAACTTTTCTATCCATTTGCTAGAGAGCAAAATGGTTGTCCACCAAGGGCAGGAGGCTTCCAGGAACTGAAGAGCAAGGCTGCAGGGCCATGGCCAGTGAGGACGCCAGCGAGGCTGACGCTCTGGCTGGACTTAGTCCTTGCCCAGTCCGGGTTATTAAAGTGAGCGTGGGCCCGGGTGTGAGGGTGGGTGTAGGTCCCAAGGCCTCGGATTCCTCTTCTGAAAAATGGGGATAATAAAAGGAAGGCCCTCGCAGCTTCTTAGAACGATTGAAAGAGTGAAAACCTGTAAAATGGTGAAAGCAGCGCTTGGCGCATAGTAAGCACTCAGGAAGCATCACGGAGGTCCCCAACGTAGCCACGTGGAAAAAAGCTCACAACAGAAAGGCACGCGAGCAGAGCAGGCTGGAAGACTGTGTGTGTGCACTGTGGTTGCTACTGTAGAAAATGTACGCATGTCAAAAAGACTGGACTTTCACAATTAAAGAAACAAATGTATTCAATAACTTTTTAGCAAGCAGCGAGGATCGAGTGGCACAGGACGGGAGGAGATCCACTTGAACGCTTGCAGCCAAGGTAAGATGTGGGGCAGAGGTCCCATGTCGACCTCCCCCAGGGATCGGGTGGGCAGGCAGGGGAGGTGGGGCAGTGAATGGGATGGCCTGGCACTCAGGACAAGGGTTAAAGTGTTCATTCGTCTGTAAGAAAAAACCATGACATGGTGGTGTGTACTCAAGGCCTCTATTCAAATACTTGAGCAGCTATAATTAGCAGGTCCTGGGCCAGCTGTCCTGTCCCTCCTCGAACACCAAATAAGCTAGAATGAGTTGGGAATGACAGCAAGCACCTTTGGGGGAGATGGAGGCAGACACTGAGACCCCCACTCTTGTGGTCTGGATGCCCCTCAGGCCACGAGGCTGGCAGTATCAACACCATGGAATGAAGATGGCATCTCTGGCTCTGAAGGTCCCAACAGTTTCCCAAATGGCAACTGCCAACCCCACTCTGGGCATCTGCTCCTGCCCAGGAGAAACCTGGCTTTAAACCCTGCCTCTGTCTCTCGGGGGCCTTGTGCCAGCACCTCGCCCTCCGAATCCCAGTTTAACTCTGTAAGACGGCAGCACATCCCCCAACTCGTTAGGAGCAAAGTCAGTTTTAGGGGTGAGTGGCTAGAATCACGCCTGACACAGAGCAGGTACTCAGAGACTCATTTGAATGTATTTAATAAATACATTCTAGTCGTCCCTTTCTGGGTCACATTCCGTCTTCCGCACGTACCCCTCACCAACTCCAGTCATCAGCCTGCCCCTCCCGGGGAAGGTCCTGTATGCTGGGTCTGTGCACCATTGTCGCCGATAATTATGGTTCCAGAGGAGCCACTTCACCCCTCTGGACTCTAGTTTACTTACTCTCCAAGCAGGGCATCGTCCCCTTGTGGGGTTAACGGGAAAATTAAAGTTGACACCATGCATGAAATGCTGTCCAAATCTTGACCATACAATTACAGTGGGTGTTCTGGAAGTAACAGTCGTAAGAATCCTAATGACGGTAGCTATCCCTGACTTGTCCATAGCATTTACAGTTTACAAAGGGCTTCACACACCCGTCTTCCCTGGAAGGAGGTGCTCCTACCTTTCTAATCATCCCCTTAGAAACTGAGGTTCTGCAAGGTTAGCCAGCCTCTCATCTGCCTTCTGCCCTCATTCTAGTTCCACCAGGCCCTGAGGTGGGGCCCTCCTTGTTTGCCTCAAAGTCTTCACCTTCCTACTCTAAGAACAGCTCCACTCCTAGGCCTGCAGCCACCTGGGCTTGTCCATGCAGCCCACTGGGTGAGAGTAGAGAGCCCACCAGAGATGAGCAGGTTCCACTCTTACACCCCTCCCAGCCCAGGTTGGAAAATCAAGACAAGCCATTAGAAGAGACCACATAGTCTGTGCTTTCAACCATTGCTCAGATCTGGCAACCTCTGTTTAAATGAAATAATACGACGACCCCAATTTATAGGAGCAGCTGGTGGAACTAAGGCAGCAATGGGTGTCCCTGAGCTCCACCTGTTGGGCCAGCCACCTCCTCTCATTACTGTTTCCCAGGGACCCCCGCAGGCACCTCTTAGGAACCCCAGAGCTACAGGAGCACAGTGAGAAGACCACCACCGAAACCCTCCCTGCAGACATGGGGAAACTGAGGACCTGGGAGAGGAAGGTCATGTTGACAGTCAGAGCCCATCTAGGCTAGGAGGCCGGTGCAGACCTGTCCCTGCCCACTTGCCTTGAAAGGCAAGATCAGCCTCAGGAGCAGCTGATTGGCCCCGCTGATTTGGGCAAGACAAGAAGGACAAGCTCACCCGTGACCCCTCGCACAGCCCCTCCCGCAGGCGGCACACGCCCCTTCCCAGGGTTATTCTGGGCAGAGTGATACAGCTGCCCCCTGGAGCTGCCAGTCAAGCATAGAGGGGGCAGGGACACAGCAGCAGGAGCGCTGCTGGGCCCAGGCACTCCCTGTCACCTCAGTGGCTTAGCAAGGTGAGGGGCTGGGGGTCCCTCTACAGAAGACCCCCACCCTGCTGGGTGGTTTGGGATTTAGACACGCCCTGGGGACAGCGTAGTTCTACTGTAACTCCCTGTTCCTCCTTCCAAAGACTCAGTTTCCCCATCACTACGATGAAGTCCGAGGCCCATGGGGCCTGGCATTCAAGGACCTCGGTCCAGACCATAGGGGAAGAGAGGGAATGTCCGAGACTGGGCTGCCCTGGGCCGAGATGCCAACGGCCTCCCACCCTGTAAGGCTCAAGTCGTCTTTAGCCACAAGTCAGGGGTGTGCAAGATTGAAGGGTCCCGGGGGGAGGGACTCCAACATAAGCTATGCCAGGCCAGCAGCCCCTGCAGACTCCACAGTCCACTGGGATCCCCAGGACCCAACCCAAACTCCTTATGAGGCCCTCAGGAAGCCCCCAGGAATCTCACCAGCCTCCTCACCAAGTCCCATCAAGTGAGCCATCCTTGACACTTGTTCATACCAGGGAAACCAGGAAGGCTTCCAAGCCTCAAGCTGCCATGGACACATCTTAACCTTGACACGAGTTCAACAAAATAAATAATAATAATAATCGATAAATAATAACAAACCCTCCCAGGGTCCCTGCATGTCCACCCTCACTGTGACGCTGTGCCTTCCATCCACAGGAGGCCACAGCAGGCCAGGCAGCAGAGGGAGCTGCTGGGGGTATTCATTTTGAGGCCACTTCCCTCCTAAGACCCAGTAGCTATGTCCCTCAAACCCAAGGAGCTCTGAGCACCACCTACAAGGAGGCCAAGATGGACAGGGATCTTCACCTGACACCCATCCTGGCAGCCCAGAGAGCCAGGGGCCCCAGGTGTGACTGGGCTAGTTTCTGGAGGCCAGGAGAGGAGGCATGGCCAGCATTCCAGAGAACCCACCTCTCCCTTACTCCCCTTTCCATCCTCACAGCCTCCCCACTCCTCACCAGCTTCACCTTCCTCCTCAGCCCCCAGCCTCCCACCCTCCTCCCCTGTCCTCACCTCTCCCCTAATTCCCCCACCCCGGCCCCCCGCCCCAGGCTCAACTCTGCTCCTAAATATCCTCTCATCTCCTCTTCCAAGCTCTATTTTTAAAATCAGATTTCCTTTACTGTACAGGCGAGCTGACAGAGAGAGGTATTTGCTGAGGGATTTGTCCCCCCCATGGCCCCCCCCACACCCAACCCTTCATAGACACACGTTGGCAGCCCTGACCCAATGGGCCACTGGCTCAGAGGCAAGCAAGGAGCTGACCCGACAGAGGCTCTGGGCACTGAAGGTGGTGAGGCTGGGGCGTCTGTCTCTTGAGTGTTGGGGGGAAGAGGGTCCCATTCGAAGACCTCAAAGGCAGTTGTGACCCCAAACCAGCAGCATTAAATTCTGGGCTTCTTTTTTTTTTTTTTTTTTTCAAATAAGGCGGGAATTTTCAAATCAGTAGATATTTCTTAAAGAAACTGTCATGAGATTTGAGAACAACATGTATTGAGCCACAGCTGAAGGACTGAGAATATGATTTCTGCAAAGCGCAGAGAAGAGGCAGGGCCCAGGCTATGGCAGGCCAGCTGGTAGGCAGGTGAAGCCAGATGGGAATCCCAGAGTGCCCATCTAAAGCCAGAATTTGGAGGCCCGACAGGCCCCAACAACGCCCAAAGCCCTCCCAGAGAGGCAGATGCTCAGCAGGTGTGGAGGGAACCCCCTGGCCCTGCTTCCAAGGCCCCTCACTCACCTCCAGTGGGGTATTCGTCTCCAGGACATGAGTCTCATCTCCTTCCTGGTGATGACCTGCAAGATGGGTCTGCCTCCATTTCCTTCCATTGGGGATCGAGCACCGTGCCTGGCCCAGAAAAAGAATCAGGACATGCTGCTGTATGAATTAATGAATTATGGGCAGAGGGACGTGGTTAAACAAAAAAAAGAAAAGAAACATTTGGGGACAATAAAATCGAAATGCATTTGGAGGCTGGAGAATGGGAAACTCAGTCTTTTCAGAGAGAAGCGTGAGGAACAGGAAATGGAAGCTGGAAACTGTAGGTGGTGAAAAGTTCTAGTTTCATGCGAAAAGAACTTCAGCTTTATAGTTTAAGTAGAGAAGAGCAATCCAAAGATTTTTAATGTAAGAAATAATTGGTCCAATTTTCATTTCATGCTCAGGCATTTAGATTTTATGTTGAGGACATGAAATTTGACAGGTTTGAAGCTGGGAGTGCCATGATTAAAAGTGGGTGCCTTGCTAAAATGGTGAGGCTTTTTGTAGTGATGAAAACACGTTGAGATTTTAAGCAAGAGTTTCATAATTTGAGTTTCCTGGGAAGAAATCTGGACTTTGTTTTGAGGGATGACAGGATCAAAGTTTTATATCATGCTAAGGAGTTTGGATTTTTGCCAAAGGGTTTTAAGAAATGTGATGATGAGATTCTTGTTTGTGGGAGATAAGTATGCAGAAAAACATGATAAAATATATTTTACGGGTAACGGCTTTGGGATTCACATTACAAGCAACAAGGAAACACTGGAAATTGTAAAAGTAACAGCCACCAATTTAACAATCATGCGCAAACATTTTGAATTTCTATCTTGGGGGAGTGCCAATTTCAACCTGCAGAGCTTGCCTAGGAGGTGTGATTAATGTTGACACCAAAGTTGAAAGATTTTAATCAGAGGAGTTAAATGATCAATATTGCGAATATGAAAAGAAATTTGGAATTTATTTTGAGGCTCCAACATGATTAGACTGTTGCATATGCCAAGGAATTTGATTTAGCCAATAAAACTTTCTAACAGAGTGGCCTGGTGAGTTTTTTGCGTTTGATAAATAGTATGCAGTGAATTACAAAATAAAATTCACATTTTATGCTAAGAATTTTGACTTTTCTTCCATTTACAACTAAGAGACACTGTAAGATTTTAAAAGGAGTTATAAGATCAAATTTTATATATTGTCCTAGGAAGTGTGAATTTGACTTTAAGGGATGACATGATCAAATTTTTATATCATGTTAATAACTTTGGATTTAAGCCAATAAAGGGCTTACAGCAGGAACAGGATGAGATTTGGGGTTTTTTAATAGATCATCCTGAGAGAAACTACATGGTAAAATGTCGCATTTTGTGTTAAGTAGTTGGGACTTTATGTTACAGGCAATGAAGAAACCTCGAGAAGTTTTAAGTTGAGAAGTTACATGCTCAAACAAGTGCATTTTGGCACAGCTATAAGACAGGATCTCTATGATAAAGATGATATGATCAGATTTTGCTCACATGCTAAGGAGATGTGATTTTACAAAAGAGTTGAAGGCATTCAAGTGCTGTGTTTGGAAGGGGTGGGGGATGAGCTCATTGAGCTCATTGTTGAAATCTCATGCAGAGGCGTTCGGATGTCAGCCAGTAAAGCGTTTTAAGAAGTAAATTGATGAGGGTTTTGTCTCCAGAGAAACTGGATTGTAAACATATTTTAAGTTAAGGTATCTGGATTTGCTGAACCAGATAATGAATAAGCATCAGACCACTCGTGAGCAGAGGTATCCCCTGGGCACAAGGGCACCCAGGCTGGGCTCCATGCTGAGGAGACGGGTCATTTATAGACAAAGCATGTTTTTATAAAAAGAAGTTATATGATTAAATTTACATAGCATGCTAAGAAGTTTGGACACTATTTTGAGGGATGACAGAATTACATTTTTATGCCATGCTAAGGAATTTGGACTTCAGCCATTAAGAGTCTTGTTTTTTTTTTGAGAGGGAATCTCCCTCTGTTGCCCAAGCTGGAGTGCAGCGGCGCAATCTCGGCTCACTGCAACCTCCAAGGTTCAAGCGATTCTCCCGCCTCAGCCTAGGAGAAGTAGCTAGGATTACGGGCATGAGCCACTACTCCCGGCTAATTTTTGTATTTTTAGTAGAAACAGGATTTCACCATGTTGGCCAGGCTGACCTAGAACCCTTGACCTCAAGTGTTCCACCTGCCTTGGCCTCCCAAAGTGCTGGGATTACAGCTGTGAGTCACCGTGCCTGGCTCATTAAGAGATTTTTAAGGCAGTAACATGGCAGAAATTTTGTCTTGGGTAGAGTAGTCAGAGAAATTTTATAGTAAAATGTATTGTTCTATGCTAAAAATAATTAGACCTTATCTCATAGGTAATTAAGAGATAGAATAAAGCTTTAAGCAGAAGTTATAAGAGCAAATTCGTGTATCTTGCAAGGGAGAGTGACCTTTTTATTTTGAGGAATGACATGGTCAGAATTTTATATCATGCGAAGAGGTTTGGAATTAAGCCAATAAAGGGTTTTAGGAGTGACCTGATGAGATTTGGGGGTTCGTATTAATCAGTTGGCAAGTAAATTACACGGTGAAAATTTTCATTTTATGCTAAGTGGTTGAAACTTTACAGGCAATAAAAATGAATTTTTATATGTGTTAAATAGAGAAATTATGAGATGACCTTTATTCATCTTGCTAACAGTTTAAACTTTGATGTTAAGAAGTATTAAGATTTTTCTAACATGCCGAGGATATTAGATTTTGAGCTGAAGGCAGGAACATTGAAGGATTTAATCATTCACATGGTCGAATTTGTAAATATGTTAAGCAGTGTAGACTTTATATTAAGAGGGGGCATAATCTAGTTTTTAAATCGTCTTGCTAAGAAATTTAAATTTTCACCAATAAAGAGTTTTAAGTGAGAGACATGCTGAGATTTTTATTCCTGATAGATAAGTCTGCAGATGAATTACTTAGTTTTTGTATTTCAATTAGAATTATTTATTTGTATTTCAATTAGAATTTTATATTAGAGGTTTGGAATTTTACAGTAATAATGCATATCTCAGAGGACTTTTATGGAGAGGAAATGAGTTAATTTCTGCAATGTGCTATGTACATCATGATGATGATGATGATGATTCTTATAATTCCTATACCATGCTGATTTGTATACTGTGCTTTAAAAAAATGTGATCTCTACCTTGAGGAATGACAAAATAAGAATTTTATATTATATTAAGGCCCTTACATTTTAACCAGAGAATAGTTTTGGTGAGTTTACATGTCAGATATGTTTACGCTAGAAGGTTTGGATTTAATATTGCAGACAGTAAATAAACAGTGGAAGGCTTTAATCAGAGAGACTGCATGATCAAATTTAAGTGTCATGCTAACAAGGGTGTACTTAATTTTGAGAAACAGCAGATCTGAATTTTGTATCCTGTTGGAAAGCTTGGATTTTAGCCAATGAGTTTCACGTAAGGGGGAACGCAGTTTTTTTTTTTTTTTTTACGGATGGGTCCAGTGGCTTAGAAGAAAACTCAGAAGTAACAAAAGGTGTTAAATTTATAAAGAGCAGTAGCTTTACAGTTAATCTATCAGATAATCAAAGCTTAATTTGCTCTGCCCCAGCAGAGAAGAAATGTGCAAATAACCCCAACCAAGACATTCCCTTTCAATTCTGTCTCAGCCCACTAAAACCACCCAACACTAGATTTCCAAAAATCCACTCTGGGACCGTCAGATTCCAAAGATGTCACATGTTCCCCCCAACCCCCACACTCAATGTCCCAACTCTGCCAGATACATGTCTGTTGGGAGGGCTCAACCAGCAACAGAGAGAAAAAGATATTTGCTAGAAAGAGGAGACCAGACCCACTGGCGTTAAGAAGGGGACCTGGGAGGATAAGATTGGAGAGGCGTGCAGATATGCTTGCACTGGTGAAATTGAGGCCAGATGTGTGAAGTTCCAGAAGCCTCACAAAGAGGGCAGTCCTGGGAGAGTGGAGATTGTAGGAAGAGAAGGAGATTATTTGAAGATCTCCTCAACAGCTCAGAGGTCGGGAGAACATAGCATTGGAAGGAGACCAAATCGAGAAAGAGAAATTGGCCAAAAGTCTGAGTTAGAATCAAGTAACAAATATGCAGTTATCCAGCACATAGTAGGTATGTTATAAAATTTATGGAAAAAAAAAAAAAAAACCCAGACCTGTACACACCCCCTGAAATTTCTATTTTGAACATGGGGAAGGAAATAAGAACTATTTTGGGCTGCTGACCCAACTGACGGGACAGTGGCCAAGTGCCCATTTTCTCCTCTTCCACTGCACTGGTGAAACAGTAGGCATCTTTGCTAGAGATTCCCGCTCCACAACCAAGGTGGCTGGGCTTGCTCCAGAGCCCTGAGCCTGCCAGGGGTGGCTTTGGATGGTGCTGAGATGTGACCTCTGTGATTCTCAGGTGACCAAAGCAGGAAAAGAGGATTGACCAGGTGCATGTGCCAGGGGGGAATGGAGCAGCCTGTGCACCCTGCCAGGTACCCGCCTGCCACGGTGGCTGCTCCCAGCCACAGAATTTATGGGCTGTGAATTTCTCACATCTATGGAGGAAAAGGACAGGACAGGCAGACTGAATAAGCCTGGGAGGCAGGTCAGGGGTTGACAGATCTTCCCTCCCTGGGGGCACCCCAAGTGACCAGCCAAAGAGGCTGGCTCGATACAAGAAGGCTTTCCCCCATTTCTCTCTGCTCTGATTAGTTGGGCATCTGATTTGTCCTTGAGACCCTGATACTGCCACTTCACAAGATCCTAAACTACTGCCTTTACTCCCCACACTCCCCTTCCACCACCAGGTTCTGATCTCCACGGTCCCAGCTACTGACTGGACGCCATCACAACCTTACCAATCTTCAGAATACACTCCTTTCCATCCGACGAAATGATAGAACCCTCTGAAGACTCATTTGAGACGATGATGGAGCATAAGAATCCATCATCAAAACAAATGGAGTCCTCCGAGGGCTCATCCAACACCACCGAGGCGACGTCGGGCAGTGGAGTGCGGGGAGAGGCAGGGCCAGCCAGCGGCCCAGCCCAGGAAAAGAAGGAGCCCCCCAGTGGCCCACTCCAGGAAATGGAAGAGCTGCCCACTGATCTACTCCAAGACATGGAGGAGCCATCCAGTGGCCCACGTAAGGAAATAGAGGATCCACCCAATGACCTACTCCAAGACCTGGAGGAGTCATGCAACGGTTCACACCAGGCAAGGGGGGATCCACTCAGTGGAGCATCTGATAGGATGAAAGAAGCATCAGTCAACCCATCGGGAGCCCGAGAAGAACAAGAGGCTCACACTGACCTGAAGGAATCGGGAAGGGAGGAGACTCCTCAAGAGCAAAACCAGACCGAGCACTCAACCGCAGAACTTATGGCCATGGTGAGGTCCATCATCTCGCTGTACTTCCGAATGCAAGACCTCAAAGAGCAACAGAGAGTAGCAGAAGAGATCTTGATCAAAGGGATCAATGCAGGCCAACTGCCCGCCCCAAAGCACTTCTCTGGCGATCGCAGAGAATTCCACGAGTTCATCGTACTCTGCCAACTGACCTTACAGAGCTACCCAAGAATGTTCTATAACGACCGTCTGAGAGTTGGCTATGTCATCAATCACCTGTCCGGCTTGGCATTAGAATGGGCCAAAGCTCTACTGCAGGAAAACAGCCCCCTGATCGGAGACTTCCCAGCCTTCCTGGAGGCCATGTCCGAAGTGTTTGAGTACCGCCAGGCACTGCGTGTGGCAGAAGAGGCCATGTTCACCATCAGGCAGGGCGGCCGCTCTGCCACTGAGTACATCGATGAGTTCCAGAGCCTGGTACCCATCTTGGGCTGGCCAGATGAAGTCCTGCAGGCCCACTTGTGCCAGGGGCTCAACGAGGAGATCAGGCACTATCTATTCCGGGTCCCTCAGCCGGATTCCCTAGACAGTCTGATTGTGCTCATCCTGCAAATAGAAGAGAAGCTGGCAGAGAGAAGAGCTATGCTCAGGCTGCCCCCCGAGGCCCGCCCCCGGAACCTGACCTGGATCGACTCACCTGCTCCAGAGAGGTGGATGGTCAGCAGCTGGTTGCCCAGCGAAGTCCATCCGGACATCAATCGCGCCCACCTCTTCCTGCTGCTCATGGTGAGAGTGAACCCCTACCACAGCGTCGCGGTCCAGGCCCTGGTGGATTCGGGAGCTGACGGCAACTTCATGGATGAGAAGTTCGCCCAAGAGCACTACGTCGAGCTCTACGAGAAGCCGTACCCACAGCCGGTCCAATCCGTGGACGGCTCGCTGATTGGCAACGAGCCTGTCTGGCTCTACACGGAGCCCCTGGTGTGTATCCACCAGAACCACCAGGAGTCCATCGAATTTGACATCGTACCTTCACCGAACTTCTCTGTGGTCCTAGGCATCCGCTGGCTCCGAGTCCACGCCCCCGAAGTCGACTGGATCAAAGGCCGCTGCACCTTCCACTCTCCCTACTGCCTGAAGAACTGCTTCCGCCCGCCCCCGCCATGCATTGCCCTAGAGAGGCACGGCATGAGCCTGCTACCCGGACTGCCACACCCATACTCAGACCTGGCCGACGTGTTTAACCCGAAGGAAGCAGATGATGAGACTTCCGACCAGCCAAGCTCAGACGGATCCGATGATCTTTCTGAATCAGAGCCCTCTGAGCTTCAGCAGGCTGGAGACAGTGATCACAGCGAGACCTTTTACGAGTGTCCCTCCACCGCGCCTTGGGAACCTGTGGGTGCCAGGATGCAAGAAAGAGCCAGGCTACAGGAGGAATACTGGGACCTGCAGGACATGCTGACCAACAGACAGGACTACATACAGATGATTCCGGAACTGTTTGACCAGTTACACGGAGCCGAGTGGTTCACAAAACTGGAGCTGCGTGGGACCATTGTGGAGGAAAGCGTGAACGGGCACCGCACCGAAGATGTGTGGAAAGCAGCGTTTGGTTTGGAGCTTGAAGAGATGAAGAGCTACCAGCCGTTTGCGCTCTCCCCAGACCCTATCATACCTCAGAACGTGATTCACTTCATCCTAAAGGACATGCTAGGGTTCTTTGTGCTTTCTTATGGCCAGGAAGTCCTGATCTACTCAATGAGTCAGGAGGAGCACCTCCACCACGTCCGCCAAGTCCTGGTCCGCTTCCGCCATCACAACGTCTACTGCTCCCTGGACAAGAGCCAGTTCCACCGCCAAACCGTGGAATTCCTGGGCTTCGTCGTCACCCCCAAAGGGGTGAAACTGAACAAGAACGTCATGACCATCATAACAGGGTACCCTACCCCTGGCTCCAAGCTATCTCTGCGAAACTTCATCGAATTCGTCTTCCCCTACCGCCACTTCGTGGAGCGCTTCAGCATCATCGCAGAGCCCCTGGTGCGGCAGCTGCTGAGCTCCTACCAGTTCTACTGGGGAGTCGAGGAGCAAGAGGCCTTCGAGTGCCTGAAGAGGGCTTTCCGCAAGGCGCCTCTCCTCCACCACCCCAAGCCCCAGAACCCATTCTACTTGGAAACCGGCGTCACCGGCACGGCCCTGCACGCCTCCCTGATCCAAATCGACGACCAAACCGGCAAGAGAGCCTGCTGCGCTTTCTACTCCCGCAACATCTCCCCTATCGAGGTTGAGTACTCTCAAGCGGAGATGAAGATTCTTCCAATACGGGCTGCCTTCATGGTGTGGTGCCGCTACCTGGAGAACACCGAGGAGCCCATCATGATCCTTCTCAACACAGAGGATCTAGCCTCTCTGAATAATGACAGGCTCACCGTACTTCTCCCCGGGCATTGGGTCTTCTTCTTCTCCCACTTCAACTTTGACGTCATGGAGCTGCCAGAACAAGACGGCGGCCGAGCTCTGCCACCTGTGAGAAACCTCCGGTGGAGGAGAGCCTTCCAGAGGAACACTGCCGCCAGGCAAACCCTGCTGCTGGCCTCAAGGGGATTCCCCAGGGATCCATCGACGGAATCCGGGGAAGAAGAGAATGAAGAACAGGATGAGCTCAATGAACAGATCCTACGGCAAGAGCTGCTGGCCATGATACCCATCGACCAGATCCTCAACAGCTTCCTCGCCCACTTCAGCATGGCCCAGATCAGGGCCGTCATTCTGCACTTCTTCCGAGGCCTCCTGTACTGGAAGAACACCCTAGCCCTGGCAGCCATCCTCGTGCTACTGCGCGTGAGGCAATGCCTCTCGCTGCGGCCGGCACCCGCCATGCGGGTGGCTCGGCCCCAGCCCCAGCGCTCCCTACGACTCATCCTGGATTCGTCCCTCATCGCAGGCAGCAGCATCACGACAGCCATCACCCAGCTGCTCACCCAGATGCCCGCTCTCGTAGGTGCAAACACCATCCCAGCCCAGGAGCTGGCTGAGCTGTTCCTGGGCCCTGGCCGCTGGCAGCGAAATGCTCTGCACTCCCAGGCCCACCGAGGCCTGCAGTTCACCCCTGGCTTCTGGCTGACGCTGTGTGAGTTCTTCGGTGTCAGAGTCACCCCCCAGGAGGGCCACCTCCCTGCCCTGCGTCAGAACCGCTACCTGGAGCTGCACGTCGTTGGTGATGAGGATGTCGTCTTGCGAGAAGCCCTGCAAGACGACCTGCAACGTTACCGTCAGTGTGGCCTGCATGACGGCCTGCAAGACACCTCGCAGGACAAGCAGGACAACGACGTGCAGGAGGCCCCACCCAGCCACACAGCAGCCACCCACCCACCCCGCCCACGCCACCTGATGGATCCCCAGGTCCTGGAATTCCTTGGTAGCCGCCTGCTCCACATCCACAGTGCAGATGGCCAGCTGCACCTGCTCAGCCGGGAGCAGGCAGCCAGGGCCCTGAGCCAGTTCCTGACCCTGATCTACAGGCGGGCCCTGCCCATCCCCGCCTGGGAGAGCCAGCCCAGGGAGCAGGCAAGGCTAGAAGAGCTGCCTGATGAGGACGAAGATGCTAACCTCGACTGAAGACGCCTCCCTGTCTCCAGCAAAGAGTCCCCTCTATTTCTCACCCCAACACCTCCCGACGTCCCCTGGCCTCCCCGCGCCTCAGCCTGCTTCGCTTCCCTTCCTGCCACTCCTGACCCAAGAGGAACCCACTTGTGAAGGGCAACAACTTCTTCAACTCATCAACCAGCAATGCCACCTGTGCTAACGGACTACCCAGTCCTCAGAGACCCAGCGCCAGCCCTGGGCTACGAGTTCTCCGTTCTCCAGGTCCCAAGCCCATGCCCGGGAGTGACATCCATGAGGGAGAAAGCAGTGGTGAGCAGGAAGTGACCCCATGACGCGTGGCCAGATGAAGAAGCAGGCACAGCAGGCGCAGCCAAGCAAGCAGGTGACGGGGCCCCCCACCCGGCCTGGTGATGGCCACCCTGGGACACTGACCTCGGGTGCTCCACTGACTTCTTCTACCTCCACTGCCGGTGCTCCTGCTCCCCTGAGCTCCCGCCCCCGCCCCCCAACCCCCATCCCCCAACCTCCCGACATCTGATGATGTGGTGCCTCCCTCACCCCCATCACACCCTGCAAGCAAACCCACCCCCACCCCCACCACATCTGCTTCAGCTTTTTTGACCCCGCCTTCCTCTTGCCCTGAGCTCTGGACTTACCTGGACAAAGCCGCTCTTTGGGGCATCCGGACGTACCAGTGCCACTTACCAGACTTGCACAGCAAAGAGGGCCCCTGCATGCCTTGGGGCGCCTTTCCCTCCCAACACTGAACACTGGACAGTGCAGGGGTGCAGGGGCCCCTCATACAGGGATGGAGTCCCAGAAGGCACACAGACACCCAGGGGACCATGCCGAGTCACAGAGAGGCTCTGGCCACACCACCGCTTTGCAAGGGGAGTAGACCCTTCCCCACCCCCCGAGCTTTCTCACCCCCCAATCTTTTTGCACTCCTCAAATAAAGCAAACTAAAAGACTGTCTGACTTTGGGGTTTGTTCTAAAAGTGGAGGTGGTGGGAGGATAGGCGGGGGAGGGGACACGCATGGGAGGAGGGAGGGAGTAGGTGGGGTGGACGAGGGGGCAAGTGGACTGGGCAGGAAGGGTGGGGGCAGGAAACGCTCTGCCCTGAAACAGCCCCTGGGGGCCTGGCACATGGGCAGCAGGCCTCCCCCAACCTTCCTGAAGGCGTCCCCACCAAGACTCTGGGCACTTCTTTCTGCCATGAGAAGGCACCCACCCCCACTGAGGCCACCAGGGACGTGCACCCCCCACAGGCTCATGTCAAAGAGAGGACAGAAGAGGTGCCTTAGGGCAGTGGGAGGCGGGGGAGTGGGGGCTGTCTCTCCTAAGGGTTCCAGAAAAGGGAGCCCCGAAACCCAGTTCCCACCTCTGGCCTTGGCCTCCTCGCCATGTGATTAACGAGGTGCGGTCTGAGCCCCACACTGCAGGGTCCACAAGCCCTGGTCTCAAGCAGTCCCTAACCCCCACTCCGAGAGGAAAAGTCCTGGGTCCCATTTCAGAGGGTCATGCTGTCCCCAAAGTGGCAAAATGGCTGTTGTGAGGGTGAGGGTGCACTGCCCTGGGTAGGGGAGCTGCCAGGGGTCCCACAGGGAGTTGGGGAGGTAGGGCAGGTGGCACTCACCCACTCTGAGTTCCCCCTCCACAGTCCAGGACATGCTGACCCCTCTTCCTGGCCATGGGTCACACCTATCCAGGAGTGGCCTCCAACCTCCCAGAGCACCCCCGCCCCACTGCACCCCTCCACAGGTGAGAGCTCTGCGAGGACACAGAGGGGAAGGAGCCGTGGGCCTCTCTCAGCATGACCTTGAACTTCATCTAGGAGGGCAAAAACACTGGAGCTCTGTGCACACGGGCCCCCATGCCAGGACACACCAGCTCTGCCCTCTCTGCCCTGCTGAGGAACCTGCTCCTGAAGACACACCGTGAGACCACCCAACAGATCTCAGGCTCAAAGCTCAGGGGCCCCGCAGGGGTCTGACTAGCCTGAGTTGGAGCCACCCCATCCCCTAGGAAAGCCATTTCCACCTGGCCCCAGAGTTCTCAGCTCCCACATGGAAGAGACCCTACTGTGTCCTCGAGGGGAGGCACGGGAGCATGACAGCCTCCAGACAGTGTGGCTCTGCCTCCTGCTCCTACCCATCGTGGACCAGGACCACTGGGCACACAGTGGGGAGCCCCTGACCAAGGACACACCCCACGGGAGCCCAAGGCTGGCACTGCAAGCTCAGCCTCCTTCCTTCCCTGCACTGCCCAGCCCCACACAGGGCTCACGATGCCCTCACAAGTCCCCAGGGGTGCCTGGCCTTCACCCACCATCCACCTGTCTGAAGAATCTACCCCTGATAGCAGCACCAGGAGATCATGGTCAGGATCTCCAGGTTCAAAGGCAGGGGCTACACCTCTGGGCTTCTCTCTCCCTCCACTGGCTGGCTGCAGGAAGGCCTCTCCCAGCCTCAGTTTCCTCATCTGTCACTCCAACCCACCAAGGCTGCTGTGAGGATTCAGAGTTAGGAATAAACTGCTGGGCACAGCTGGCACTCAGAGCTCCCAGCCCCATCCACAGACTTCTCATGTCAATTTCCCAAGGTAAACTTGGGGAAATCAAGGCCCAGAACCGGCTGCAGAGGAGCTGAGGACAGAGCCAGGATGGAGGCCCCTTCCTGGTGGCTGATCTTTGTCCTCTCACCTGGGCCACTTCACCCACTCTGCCTCCAGTCACAAGGCCCAGCAATGACCTCCACAACAACCAACATCACAGCAGCTCCAGGAGCTCAAGGGCACCATGTCTGTCTGTCCGTTCACCTAGCACTCTGCCTCTGATG
The DNA here is from genome assembly GCF_000001405.40 of Homo sapiens. Classification (NCBI taxonomy): domain Eukaryota; kingdom Metazoa; phylum Chordata; class Mammalia; order Primates; family Hominidae; genus Homo; species Homo sapiens. The sequence continues at coordinate 100,877,885 of NC_000014.9, read as the reverse complement.
GCAGCCCAAGACAGGCTGCCATGGGTTAAGGCCAGGGGCTCAGCTGCAAGAGGTGCAGATCCCCTTTAGTGACCTGGCCCCAGAAGGCCCCAACTTTGACTTGCTGGGTGACCTCAGGTAGTGGCTGTCCATCTTCCAGCCTGTTTTCCCATCATCAAATGGGGGATGTAGTGAGAGGGAGGGTCATTTCCAGAATAACCAGACCCAGTCTCCAAGGGCCGCTGGCTCCTAAAACCCCCTCTGTTCCCAGATGACATTCTTCTTGGGGCTCCCAAGTCCCTTGAAGTAAACTACCTTGGGATAGAGCCTGGGGTCATAATGGAGGGTCCCTAGATCAGGTCTCCTGAAGGCCACCCCTGGGGGGTCCCAGAGGCTGGATTTTAATGGCAAATCTCTGTCCCTGCTTGGTAAGGGCTCCTTGGGTAAATGTGGGGTGGATTGGCAGTCCCCGTGTCCCTGCAGCCAGGACCGTCGACGACCGCCATCCTTTCCTCCTGGCCATCAAAGATGGAGGGGCAAGGCCGGGTGCAGTGGCTCACGCCTGTAATCCCAACACTTTGGGAGGCCGAGGCAGATGGATCACCTGAGATCAGGAGCTCGAGACCAGCCTGACCAACATGGAGAAACCCCGTCTCTACTAAATAACAAAAAATTAGCTGGGTATGGTGGCGCATGCCTATAATCCCAGCTACTCAGGAGGCTGAGGCAGAGAATCGTTTGAACCTGGGAGGCGGAGGTTGCGATGAGCTGAGATCGCGCCACTGCACTCCAGCCTGTGCAACAAGAGTGAAACTCCGTCTCAAGAAAAAAAAAAAAAAAAGGTGGAGGGATGAACAGGACTACCTTGCAGGGTAAGGCCAAACAGAGAATTTACCAGCAGTAATCACCCGTGCCCCACAGTGGGGGAATCCAGACACGCGCTAAGGTAAGCGTATTTATCCACAGTTCACACACACACACACATATTGACTGGGGGCTCCCGGTGCTAGAGTGGCCACGGCCCCCCACACCAGCAGACAGTGAGGACCTCGCCTCCTTGGCTCCCCTGCCCCATCCAGCCACAGCAGGTTTAGTTTACAGAGAAGAGCGGCAGCCCCCAGGCCCAGAGGAGAACTACTGATAAAGTGATACAACGGACTCTGGGGACTCCAGGAAAAGGGTGGGAGGGGGTGAGGGATAAAAGTACAAACTGGGTTCAGTGTGTACTGCTCAGGTGATGGGTGCACGAGAATCTCACAAATCACCACCAAGGAACTTACTCATGTAACCAAACACCACCTGTTCCCCAAAACCTATGGAAATAAAAAATTCAAAAGAAAAATAATACAAACCTTTTTTTCTCCTGGGGAAAGAAAAAGGAAGGTTAATGTTAAATGTCATGCTGGGTTATGACATCATGGCCACCACAAAAAAAGGTGAAAACTCCTCTGAACAGCAGACAGCACAGCCTGGCGCGGACACTGGCACACAGGCCCACGGGACCTGGCGGGCCACAACTAAATGCACCCATCTTCCACCTTCTCTGTCCACCCCCAGGTCACTGATGTCAGGGGATGGAGGGAGCCCTGAGCTCCACTCCTGCTGAGTCTTGTCCATCAACCTCCCTTCCCGACCCAGCCCACCCCCATGAGATGCCCAACGTGCCAGCCTCCAGCCCTGGTGCACACAGGGCCAGTTTCTGGAACACTCAACAGCACACCACCCAGGCAGCTGAGGGCTACTCACCGCTCGGGTCCGGACTCGCTCATCCCTCCTGCAGGCGGCCCCAGGTCCAGTTAGGGCCTTGGACTCAGGCCCCCGTGCCAGGAGCTTGACCAGCTCTTAACAATCTGCCCAGGGCAGAGACGTGAGGTCCCCTCCTGCCCACCTGGTGACCCCGGTTGCTCCCAAAGTGAAAAAGAGAAAGACAACAAATAGAAGCCATCACCCCCACTCCCAAGCTCCACCCACCCGCTCAGAGCCCTGCTGCGGGGACGACAAGACCCTTGTCATGCCCCAAGCCCATGAGCACTGACCTCAGACCCAAACAGTAAGCCTCGTCCAGACCCCTGTCCACCTGTCTGAGATCAACAAAGACAAGCATACCCATCCTGACACCACAGAAGCTGAGGGGTAGACCAGGAAGGGAGCGGGTGCATGGGGGAAGCGGGGGTGAGGAAGGGGAGACGGGAGGTGGGAAGGAAGGGCAGGGGAGAGGGTGCTCCCTCCTGCAGGAAGGGAGGGGGTGCATTGGGGAGGAGGGGTGAGAAAGGGAAGATGGGAGGTGAGTGGGAAGGGCAGAGGTGAGGGTGCTCCCTCCTACAGGAAGAAGGGGTGCATGGGGAAGGAGGGGTGAGGAAGGGGAGATGGGATGTAAGTGGGAAGGGCAGAGGTGAGGATGCTCCCTCCTGCACCCTCTTGTCCTCTCTAATGGCCTCAGCTACTGCAAGGCCTCTCTCCCCACACTGGCTGCCCTGCTGCCCCGATGCTCATGCCTGGGCTGGCTGTCGTGGCTTGTTAATGGGGTTAATGATGCCAATATCACAGGGCTTGGTGCGGGTCACCTCTGCCATGCACAGGACCTGAGTTAGTCAGAGAGGCAGAAGACAGAGGTCCAAGAACCAGGGGCCACGGCCGTGCCCCCTGCTCATGTTGCCATTGGGCACCCTCAGGTACCCAGCCTGAGCAGGGTACGCACAGGGGAAGAAGGGAGCCCAGCTGACAGCTTCTGGGGACCCAGAGTTGGGAATCCTTGGGGAGAGGGGAAATGTCTCCAGAACAGGTTTAAGGAGAGAGTAAGAAGCCGCCTGTGAGGGGCCTCAGCCTCCTGGTCATGAAAGAGTCCTGGGTAGAGGCAGAGACCCCTCGAGGAGACCCTCCTCTTGGGGCACAGAAAGGGCCAGCCCTGGTCCGCCAAAGCCCCACCCCCTCCACCCTGGGCACAAAGGGGCACCATCTCTCCAACGTCTGTCCATCCATCCTGTGGGCCGGGTCCCTTTGGAGGGCTCTGTGTGGGAGCACAGCCCCAGCCCCTCAGTGGGAGAAGCCCCAGGGCTACCCAACTCCCCCTCCGGCCTATCTGCCCTTGGCTGTGGAGTCAGCCCAGGGGGTGTCCCACCAGGGGCATAGTTCCCTGCCAAGGAGGGGCCTCAGAGATGGCCCAGCCCCAGGCCCTCCCCTCCAGGAAGTCAGAGAGCTGCAGAAGAGAGAGAGAAGAGCCCAAGGAGCATGCCGGGAAGAGGCTGGCAGGACAGCAGCGGACTTGAGGACGCGTCCCCGTGCAGCCAAGGGTGCAGAGGAGGGTCCGGGGGCTGCGCGTGGTTGAAGGGGATGAAGAAAGGCATCATATAGGAGCTGGATAACTGTGCATCAACTCCTGTATGAAGCCGTTCCCACCCCCCAACTACTGACTACGGGCCGCAACCCTCCTCCCGGAAGCGCAGTGCAAGCGCTCGGATGGCAGAGGGGACGCCTGCTGCTAGTGGTTAGAGCAGTGACAGCAAGGGACAGCCAGCCTAGGCAGTGCCACCCACTGCTGGGCACCTGCAGCGCTGGGGTACCTGTCCACCCTGCCCAGCCTTGCCCTACCTGCCTCCTATGGCCAGGGCCTGGGCCTCCCTTAGCCCCACAGAGCCCCCAGGTGACTGTGCAGCCAGGCCAAGGGACGGAGGATGGGGAGGTGAAGGGGGAGACAGGCCTGATTCTGGCCCAGGTCTGTGAGTGGACATCGGGGACTCGACCCCACCCACCCACTGCTTTGACTCCCTGGTACTTCTCCAGCCTTGCCTTCTACATCTGTGAAATGGGTTGCAACAGGCACCTCTGGGGACCCAGTGAGGACTCATGAAGTCCAGGGGCACTTCAAGAATTTCCCAGAGACAGAAAGTAGATTTTTGGTTGCTGAGGGCTGGGGGGTGTGCATGGAGGGTGAAGGTGACAGCTGAAGGCTCTGGAGTTCTTTTGGGGGTGATGAAAATGATCTTAAATTGATTATGGTGATAGTTGCAGATATCTGTGAATAACTAAAACACACTTCGCTGTGAGCTTTAATGGGCGGATTGTGTGTATGTGGATTACATCTCAATAAAGTTGTACCCCAAAACACCTTCCTTTGTTCTTTGACATCTTTCTCAACCACCATACTGCCTGCCTCGTCCTACACTCTCCAGCCATCCACACCACCAACACACATGCACAGGGACACGCAGCCAGGCACGTGGTAGGTGGTGCAAAAATATCTGTGAGTAAATGACCTGATAATATAACATTCTCTGAAAGAGCCCATGGAGGGAAACCTTTAGGGAAAGGGGTTAAAGATTAAGAAGTAGGGGTGGCAGGAGGGTATGGAGGTGGGAAAGAGGCTCAGAGTGACACATGAATGGAAAAGGGGCTCAGATTGACAGACACATGGAGGGAGGAGGGGCTCCCTGTAACACATGGGTGGAGGAGGGGGCTGGTGTGACACACGGGTGGGGGAAGAGCTCCATGGGACACATGGGTGGAGGAGGGGGTTGGTGTGACCCATGGGTGGAGGAGGGGGCTGGTGTGACACATGGGTGGGGGGGGTTAGTGTGACACATGGGTGGAGGAGGGGGCTGGTGTGACACACGGGTGGGGGAAGAGCTCCATGTGACGCATGGGTGGAGAGGGGGTTGGTGTGACACATCAGTGGAGAGAGGGTTGGTGTGACACATGGGTGTGGAGAGGGGCTCCATGTCACATAAGTAAGGGAGGGGCTCAGGGCAATGCATGAGTGGGGGGAAGGTCTCTGGGTGATGCATGGGAAGGGGAGGACTTCAAGTGACATGTGAGAGAAGCTCAGGTGACACATTAGTAGGGAAAAGGCTCCTCATGACACATGAGTGAAGGAGAGGTGGAATGTGAGACAGAAAAGGGGCTCAGTGTGACGTGTGTGGGAAGAGAGTCTCTGTGTGACATATGGGGGGAAGGGACTTGGAGTAACACAAGAAAGGCGACTTGGTGTGACACGTGGGTGGGAAGAGTCTCTCTGTGACATATGGGGGCAGGGACTTGGAGTAACACAAGAAAGAGGACTTGATGTGACACGTGGGTGGGGGAAGATCTCACGGGACACAAGGTTGGGAAGAGATGCCCAGTGAGACACAAGGGTGCAGGGAGGGCTCCGCGTGTCAGAAGGAGTCCATGCAATACATCAGTGGAGGAGGAGCTCAGTACGACACGGGGTGGGAGAGCGGCTCAGTGTTATACATGCATGAGGTGAGGGGTCCATTCGACAAACGGGCAGGGGGTGCTGTGTGCCTTGTGAGTAGAGGAGGAGCTTCATGTGACATATGAGCAGGAAAGAACTCGGTGTAACACATGGACAGGGACAGGGGCTCCAGGTGACACATGAGTCAGGGAAGGGCTCTGAGTAACACATGTTGAAGAGAAACTCAATGTGATACATGGATGGGGAGAGGCATTCTGTATGACTTATGAGTGTGGGGAGAGACTACATGTGTGACACATGATTAGAGGAGGAACTTAGAGTGCAGCTGAATGGGTGGGGCTCCTAGTGACACACACGCAGAGGACAGGGTCAGAGTGACACCTAAGTGGTGGAAGGAGCTCAGTGTGCTACAAGAGTGGGAGAGGGGCGTCCTGTGACACATTAGTGGGGCTTGCTGTGACACCCTTAAGAAAGATAGAACATTCAGTGTGATACAAGTAGATGAGAAATTATTTGTGTCACATGGGTGGAGGCTCCATGTGACATATGAGTGGAGGAGGTGTCGAACATGACACAAGGATGGAGGAGGAGGGGCTCCATGGGACACCTGGGAGGGAGGAGGAGCTGAGGATGACACATGGAAGGAGAAATGGCTCCATGGAACAGGAGGTGGAAGGAGGTGCTGAGTATGACACATAGGAAGAGGAGGGGCTCCATGGGACACCCTGGAGGAAGGAGGTGCTGAAAATGACACGTGGGAAGAGGAGGGACTCCATGGGACACACGGAAGGGATAGGAAGCTGAGGATGACACATGGGAAGAGGCGGGGGCTCCATGGGACACACAGGAAGGAGGAGGAGCTGAGGATGACACATGGCAGGAGGAGGAGCTCCATGGGACACAAGGATGGAGAAGGCGCTCAATATGGCACATGAGATAAGAAGGGGGTTCCATGGGGCACACAGGTGAAGGAGTGTCTGAGGATGACACATGGGGGGAGGAGGAGCCCCATGGGACACTCACGAGGGAGGAGGAGCTCTGAGGATGACACATAGGAGGAGGAGGAGCTCAGGATGAACCCCAGGTGGAGGAAGAGAGCTCCGTGGGACACACGGGTGGATGAGGTGCTGAGGAGGAACCCTGGGTGAAAGAGGGTTCCATGGGACAAAGCGGAGAAAGGAGGTTCTCAGGATGACTCAAGGGAGGCGACAGGACCTCTCTGTGACACATGATGTAGGAGTGACTCAGTGTGGCACATGAGGGTGGAACTGTGTGACACGAGTGCAGATGGAACTCAGTGGGACACAGAGATTTGGTGTGTCACATGGATTGGGGACGGTTCAAGTGGTACATTGGGGAGGGACAAAAGGCTCCAAGTGACACTGAGTAGTCAGGGCTGGAAGTGACACACGGGGGTGTCTCATGTGACACATGACTCGAGGAGGAGCCTAGTGTGACACGTCTGTGTGGGGCGGGGTCAGAGTGATGGGGGAGGAGGCGCTTCTGGCGATGCATGTGGAAGAGGCTCCACGTGACACTTGAGGCTGGGACACTTTTCAGCCTTGTGAACATCTAATGAAGCAAGCCCCTCCCAGGTGAATGATGGGTGTCCTGAGCTGAAGGTGGAGACCCAGTAGGCCTGCCTCATCTCGGTAGACCCAGAAGCATATCTACATGCCACCAATTCTAATTCTGAACGAGATAAAACATGCAGGTAAACAATTCTAAACATTTTTCAGAAGTTTCTCCAGCAAAAGTAACATTTCCTTAGCAAACATGGGACATCTTTAAAGACCACAGAGGCCCCCGAATACTGAGTGTGCTCTAGTCCTTAAAGGGAGGTGACCCTGAGGACCTCAGAGTCCACTGTTTTGTCCCTGGGAGTCCACATCCCTTCACCCCAGGGCATCACAGGTTCTTCCTAGACACCAGAGGGCCCCAGATTCTGGCTTTCCAACACCTAAAAACTTCCAAAATAGATATTTCACAACAAACACTTCACACACAAAAAAGAAAACATTAAAATCAACTGACAAAATAATTCCCATCTTCAATCACCATCATTTTAGAGCAAAACGTACATCGTTAACAATCCAATGACACCCACCAACGCGGGCAGCACAGAGGCTGACCAGCAGACTAGGTGGCAGAGTTCAGGTGCCAAAAGGCTCCTGGGGCGCAGGAATCTTGCCAAGGACTTGGGAGTGAGGACCTTGGGAGCAATCTAGGGACCCCTGAACTCCGGCAGCCATTACTGAGATGACCCATGGGGAATAGAGAGGGGACATGCAATCTCTCCCTCCAGGCTCCACACAGCAGGACCTCAGCTGAGCCCGCACTTCCTCCCCCTGCCCACCACCCCAGCTGATCCCGCCCTTCTGGAAACCAGCTCACCCTCCTCTGCACTCATGCCCACACCCACGCCCCCACCCCCAGCCCTGGCCCAGGCTCTCCTGCCATCCACCGGTGACACATGACTCGAGGAGGAGCCTAGTGTGACACGTCTGTGTGGGGCGGGGTCAGAGTGATGGGGGAGGAGGCGCTTCTGGCGATGCATGTGGAAGAGGCTCCACGTGACACTTGAGGCTGGGACACTTTTCAGCCTTGTGAACATCTAATGAAGCAAGCCCCTCCCAGGTGAATGATGGGTGTCCTGAGCTGAAGGTGGAGACCCAGTAGGCCTGCCTCATCTCGGTAGACCCAGAAGCATATCTACATGCCACCAATTCTAATTCTGAACGAGATAAAACATGCAGGTAAACAATTCTAAACATTTTTCAGAAGTTCCTCCAGCAAAAGTAACATTTCCTTAGCAAACATGGGACATCTTTAAAGACCACAGAGGCCCCCGAATACTGAGTGTGCTCTAGTCCCTAAAGGGAGGTGACCCTGAGGACCTCAGAGTCCACTGTTTTGTCCCTGGGAGTCCACATCCCTTCACCCCAGGGCATCACAGGTTCTTCCTAGACACCAGAGGGCCCCAGATTCTGGCTTTCCAACACCTAAAAACTTCCAAAATAGATATTTCACAACAAACACTTCACACACAAAAAAGAAAACATTAAAATCAACTGACAAAATAATTCCCATCTTCAATCACCATCATTTTAGAGCAAAACGTACATCGTTAACAATCCAATGACACCCACCAACGCGGGCAGCACAGAGGCTGACCAGCAGACTAGGTGGCAGAGTTCAGGTGCCAAAAGGCTCCTGGGGCGCAGGAATCTTGCCAAGGACTTGGGAGTGAGGACCTTGGGAGCAATCTAGGGACCCCTGAACTCCGGCAGCCATTACTGAGATGACCCATGGGGAATAGAGAGGGGACATGCAATCTCTCCCTCCAGGCTCCACACAGCAGGACCTCAGCTGAGCCCGCACTTCCTCCCCCTGCCCACCACCCCAGCTGATCCCGCCCTTCTGGAAACCAGCTCACCCTCCTCTGCACTCATGCCCACACCCACGCCCCCACCCCCAGCCCTGGCCCAGGCTCTCCTGCCATCCACCGGCTGGCGTGCGTCTCCCCGAGGCGTGCACTCACAAGGGCAACGTCCATCTACACGATGCCTGGCACAGGGCCTGGCACACAGTAGACCTTCACCGAATGTGCAAACGAATGAATGAAAGCCTACCATGTACAAAGCCCTGGAGGCCAGAATGAGCCCCGAAGCGAGGATGATGGAGGTGAGGCGGGTGATGGAGGCTGGAATGGCCAGAGATGAGATGCTGTGCCCAGGATGACAGAGGCCAGATGGAGGTGATGGGAGCCGTGATGATGGAGTCCATGGTAACAGACATGCATGAGATGGACCCCCCCCAAAGACGAGAGGGAGAGGAGGAAGCCAGGGCCCAAGAGCTGGGCCTGGAAACCTCTGAGGGTCAAGGTGGGACATGAAGCAGGAGCCTTTCCTGTCCAGACCAGCGTTCAGCTCGACGCCCCACCACCCACCCCACGCACTTGCATTCACAGAAAATCGACCCTGTGTGATCCTCAGAGAATAATCAGTGAGCCCGAGAGCCCTGCCAGTGAGGAGTGGGACGTGCCCTGGAACAGGGGGCAGCAGACATTTCTGCTTACAGACCCCATGAAGGGATTTTGGAAAGCCACGGATCTCCCCCTCCCATAGCCCATTTTTAAATGGGCCGTAAAAGTTAATAGGAAGTTTACAAAGTTGCAATGAGGTGGCCTCTGGCATATACTATAGCATATAGATGTGACAAATGCTAGGTATGGAGCACTTGTCAAAACCTCAGAGGTCTGGAATCAGCTCATTTTGATTTGTCCACTCTGAACCTCACTGGCAAACCAATCGGGCAAAACAGACTTTTTCAGAAAAAGCCTGATGTCATTTTGGGAACCCCTCAATTCAAATCAGTGTGTAAATATGCAGTGCAAAGGCAAACATTTCCCCCCTGGATTCGGAACCTCAGGTAGATGCATCACCTGGATGCCAAGGAGGGTGGGGCACCGTGGGTATGACGAGAACTCACCTGGAGGCTGGGTGGAGGGTGCAGCATCTGGCCAGAGGGCATGGCGGGCACAGGCGTCGTCCGGGCCCAAGGCCCTGTCCAGAGCGTGATGCAGTAGCCGAGGCCTGGGAGGCCCCATCTGGTCCTGAGGTTCCCCAGCCAGTGCCACAGAGCAGCAGAAGCCCCATGCAGTGGCTGGGGGAGCTGAGGGGCTAGGCACAGGACCCAGCCTGCCCCTTGCTCAACCCATTGTCTTGGGAGCTGCCTTGGAAGCTGGAGACTAGGGGGTGGGGGTGGGGGGGATGGCCAGAACCCCAGACAAGGGGGCAGGGGTTAAGGGGTGGGCAACGGGGGTGGGTTCCACTCCAGGACACAGGAGGGAGAGCCGGTGAGAGGACGGTGTCTGCAGCTCATGGGAGCACAGTACCCCCAACCTTGGCCTCAGCCCAGGTCTCACTCCAGCTGCTTTGCCAAGAAGAGGCAGGGGGGGAGGTGGAGAAGGATGGAGAAGAGGAGGGGTTCAAGGGCCAAGACTCTCACTCTTCTGTCCACTGAGGCAGACCTGGACACAAAGACGGACTGATGGGCAAAGCCACAGGGGATATAGGCATGGGTGACTCCGGGAAGCAGGTCTGGGGGCAGGATGTGGATGTGGCATCGGCACCCAGGGTGCTGTAGGCTCAGGGACAGATCCACTGTCGCCCACTCCCAGTCGCTCTCCACCATCTGTCTCCCACGCATGCACATACACACAAGCATAGAGCTGCATACGCATGCACTGGCAGGCACACGCACCCACACACGTGCACACCGGGCATGCTCACACACTCATAGGCTCACGAAGGCACACACAGGCTCATGGAGGCACACACACCCACACACATGCACACAGCTACCCGCTCCCAGGCCAGGGGCCCCTGTGCTCTGAGCCCTCCCATAACAGGAGCCCGGCACATACATCTGAGCCTAACCCAGAGCTAATGGGCATAGGAGCCCATTCGCCCCACACTAGAGGGTGCACACCTAGGGCTGGGGACTGTGCAGGAGCAGGGGTGAATGGAGGACACTAGCCCCACTGCCAGGAGTCCCAAGTTGCAGAAACCCTCCGGAGGCAGCACTTCTGCAGGAGCACCGGGCTGCATGGAGGCTTTTGGCTAAGGGCTGGCCCTTAGAGGCTCACAGCCAATTCTAAATGAAGGGCAAGAGAGGCAGATCCCCACCTGGGTGACTAACCCCAGGTCCCAGGAGGTCAGGTCTGGAGTTTACAGGGTCTTTCCTCCTAGCATATGGCCCTGTGATTCTGGGGGAGGAGGGCCTCCAGCCATAGCATCTCAGGAAGAGCCCCGCCTCCTGGTCCCAGGAAGGGAATCCCAGTCCCCCTGTAGACACTCGAGAATCCCTGGGAGAGCCTCTACCCGCTCTGAGCCCAGGGTCAGTACCTCTGACATGGGGGTACTAACCAGCACCCAGGCCACAGACAGGCATCTCCAATCACTCCTTCCACCATCAGCCAACACCAGGCAAACATATAAAGTGCTTTGTAAAGTGCAGGTATATAGGTAATGTTTCAGAACACCCTACCAGCGCCCACCCCAGCCCACCCCCTTGCAAGCCCAGCCTTCAGTCCACCTCTGCTTGAAAAGCAAGGGCCCCGTGCATGCCCCCATGGAGTGCTGCCTGCACCCAACCCTGCGAATCTGCCTTGCTGCTCATCTACCCCACGACAGCATCACCCCAGTGAGCCAGCCAGTGCATGCTCTATAAAAGCCAGCTGAGCTGAACTAAGCTGACACCAAAAACCCACCCTCCCAGGGCAATTGGGGGTCCGAGGCGCTCTGCCCAGAAGGCCCTGGCTGCTGATAGGCAGCTGTAGGTCCGTGGGCTGCCTGGGAAGCCACAGCTATCCCATGGTGCTCATCAGTGTCTCCATGGGGTGGGGGCGGGGCTCCCCCTCCTTTGCTGATTAATCCAGTAATATCTGGATTGAATTTGGCAGGACTCTCTGGACCAGCTGGTCACTGTCCTGCACTCCCCTGCCCTGCCCACCCCATCCTGTCAACCCACCTCCACCCACCCAGGCCGTTCATGAGCCCGGCCTCTGCAGAGGGCATCATCTGCTGCGATTCGGACTGGCTTCACTGCCCTCGAGGGCCAGGTTGGATTTCCATTCCAGTCACACGAAATGCCGCACGGCATTGTTGGGTATGGAGGCGGGGGCGGAGTCCGAAGTGTCTTCTGAGAAGTAGGGGGTCACAATCAGAAGCATAACCTCCTGCTGGCTGGTGGGCACGTGAAAACAGCTCTGCACTGAAGGGGAGCTTGAGGAAAAGCTTTCAGAGCCCCGCCTGCCTCTGTCCCACAGCAGCTACCGGTGAGGATAAGAGGGGAAAATTACAGTCATCTCAAAGAAAATTGCAGCCCAAGGCATCTCCATTCCCTGATTCCTCTACAAGCTGAGCTGGGAGTGTCAGGGAAATTGGGAGCCCAGTTCAGCCCCTCTTGGGAAGCAAGAAAGCCATGATTTTCCTCTCCCCGGTAATTGCCCACTTCCCTGCGATGGACTCACTTTGCCAAGTGGCCACCACTCAGGAAGCTCACCATACCTCAGGGACAGTCACCCAGAGCCCACAGCCTGGCTCAAGCCATGGCCCACGGAAGCCAGATAGCAACACAGAAGCCTGGAGAACATCCCTCTGATGGGCAGAAGGACAAAGGGAGTGATGGAGAAACAGGCTCTGAGGAGTGAGTCTGAGACAGGCTGTGGCTGCCGGCAGGGGAGGGCCCACAGTCATCTCAAGGCTCGTCTTTGCCACGGGGCTCTGCCTGGCCATCTAGACCTTCTGTTCTGTCCTCATTTTCCCTAACGCAGCTCTACTTCTGAGTCTTGCTCCCTGAGGCCAACGACTTTATAGAGTAGGATTCACATTTTCTTCACAGGCCTCACAAGCTGGGCTCACCCATTTTGCATTTGGCTTCAGAATCTGTTGTGGAGACTTCTAGGAAATCAGCAATGAGTGATTCTAATTGCTTGTTCTTGGAAATTTCCTAAAATAACTTGGCCAAATGAGGGTGGGGAGCGGGGAGGCAGTCCTCTAAGATGACATTTCTCCTTCATGCAATCCCAACTCTCGAGTTCCAGTTACTCATCAAAGAAGTTCTTGTTTGCACAGTTCCAAGTTCTAATGAGTTTCTAGGAAATATCACCAGAATGATGTGGCATCATTAGGGCGTGTTTTTCAAGAATGCTTGTTAGCTGCTCCCTTTTCCTCCAGACTCCAGCTGAATGAAGTAAGTCGTCCTCTAGGATCCATTCTCATAGCTGTGTCTGAATGGCAAAACTGGTGAGATAAGATTCTCTCCCATTCTGGATATTGCAGAGCTCAAACATCCCAAATAGCATTCAGCGCTCTCTCCTCCCCAAGTCTACATTTTTCGTCCCTTGGATTCTATCTACCTGTAATGCTCTTATGGCTTCTGAGCAAGTCAGTATTCCTGGCCTATTTCTTTACTTGCCATCTCTCTCCAGCTTAATGGACAGTCTGGTGTCAATGGAGCTCCTGGAGGGCAAGTGGTAGAGTCAAGGTGCTCAGGGCAGGGCTGCAGCCCCAAATGCAGCTTCACCTGAGACATTAGCATCCATATCCCCACGTATTTGGGGGCCTCCTTTGCCGTTCATGCTGTCTTCACACCCATTGCGATAGCCTGGCCCTGCCCCAGTCCTAACCTAGATGAACTTCCATTGCTAGAAGGAGGCAACCAGATCTGACTCGCCCCAAGGTTGCAGCTTTACACTGGGCTGGCAAGTGGGGGTTTAGCACCTTCCACTGGGAGAGGAGCTAAGCCGCAGAAACTAGCTTGGGTTACATTCCGGGGTCCAGCCAATTTGGCAGCCCTGTGGGTCAAGGCTGATGTGTGGCCAGCCATGAGTCCAGCAAAACTAAAAGGCATAAAACAGCGCTTTGCTGCGGTGTTACACGCCCTCAGGCAAGCTTCATCGAAGGCATCCCATCTGCAATCCATGATTTCTGCTGCCATGTTCTTCCTAATACGCTTCCTCCCACAAGGAGTCCCCTCTCCACATCTCTCCTGCAACTGGGACCCCTCTTTATGCCAGTGTCACTATTGAGAAATGTTGCAGGCCACCATTGCACAGAAGAGTGTTGTCTGCCCTCTCCAGTCTCAAGACAAACTTGGCCACACCTATCCCTGCCCAGGAAAGCCCAGAGGCTTGAGGTTTTCTCACCAGTTCTGGACACCTGGGTTTCCTCAGAGGCTAGATCTGGGTTCCAGCTCTAGAACATCAAGGGGGTCCCTCTTTCTGGACATCTGGGCTTTGTCAGAGGTTGGAGCTGGGTCTTGGCTCTGGAACATAAAGGAAGTCCCCCTTTCTGAATATCTGAGCTTCATCAGAGGCTGGAGCTGGAGTTCTGGCTCTAGAATTTCAAGAAAGTCCTTCTTTCTGGACATCTGAGCTTCATTAGAGGCTAGGGCTAGAGTCCGGGTTCGAGAACATCAAGGAAACTCTTCTTTTTGGACATCTGAGCTTTGTCAGAGGTTGGAGCTGAGTCCCAGCCCTAGAACATCAAGGAAGTCCCTCTTTCTGCACATCTGAGCTTCATCAAAAACTAAAGCTAAAGTCCTAGCTTTGGAACATCACGGAGGTCCCTCAGCTCTGGAACATCAAGGAGACCCCTCTTTCTGGAAATCTGGGCTTTGTCAGATGTTGGAACTGGGTCCCAGCCCTAGAACATCAAAGAGGTCCCTCTTTCTGGACATCTGCGCTTCTTCGAAAGCTAGAGCTGAAGTCCTGGCTGAAGAGGGACATCAAGGAGGTCCCTCTTCCTGTACACTTGATCTTTATCAAATGATAGAGGTGTTATCTTGGCTTTGGAACATCAAAGAGGCACTTCTTTCTGGACACTTGAGCTTTGTTAAGTGCTACAGCTGGGTCTTGGCTCTAGAACATCAAGGACGTCCTTCATTCTGAACATCCGAGCTTTATCGGAGGCTGGAGCTGGAGTCCTGGCTCTAAAACATCAAGGTAGTCCCTCTTTCTGGACATCTGAGCTTCACTGGAGGCTGGAACTGGAGTCCTGGCTCTAGAACATCAAGGAGGTCCCTCTTTCTGGACCTCTGAGCTTCTTCAGACACTGGATCTGGAATCCTGGCTCTAGAACATCAAGGTCTCTCTTTCTGGACATCTCAGCATCATCGGATGCTGGATCTGGAGTCCTGGCTCTAGAAAATCAAGGAGGTCCCTCTTTCTGGATATCTGAGCATCAGACACTGGATCTGGAGTCCCGGCTCTAGAATATCAAGGAGGTCCCTGTTTCTGAATATCTGAGCATCAGATGCTGGATCTGGAGTCTTGGCTCTAGAACATTAAGCAGGTTCCTCTTTCTAGACCTCTGAGCATCACCTGATGCTAGATCTGGAGTCCTGGCTCTAGAACATCAAGGAGGTCCCTCTTTCTGAACATCTGGGTTTCATTGGAGGCTGGAACTGAGTCTTAGCTCTGGGACGTCAAAAGTTGGGTGGCTCATTCTGAATGCCCAAGGTTCAACAGAGGCTGGAGCTGGGGTCTTGGCTCTGGAACATCAGTGGGTGGCTTGCTCTGGACACCTGAGCTTCATCAAAGGCTGATACTCTGCTCACCACACAGGACTCTCCTGGACTCTCAGCCTGGTCTTGGCTGAGCACAGACTGACTCATCTAGGTGGGGTGCACTCTGAAGGCCATCTCCTCCTCTTCTCACTGCTGACTCAGCGCCATCCATGTCACCATCTCCATCAGGGGCTGGGGTCAGGTCTCCTTTGCCAGGTCATGGCCATGATCCCCAAGGCGGTTGTTTCTCTCAGCAAAGGGGCCATGCTCAGTCCTGTGCACTTACGGCTGGACTTGCCTGCAGTTCTCTTGAGGTACCTCCCTGTGAGGGAGAGGAGGAGGAGAAGCAGGAGGAGGAGGAGAAAGAAGGAGAAGAAAAAGAGAGAGGGGGAGGGGGAGGAGGGAGAAACAAATGAAAGGAAGGAAGGAGGAGGACAAAAAGGAAGAAGAGGGAGAAAGAGGAGGAGGAGGGAGAAGGAAAGGAAAAAGGAAGGAGGAAAAGGAAGAGGAGAAGAAGGCAGGAAAGGAAGGCGAAGAGGGAGAAAGAGGGGGAGGGAGAAGGAGGAAGGAGAAAGAAGAAGAGGAAGGAAGAGGAGGAAGAAGGAGGAGGAGGAAGAGGAAGAAGAGAAGGTGGGAGGAAGAGGAGGAGGAAGAGGAGGAGGAAGAGGAGGGAGGAGGAGACGGAAGGAAAAGAGGGAGGAAGAGGAGGAAGAAGAGGAGGAGGAGGAGAGCAAGGAGAAGAGGGAGGAGGTGGCAGTGGCAGTGGCGGCCATGGTTGTGATGGTGGTGGTAGTGGCAGTGGCAGTGGCGGCCGTGGTAGCTGTGATGGCCGTGGTGGCTGTGGCAGCAAAAGCAGTCGGTCTCTCCTTCCCCATAGGGAGCATGTCCTTATGATCCGCTGCAGCAAAGCCAGGTGTGCAGACTCAGGATCCGTCTTGACTTGGGTCTAGTGCCCTTTGGCCCCTTGCCCCTCAGTGCCCCCGCTCAGCCCAGCCACAAGCTGCTCACAGAAAGCCACTCTGAGGGGTGCAAGGCTCACCTCCCCAGCTCAGCCGGCATTGCTGCCGCGGGCAGGGATGGGTCTGAGGCTCCACCTTTGCAGCCCTGCTCAGGAGCCTACACACAGAGCCTTGCTCAGGAGCCATTTTGAGGAATGAGTTTAGCCACAGCCTGGCTGGGCCATCTTGGCCATCGCTCAACATCAGTTCAAGCATGATGACCACTCAGCCCAGCCCTGGGGAATGTGAGAAGAGGAGGAGGAAGACTCAGAGCCCCAGGGGAGCTTCCTCTCTGGGGCTCCAGGAACTCACGCAGTGAGCTCAACTCAGAACCCCTCTCCACCACCACCTCCTCCTGTACAGTCCCTTCTGGAAAGAAGCCTGGCATCCCACGATCAGTAGAAGGAGGGGACCAGAGAGATGTTAGTTCATCCAAGCACGTGTCAACCTCCGGACCTCCAAGAGCCACCCTCCCCTTTGAGAGCCCAGTGGGCAGGGTAGGGTGCTGGCAGGTGTGTGGGGTTCAAGTCGGCCCCCGCCCTCCCACCCATCACACTACCCAGCGAGACAGGATGCCCAACACTCGCCCCTCCTTATATTAGTAGCACATCCATCAGTTTTTGTTAAGACAGGAAACACATTTATTGAGAGCACAGTGGGGTGCGCCAAGCCCTGTGCTTTGGAACCGCATCACAGCGCCCCTCACAACAGCCCTGTGAGGTAGGTGAAGGAGCCCACTTCCCACATGCAGACACTGAAGGCTCAACAGCTCCCCTAGGCCTCAGGGTTCCTGCGGGGTGGGCAGGGGTCCAGCCCACGGGTCTGACCCCAGGTCAGCGGCGTCCATCAGTCAGAGGGCGGGTCTCTACTCAAGGGGAGGCCCCGGGTCCAGAGTCTCTGGGTCCAGCCTGTCCCGTGGGAATAGGTGCAGGGTGTCCCCGTGGCTGTGGAGGCTGAGAGAGACACAGTTGCAGATGAAGGCCACCTGCTCCCGGCCTCGCTGGCCGACAAGAGTTCACAGACAGACAGGCAGGCCCCAGGAGGGAGGGAGAGGAGAGCAAGTCCCTGCTCACGGGCTCCTAGCAGCATGGAGGGTGAGGGGAGCACCCAGCCACCAGCTCGGCCTGTCTACCTAGTGCCCCTCAACTTCTGGCGTACCCTGCCCTACCTTAGACTCGGCCCACTTGCAGAAACTTCTGGAAGCATCACTCTAGTCCTGACGCCCACCTACAACTGGCAACCTCTGGTTTCTCTCACCTTGATAACCCAGAACCCAGGACTCTCAGCCTCTCTAAATGCTATCCCCAGCTCTTCTGCCCAACCTATCCAGCTTTGATGTTTTTCCTAAAACTCGGTCTCTTCCTCCTCCTGAGGGCTCTAAACATTTCCCCTCGGATCCTCTCCTGTCTGAACCTGCTGAGTGTATTTAAAAGCAAACACTTCCCTCTGCCACTGTCTCCCCAGAGCAGGCTGGTGCTTTCCCCCTTGCCCTCCACTCTGCCCAAGAGTCCCTGGGACCAGCGCAGACAGTTCCAGGGAGCACAGGGCCTCCGCAGCCAGCACCCAGCGGTCCGGGCCCACCAGGAGAGCCGGGATGAGAGCGCCTGTGTGCCAGTCACAAAGCGTTTATTTCACACAAACAATCTCATTGAAGCCCACAATAACCGTGCCAGGCAGGTGTGACGCTTTCCAGGTTACAAACAACAAACTCGCCCA
This sequence comes from Homo sapiens, assembly GCF_000001405.40. Lineage (NCBI taxonomy): Eukaryota > Metazoa > Chordata > Mammalia > Primates > Hominidae > Homo > Homo sapiens. Next base: position 100,859,927 of record NC_000014.9, on the reverse strand, counting down.
GGCCACACAGTCAGAAGGGGTTGCGGGGGCCTCGAACCCAGACCTTGAGTCTCACGAGCCAGCCCACGGCATGCAGCGAGAATTCTCAGGGGTCACAGCCGTCTCCCAAGCGGACACTGTCATGAATTACCCTGTTTCTAACGGGTGGGAAAATCGAGGCTCAGGGTGATTCAAGTAACCTACCTGGTACCCATGTACCATTCTTTGGGGATGAGACAGTTAAAAGGAATCAAGCTCTGGGGTCTTAAGCCCCCACCCCACCCCTCCACCCCCGGTTTTCTGGATGTCTAAAGCTGCGTCCCGAACCTGGCAGGTGCCTCACAGGTCAATGCTGATTGTCACCAACGGTGGGGACAAAGACTTCTCAGGTAGAACAGCCTCCTCCCAAGGCAGGGGCTTCTGAAGCCTCCAGCCTCAGGGAGGGCATGGGGGGCGGAGGAGCAGGTCATCACTCCGTTTGGAAATTGCCAAATGTATTCTACATTCTCAAAATCACCTGGGCCACAACACCAACAAAGACATGTTGGTCCAGATGAAGTTTTATCCTAGATACAAATATTTCCAAAATATTGTGTTTCCACTGGGGGGAAACCCACCAGTGACTGCCTGTCCCCGGCAGGAAGGGCAGTGAGGCCCCAGAACAGGTAGAGACCCATCCCCAGTTCAGCGTTTCCTCCGAAGAGTCTTTGCCAAGAAACACACCCTTTCCTTTTAAACAAATGCGCGTACGCTAGCCAAACAGCCCACTCAGCTCTTTCCAGCCATTTAAACCCTGCCCTCCACAGGTGGCGAGCATCTATTATGTGCCTACTAGTGCAGGAGGCAGGGTGTAAAGGGCCAGGGCAGTGTGGGCCTCAGAGGAGGGGTTCAAGGGCAGCTTCGTGGAAATCTCCCTGAGCCTGTCTCCCCACCCGTCCTCAGGAGACCAGGACCCAGCCCCGCCCACCTCCAAGGGACACTAGGTGCCTGACAGAGCCCCCCAGCCTTAGGTCACACACAGGCCTGGCCTGAGGGGACCCCAAGGCCCACCCAGGAATCGACACCTAAACACAGACTCAGAATCTCCTGGGAGGGGCTCCCTACTGTGGAGCCTCTTGGGAGCAATAGGAGGGGCCCCCTCTGCTTCCAAGTTCTCAAGAACAGGGGATGGGCATGAGGCAGACACCAAAGGCCACAATGAAAGGGCTCCTTAGCAAAGCCCAGGGGAGGAGAGAATCAGGGGACCCACGTGGGTGCTTCTGGGAGCAGGCATGGCAGGGGCCAAGGTGTGGCGCCCAGACCTCACGGTAAAGCTCAGGCTGAGAAAGAAGAGGCGGGTGGAAGAGAGCCGGGGCAGCAACAGGCGCAGCAGCCTGCCCGCCAAGGCTGTGAAAGCTGGAGACAAAGAGTGGGGGCAAGGGAGGCTTGCGTGGGGTGGGGGCCGTGAGTGGGGAGTGGGGAGCAGAAGGAACACCCAGCTCAAACCCCCACCAGCTGGAATGTGGGGATGTGAGAGCCAAACACTGCACCCCCACGTGCAAGAGACGAGGGCTGAAAAAGGAATACGGTGGTCTGGTGAAGAGATGCCTGATCTGAAAGGACCCCTGCGTGGGATGTCTGGAGACCCCTGCCACTGCAGCAGCACCTCCTCTAACGCAGCTGAGTCCCCTGGAGGGCACAGCCTCCTTCCTCATCCCTGCACTTCTCTGCCAGAGCACTCCTGGGCTCTTGGCAGGGGTGGGGACGCACCAGGCTGCATTTGCTGGGGGCTGGCAGGGGTGAGCCGGACCAGGCAGGAGGCCTTATTTGGTGGACTCAAAAATGCACAGGTTGTTTGTGCAAGACTGGGAAGTCCTGGCTCTGATACCAGCTGTCCTGATTCTCAGCAAGCTCATCTAGGAAATGGGCCCACACCCCAGTTAGAGAAGGGAAAGTGTGTACAAGACCCCCGAGCTTGGTGCCAGGCCCAGGGAAGGTGGCAAAGCCTACCTTCTGCACCTTCTACCAGAGACAGAAAAGGGCTGTGAGGAAATTCAGAGCGCAGGATGGAAGCAGGGTTGGTACCCCAAGGATGCCACCCAGAACCCCTTCCTCATCCTCTCTCTAGGTCACCCCACTCCTTCTCCCTAACAAACGAAAGCAGGGGCATACATGAATGTTTGCAGAAACCCCTCCGGGCAGACAGATCGTCCCCTCACGGCAGCGACAGGTACAGCAAACCCCAAAGCACAACGGCCCTGCCAGCTACAACCCGCTGGGGAGAAGCAGCAGCCCACGTTGGAATGGGGGGCAGGGCAAACTCTGAGGAAGGAAAAAGCCATCACTCATCAATCAAACAAATATTTACTCTGGGCCCACATCGCTAAGCACCTGCAGGCTGCTCTGCCAGTGGTCTGCACATGCCACTGACTGTGGGAAATGCAATCCCAGCGTAAGGTCAGGGCTGACTTTTTATTCACTTAGGACTAGTAAAGCCATCACTCATGCTTTCAAGACAAATCCCAACATATGCCCATTCCCAGGGAAAGCCAGCATCTGCACACTGTTGAAACACACCCACCCTCGGCCCTCACAACAGCCCTGTGAGGTAGGCTTTCAGGTGACCTATGGCTTAGAGAAAAGGAGATTGAGGGTCAAAGAGGCAAAGGGTTAATTAAGTGGCCCCTGGGTCTGCCAGATCCTAAGGCTACGCGCTTTCTAACATAAAACACAGATTCGCATCAGACAGCTCAAGTTCCATCAACATGACGCCGAAACAAGGCTCCTGCTCTTCAAACGTGGCATACAAACGTCCGTAAGATACAATATGGTGGTTGTTAACAGGTCCATGAAGAGCAAAATAATAATCTCTTAGTAAAGGTTATAAACATCAAGGCTTGTCATTGGTTACAATTTCATTAGCTATCCATCCATTCAACAGAAAAGAAACGTAAGCGCTACCACTCGCCAGGCACTGTGTTGGGCACCCAGCCTGCTGCATTTGAGCCCAAATGTTGTCAGTTGGGGGGAGGGGTGGGGGAGGCAACAATGCAGTATCTTTGATGGCTGGTGCCTAATATTTTGGGGAAAAGGACGCCACCCAGAAGGGCCTTTTGAAGGCGGACACAAGTAGGTGCTGCACACAGGCCAGGCACAGAGGCAGGAAGCACACAGCATTCAGAAAGCACAGCCAGGCGTTTCCAGCCTCTCAGAGGTGAGCGTGAACGCGTACCCCCGGGGGGTCCAGGGGCATTGTCCAGCGAGTCCCCCAAACCCCTAGCATGAAAGTTCCTGCCCAAATTCCTCCTGTCCCACCATATACCCCTCCAGGTTTAGAGATAAATGCTCTCCCACTCAGCTGCCTGAGTGAGGCTGTCTCCCTGGCCTTTTCTCCTCACTCCCCTGGCACACCCCCGGGGACACGCACACCGCCCTTCCAGAATCACAGTTCAAAATCACGGTTACATTGCTCCTCACAACAGCCCTGCGAGGTAGGTGCCGCAGTCCTCCCCCGTAGGCAGACTCAACTCCAGCTCTCACAGTGACTTTAAACCACACGAGTTTGTCCAGTTCCAGGGTCTTGGCTTTGCCTACTCTCCTTCCTCTCCAATGCAATGAATGACATTCAGAATTCCAGGTTGAACCCCCAAGACCTATGCCTCACCCCCGACCCAGGCAGCAGGAACTCAGGGAGTTCTCACCTGGTCTGGGACCTGCAGGACAGCTCGGAGCTGCACCCAGAGTTTGCAAAATGCCACGTGCCTTGGACACCCAGGTTTGCCTATGGAGTGTTCTATGCAGACCCCTGCACGGGAGGTGATTCTTATCACCCACATGAGCAATCATCTCCCCCAATTTTCTCTAAACAGAGCTGGGCATTAACTCCTCTTGAAAGGGGCAGGAATGGCTCCAAGATCACCTCCAGGAAAGGCCAGAGTGTTCTAATGACTTGAAAACCTGCTCCCGGCCAGAAGCAGCCACTCATCTTGGAACCCCCTGGCTCTCATTTTGGCCTCTCGAGGATATGGGCTGTGATTTCTGAGCACCCAGGGAACACAGTTGGCTGATTCCTAATCAACCTAGTTGTACAGGGGACAAAGTCAGAGGGGCAATCAAACTCGCAACAGAACTCGAATCTACAAGCCTGACCTGACTCAGGGATCTCGCCTTGTCACCGACACACAAGCACGGCCCCTTTACCAACGTGTTCATTGTTTTGTTTCAAAAGGCAATGCGGCAGCGGGTCCTTGGGAGCCAGCTCTAGTATAGCACTGGCTAATTTTTTAAAAACGTCTGTTGGCTGTGAGTGAATGAATGAAGGGATGAAGGGATGAATGGATGAGTTACAACCACTGCCACCCTGTGGAGGAAGCTGAAAGGCTGAAAGCAAAGCTCATGGGAGGGACCATGCGCCAGGCAAGGTGAGGCCTGGGGAGGACTTCTCCGCTCATGGGTGGGAGGGCTTGGCCCCAGGCTACTCTTGACCCCGACCCTGGGTCACAGTCGTGGTGTGTGACACATGGAAAGCACCATGGGGAAGAAGCTATGGGTGACAGTGGCAGACGAGATCCAGCTGGGACGTGCTCAGGGCAGTAACCCCGGAGGAGGCAGCTACAAGAAAGGGTGTTTGCTTCATAACCACAGCCCATGGCGCTACACAGCCCACCCAAAATGAAAGGGTTTGCTTTCAGGAGAAGAAAAGGCCAAAAGCACGGGGTCAAGATAAGTAGGCCAAATGCATGGATGGGTAGATGGAGCAATTCATGTTGAAAGTCATTGCCGGCCTCCCAAACTCGGATACCAAGCTAAACATGTGGGTGAGGGATTCTGACACGGGCAAACAGTGCTCAGTGCTATAGTAGAGGGATGGGTGGGCAGAAGCAGCTCTGCTGAGAGCGGAGGATGCTCTGGAAAGAAGGGCGAGCCCTCCTTGGGTGACATGCCCTCCCTAAATGGCTGTGACTGACCTGTGAGCCCTGATGCTTTGGGCAGAACATGCCCTTTATTCCGCTCCTTAGAATGTAATTGCCCCAGGTGAAGAAAAATGAAAGGAGATTCTCCCATCAGTCCTGATCCAAAATGTTCCATTCGTCAGTTAAACCCCAAAGACCACCACTGAGGCCACATGTGCAGGCCAGGGCTGAGGACATTTGCTGACATATCACAGGACGCGGGGAACCCAATTCCCCTAAGAGGTGGGAAAATGGAAACCCCAGGGCCTGGCTTCATCGGGATCTAATAGGAATGAGTGACTGCGCTGGTGGGAAGGCCACTAACTGATTGTACAGGGTGCTAGGATGTGGCTGTCTGGACCTTGGAGGTTCAAAGAGCTATTCCTGTCCCACAGGGGTTTTATCAAGGGCAAGATCGGAGTCCACAAGCACACCCAGGAGGTCCAGCCTGCAGTGTCTACACCTGCCAATGGAAGGTGTCTTTTTCCCCATCACCCACTTCCCAGGGAGAAGCAAATCCTAACATCAAACAGACCTGAAAGGCCACCTAGGCCAACCCCACACCATGAGAATCTCCTAAACACTACTTTCTCTGAGGGCTGCCTGGCTGGTTCCTTGAATGCCTCCAGTGAGCTATGGGCTCCCTACATCCCAAGGACATCTGGGACCAGTCTCTTCAGAAAGCCATGACCCAAAGGACTTGGACAAACAGTTCACAGAAGATAAAATACAATTTGTTAACAAACATAGGTCAAAGTGTTCACCCATCATTAGTAATTAAAGCAATGCAAGTTAAAGTAATGCAAAAGTACTTTATAACAGAGACAAACTAGCCATATCTTAATTAAGTGGTCATACATTGCTGAACATTGTAAAATGCTGTAAGCTTACTGAAATTATTCAACATCCATACAAAGATCCATAGCCTTTCTTTCAAGAGACTTAACCAAAGGAAATTCATTCATTCATTCACCAATCCATCCTTCCGCCTATCCTTCCACCCTCTTATCCATCAGCCAAACACTCACTCACTCGCTCCTTCCTCCATTCTTCCATCCACTCATTCATCATTTATTTATAGTCTACAACATGTTGGGCATCAGAGATACAAAGGCCAATTCAATAAGCTCCTTGCCCTTATGGGGCTCACAGTCTAGCAGGGGAAACTGATCTGTAGTGAAGCAATGATAATTTCTGGGTGGAAGAACATAATTCTTAAGAATGAAAAAAAGGGTGTTTTAAGCAGTTAGTTGTGGCATTATTCATAATATTTTTAAAAGGTGGTTATACATAAGAATAACAGAATGGTTCTGTGAATGATGCCATAGCCACTCAACAAGGCACAACGCAGCAAGTGAGGTTATGAAGATTCATGGAACAAGGGAAAATGTTGATGACAGAAAATTAAATAGAAGAGGCAGGATACAAAAAAAAAAAAGTGTATGTGGTGAATAATGGCAATTAGGTTTTTTTAAAGAAGGGATGCTCATTAAAGAATAGACACTCTTTTTTTAAAAAAAGTATGCCTGTAAGAATGTAAAATGGGTGACATGTCAGAATGTTGAGTGGTGCATGCATTTCCCACTGCTCTAGGTCAAGTGCCATCCACACCATTTATATTAGGAACACAACGGGACACAGCAGGATTCGTGGCCTGTCTATCCCAGAGGTCCTGAGGCCAAGCTTCCCAAGGAGGGAGTTGGGAGTCACAAGAGGAGGCCAAGGAGAGTTGTAGCTCCTGGTGTCACCAGGAAAGGATTTGTGTGTGGGGAGCATGCAAATGACAATGTCAAGAGACAGAATTAATTCTCATTGTTAAAAGTTTAACGAACACATAAAGATAGGCCCTGACCAGACAGGAGCACTAGGATCCCAACTCGGACCTTGTGGGTCTGGTACAGAAAGAACCGGGTAGGGAGCACGTGAAGGATGTTTTATCTCTGGCTTTTGTGCCATTAGGAACCCTATCCCGAATCTCAGCATCCCAGAACTAAAGAACCTTTGAATTACAGATACAAAACTCTTAAGGGTCAAAACCCTAAGAGCCCTGATCCCCCCTCATGGCCTCCACATTTCCAAAAGGACACACAGAATTCATCCAACCCAAACCCACCCAGCCTCCAGGGCACCAGTGGGTCTCCCCAGAGCTGCTCTCATTGGCTCAGTTCGACCCACTGTGACCCGTCAGGACAGCCCCTAGATGTTGGGAGCAGGCTCTCCTAGCAGCCAACGTCGCTTGTTCCTTCCAATTTCCTCTTGGTGCATGCAATGGGCCCTCCCTTCCCCGCCTTCTGCACACTTTAAGTCTTCCTGAGCCTCTGCTGACTTTTTTTAACAGCCGTACATGAGTTCTTTTGAAAGACCCTCCCGGTCTTCTTCTGCCCTGAACCCCTCCCGCCCCATCCTCATCCAACAGTGACACAGCTTGTCAGGGAGAAGCTTCAGCAGGTGTCCCCAGGGATAATAAGTGCACCCCCAGACCTCAGTCCAGCCAAGGCATAGCCTGGAGCCCCAGATTCTGAAAGAGAAGAAGAGCAGACCCCTGAGGCCCCAGCACCACATCAGGCCCACGAGGCCCAGCTCATGTGGCCCTGACACGTGGTACTGGAGGCTCGGAAGGTGGCTCCTGACACATGAATTCCATGTCCTCCGCCTTCCAAATGCTGTTGCCATCCACTCGGCCGGAGCTAGAAGCGTGGGAACCACCCCCTTCTTCTTGCCTCCCTCCCTCCTTCATATCCTGTCTATAACCCCATAGCTTTGATTCCTGAGCACCCCACTTTGCTGCCATCAGCTCAGACCTCAAGCATCACACTAGCTAACAGCCCCATCCATGCCTGCGCCCGCACTCCCCATCCCACCCAGCGTCTACAGAGTCACTCTGAGCATGACGCCTCCCACTCCAGATGGCCTGGCCCCACCCCACTCCCCTGCCTCCCACGTGCTCCCTGCCACAAGTCCTGAGTCCATCCAAGCTGTGCTCCTACTGCTCCGGGCGCTTGTTAAGAATCCAGTGTTTTTATATGTCCCAAATAGGAATTGAGAGGTCAACAAGGGAGACTTTGGTCCTTGCTTTTACAGACAAACACAGGCACACAACACAAAACTACACACATTTCCTCCACTACAGAGAAAGGAGACTCAACAGAACCGGGGAGGCCCTGGGGGAGGACTGTCAGCACGAGCAACTCTCCAGATTTACCCCGGCAGTCCCCCGGAGGGCGAGTCAGAGAAGAGACAACCTCGACACAGCGAAACGCAATCCCGCCAAGTTACAAAACACGTCGTGAAACAGCCGAGAAGACAGAGAGGCCTTGAACCAGGCTCTGGGGATGGCATGTCAAGGAAGCCAGGGTCCCCGGACCACTTCTGCAACCCCAGGGGTGCTGAGGTGCACCTGCTGCCCAGGGAAACCTGAGTTGAGAAGGGTGGGCGCCCTGCCCCATGGAAGACCAGGCCAGAGGGTGGCCTGGGCACACTGCAGAGAGTTGCAAGAACAAGGTTTCTGGTGGCTTGCCCAGGGCTCCTGGGTCCCGGGGCTTCTGGGTCCCCCTTCTCAGGTGCGCCTGGCCACCTTCTGGCCTTTCCCTGCACCAACCCCTGGATGTGAGTAGGTGCCACACCCAGGGTGGCACACAGCAGGCGGGGCCCATGCTCCACCCAGGGCCTATTGCTCCCTGACCCTCTGCTGCCCCCTGGTGGGCAAAACCTCCTGTGCAGGTGACCCATGCCGCGGGAGTGGCCAAGCTACCCAACAGGCTTCACACCACTCGTTCATGCAACCTTCTGCGGGGCTCAGGGTCCAAGCCCTTCCTGCCTATCCAGGCCATAGATGGGGTACCATCAACAGAGACACATAAGATCAACTCTAGTAGGCAGCTGGTGCCACTCCAGGTTTACAGATGGGGAAACTGAGGAAGAGACAGATGCAGTGAAATGGCCCACACAGCCAAGATAGGGCAACAGCACCCCAAGACCAGGGTCTTCCTGAGCCAGCTCCTCCCTGCCAGGGCAAGTGCATGTGACAAGCACATGACATGCCTACAGCCACCCTCCCTGGGGACCACTTCATTCCACTGTCTAGAACACAGGACTGGAAAGAAGGTTCCTTCCTCTCTTCCCTTTTTCCCTCCTTCCTTTCTTCCTACCTTCCTACCACCCTTTCTTCCAGTCATTCGTTCATCCATTTAGATCTGAGTCCTTTGTTTATGGACTTCAGTAACATAGCTTGAAATTAATCATAGCCTTTGGCCTAAAGGCCTCCATTCACAAGTCCTATTTATTGACCGTTACATTATTTTATTCTTTATTCATTTCTTTTTCATTTCTTCCCAAATTGCATCTTTCTTTCTTCCTCTCACTCTTCCTTATGTTTCTCTGGTTCTTTCTCCTTCTTTTTTTTTTTTTCTTTTTTGATCTAAGATAGTGTCTTGCTCTGTAGCCCAGGCTGGAGTGCAGTGGTGCAATCTTGGCTCACTACAACCTCCACCTCCCGGGTTCAAGCAATTCTCCTCTCTCAGCCTCCCGAGTAGCTAGGATTACAGACAGGTGCCACCACGCCCATAATTTTTGTATTTTTTTAGTAGAGATGGAATTTCACCATGTTGGCCAGGCTGATCTCAAACTGGCTGGTCTCAAACTCCTGACCTCATGATCCGCCCACCTCGGCCTCCCAAAGTGCTGGGATTACAGGCGTGAGCCACCATTCCCAGCCATTCTTGGTTCTTATAAAGTCAGGTGGACAGAATCCCATGAATCAGGGCTCCCGGTCACCACCTTCATGCTGGTCCCTAAAGCACTACTGCTCCTACGTCAAGCACCATTCACTCTCTCATCCACTCACTCATTTGTCAGTCTTCCTTATTTTGGGTATTTGTTTTCCTTATTAATTTTTTTAATTAAAACTCCATGGGCAAACCAAACATCTTTGGCCCATGTATTTATTTGCAATCTTTCTTCCCCGCATTTAGTCACCTTTCACGTTTAAGTATTTATTCTTTTATTTATGAACCTCAATTGCATCTATTTTATTACAGTGGCAGAAGATACAGCCTTGTTTTGGAGCCAGGTATGTCTCTCTATTTTTCATTTATTCTTTGAAAGGTGTAATGTATTTATCTGTTTAAGGAGTATGTATGTAAACTAATTATAATCCCTGTTCAGACAACCTCCCTTAACTATCCATTTATCACTTTGGTTGTTTGTTTATTACCTTTCCTTTTTCCTTTTTCACATCTTTTTATATTTTCTCCATTTTCCCTCCCCCTGGGAACCTGGGCCTGGATTATCTCATCCATCTTCAGGATTACTGACAGTCTTATGACTAATCCTAACAGATCCTACTCTTACAGATACACCCACGTATTCGTTCTCTTTTTTATTGGTTTTTCTTTATTTTCCCTTTCGCTTTCATTTAGTTTCATTTTTGCCTTTCCTTAGCTCTATCTTTGACTCCCTGACACTTCTCTTCCTGCCTCTTTTCACGCTTATGGACCTCAGGTGCCCAGAGTGAGATGAATGACAATCCCATGGGCAGCTCCTTCCTGGCTGTGCCAGGCATTTCCATTTCTAATTCAGTCGTTCATGTGTCCATTCATTCTTTCTGTCATTCTTTCATTTCAATACTTATTCTTTTATTTATGGACCTCAGGTGCACAGAATTGGATTAACCATAATCTGCGGTTCCTGGAGCCTTCTGCACACTGGTCCGTGTGGGGCTGTCTTTTGTTTGTTAATTTCTCCCCCTGGGGATTTGGTGCAGGATTTATTTAACTATCTCAGGAACCCAGTTTTGAATTAGTCATAATTCTTGCTGCCTTCTCTCCTCTTTTTGTCCTTGCGTGGTCCACTCTCCCACATATTTATGTCTTTATTTATTCATTCAATATGTTTGTATTGCTTATATACATCCTGTCATACGTTTCCATATTCTCTCCTCTCTTGCTTTCTCTTTTGGGCCTTGAGTGCACAGGATAGTGAAAATCATCCATTCTCATTCGTTCGGCTGAACGAATTCTATTCAGGTCACTCCTCTATTCAGGTATCTGTGCTTTTATTGATGAACCTCAACGTTTACTGTTTATTATATTTAATGGGTAAAACTGTCTCATTATATTTCAGTGCTTGTCCAAGAAGTGCCTTTTCTTTCATATGCCTACTTCACTTTTCCTTTCTTTTCTTACATCTCTCCCTCTCTCGTTCTTCCAATTTTCCCATTCCTCACTCCTTTTCTTGCATCCTATGGAATGCACGCATTTATTCTTTCATTCAGTCTTACACTTGTGGTCATTTAAAAAACAAACTTCAGAGCCACAGGTTTGAATTAATGTGGATGGCTTGTGCTAAACCAGTCCCCTTTCATCAACTTATTTGATCTAATTATTTATTATCTCTTTCACTTCCTTTTTTCTATTTTCATTTTTTCCCATCCTATTGTTTCTTTCCACCACTCCCTCTTTCTTTCTGTCATTCTTTTGGAGATCTGCACCCAGGATCAATGACCCTCATCCCTGTCTACAATGCCCTCCTCATCGGTCAATGCAAATCTTTTCTGTCGTTCAATCATTCATGCATTCACCGTGCATCCATTCAGTCTTTCTTTCTATGTAAATACTTATTTTTACACTTCTCGAAGGCAGGTGCACCTAACTGGATACATCGTAATCTGCAACTAATGGGCCCTCTCTCTGTGGCCCCACTCCTCCCTCCCATGTGTATGCTTTGAGCCGTTCCTTAGTTGAGTAGGTGATTGACCATACCAGCAGCACTGGTGCCAATTAAGCGGTCTGCTTGGTTCACACAGCCTTTCATTCCTGTTCTAGCATGGCTCTGTCTTAAATCTGCATGCATGTATTTATTCCTTAATATATTACCTCTCTTCCTTTCTTCCTTTTTACATTTCTTCCCATTTTTTATTGTTTCTCTCTCTCTCACTCTCTCACTCATTCTCTCTTGCACTTTGTCTTCGGAGCTCATTGCCATGGAGTGGCTTGGCTGTACGCATCAAAAAGCCACCCGCAAACGTCCATCCTTGGCCGTGCGGTTCCACGTCTCACTCATTACTTCCTTCCTGCATTCATAGCATCCTTCCTTCCTGCTTGCTCTCTTTTTATTAGGCATTTATTCCTCTATTAGTGGAGTCAGGTGCCCTTATGACAAGTCCTAGCCTAACTCTTCTCGTGGATCTACCCATTTATCCATTTGGTTGTTATTTCTTTTTACCGTTCCTTTCTCTCTTCTGTCATAGCTTTCCATACCTCCTGTCCTTCATTTTCATGCAGCTGGGGTGCCCAGGGGGGACCCCAACACCCTCATCAGGAGGACCCATGGGGCCATGTCTTCTCATTCACCTCATCCTTGTCTATTTAGGTACTCACTGACTTGTTCACTTAGATGTTCATTATTTAATGGACAGCCTGTGGTTTTCTAGAAGTGGACCAGCCATAGCCCTTAATCTGTGATGATCTTTTGCCACCATCGATCGCATTGCCTTCTTTTACATCTTTATTTACCACCCATTAATGTATTTCTGTACTTAACATTTGTTACATTGTTTCCTATTTCTTTATTTACCAATATTACCTTTCTCATATCCTTTCATCTAACAGACCTCAGTGCCCAGGACTGGATGACTCAAAACCCCTCACAACATCTTGTCACCTGGCGCTGCACTCCCACTGCTCATTCATCCATCCACACACGCAATGTAGACTTTTTGGCCTTTTTTTCTTTCTTTTGTCATTTATTTATTTATGTGCAGACTTCAAGTGCTCAGGCTTAGATAACTTTTGGTAAAAGTACACTCTCATCTTTCGCCCACTGGGTCCTCTTTCTTTCTTTGCTATTCTTTGAACTCGTTCTCTGTGGTTTATTTTTCTATGCCAGGAGCATATATTATTTGTATCAGTCCTAATGCTTAGCTTACAATAGTCTGACATGGTCCTCCTTACAGAGTTACTCATTACTCATCCTCTAGTCTGTTTTTTTTTTTAACCTTTCTTTGTTGTTTTGGTTTTTTAAAAAAAACCTTTCCCTTCTCCCTTTTGATCACTTGTTCCCTAACTTGCATCTTTTCATTTTGACGGGCCTCAAAATCTATGTCTCATTCTGCACTTCACTACTCATACATCCATTCTTTCTTTCATTTAGGTTCTTTTTCATTGTCAAATGTCAGAGGCATATATTTGAGTTACACATACCCCTTAGTCCATAATCACCTGATATCGCTTTGTGTGTTGCCCTATTACTTAGTGATTCACTGGTTTTTTTCTATTTATATATTGATTGCCTAGCCATCAAAGCGGATGAACCATGGTCTTGTGTACACACACTCTCATCCTGGCTTGCTTACTTCTTTACCTATTTACTTGTTTATTCATTCTCTCTTGCTTCACTCATTCATTCATCTGGTCATTTATTATACAATGCAATAGATACCAGTGAAACAACCTCTCAACAACAACAGCAACAAAACTCAGAACATTCACAGTATCTTTGGCATTCCTGCTTCTTCTCACTGAGTCACCAACCAAGGTACACACAGCCCACAGTCCAGAAACACACACAAATGGCGGATGCAGAGCAGAGACACAGTGAATGTTAAGTTTACTCCCAGATCCTTCTGGGGCTCGCGTCCTAAACATACTGGGGGCAGATCTGAGATGAGGGCCCACGTTCCCCAGGCCCCCTGGGCAAGGCAAGCGCCGCCTGTTCTGCCCCTCTGGACCGTGGTGAATGACCATCCCCATGAGAAACCTGTTTCAAGACCCCAGAATACATAGAGACACACACATGGTACATAGTCTCCTGGTGGGAAACGACGGACATGGAGTTCATTTTTAAATAGGTGGCTTTGTCTGTGGCAATATAAAAATATTTTGGCCTTTCAAGGCAAATACAAAAGAAACTACCCATTAACATGGCTGAGTGTCTCAGTCCCAAACAATAAAGAACTTGAAGAGGTTTAGCCGGAAACTTTGAAGACAGAAAATCTGCCCATTATGTTTTCCAGACATTTCGAGGGGGCGAGCGGAGGTCATTGGAGCTTGAAGCCCATTTGGAAGGCTGGTCCCTCGGCCTGCGTTTTCTCCTTGGCCCTTTGAAGGGCCCCCCAGCTCACAGGGCACTTCCATCCTAGTCTGCCCTGCGGCACAAGAGCCAAAGGGAGACTCAATAATGAAAGAGCCATTCATTTAGAAGAGTGAAAAAGAAGAAATTCTTTTGGGGTCCGACATTTGAAGCCCGCCTATAGAATTCTTTTGCCACAGAGACAACACAAGGAGGCAGGGGGCTCCTGTCTTAGAAAACAGGAGCCCCCAGGTCTGCACTTGGCTTGACTCGATGGGCACCCACCTCCCGGTGCACAGACCCCCGGCCAGTGCCCGCCAGCCCCTCCACGAGGTCCGCCTGGCGGTGTGCTCCGGGCAGCTGGCCCCACCCTCAGCAGCAAGGCCACATGTGTGTTCTTTACACTCCAGCCACTTACGATTTCGAGCTGGAGAGGGGCTGGGGTCCCACATTCGAGGTCCCTTCCCACGTAGGCATCCAGGTGATGGCTTCCGCTGTAACAAGAAGGCACTAGGTCACAGAGTAGAACCTCACTCAGGCCGGCGAGGAGGAGGAGGGCGGATGAGGACAACAGCTCTGGGGGGCGGGCAGGGGTGGCCTGGAGCAGAGACTCCCCAACCTCCAGCAAGTGTGGAATTGGAGAAGCCACGCATTTCTCTCCTGACTCCACTCACCCACCAGCTGCCTATGGAGCGGAAGGGGCAGGTGTGGAGACATGGAACAGACTTGGGTTGGTGCTGTTCACGGAGCGAAGTCGTGCTCTGTGGGACCCAAAGGCTTAGGACCCTGCATAGATGAGAAACGGGGGTGGCCCAGGCCCTGAAGACAGGGCATGAACCTGTGCTCTGGCAGAAGCAAGGTGCCCAGGTCGGCGAGCAGGATGGCTGGCCCTGGAGGAGACCAGGGAAGCGGGGTGTGGCCGGGAGGGCAGCCCACAGAGGGCTGCAGGGCTATTAATGGGCAGCGTTTCCCAAAACCATGGCACACACGTTGTGTGCCTGGACAGACAACTCCACTGTGGCAATTTTGTTCACAGTGCAGTAGGCCCCGGGAAGCACCATGGCCAGGCACATCGAGTCTTCAGTGTCAAGATCTGCCTTACGTTTTAACTTGTTTTTTTGTTTTGTTTTGTTTTTTCTTTTTTATAAAAATCGGGCAGCAGGCTGGGCCAAACATAGTTCAGAATACTCCCAAAATGTTAAGCTTTAAGAAAAGGTGACTTCAGCAATGTCAGACACGTATCATGACACATTTGTCAAGACCCACAGGATGTGCGCCACAAAGAGTGAGCCCTAATGATGTGAACCAAGGCCTCTAGTTAATCATGTATCAGAGTCGTTCCATCGATCGGAACAAACAGACCACACCACACGGAGGCAACGTGTGAATGACAGGGGAGATGGTGGGGACGGGATCTGGGAATTCTCTGTACTTTCCCACCAATGTTTCTGTAAACTGAAAACTACACAGAAAAAAAGTTTATTCATTTAAAAAATGTGTTGAATGAATGGCTTTTAAAATCTGTTCAGAGTCTACTTAAGGTGAGGAGGCGTCATAGAAAGGTAGCCTGTGACAGCTGAGGTCCCACCAACGCAGCAAGCTAGGTGATAGGGCAGCCAGGGGCTGGGCCAGGAGGACAGGGCCAAGGTCTGTTTGAAAACACCATCTCTGGGGACCGTTTCCTGGATTAGGCACAGGTGGAGACAGGAAGCCAGGGGGAGACCATGGGACACCCCCACAAAGCCACCCAGGAAACAGAAAGGCCATGAGAGAGATGTGGGGGCACCAGGGCAGGCAGAAGCCACAGACCACAGGTACCAGCCCCAGGGGGGTGGCTCATGCCTGTCATCCCAGCGCTTTGGGAGGCTGAGGCAGGTGGATCGCCTGAGGTCAGGAGTTCGAGACCAGCCTGACCAACATGATGAAACCCCGTCTCTACTAAAAACTAGCTCAGCGTGGTGGTATGTGCCTATGGTCTCAGCTACTCGGGAGGCTGAGACAGGAGAATCGCTTGAACGTGGGAGGCAGAGATTACAGTGAGCCAAGATTGCGCCACTACCCTCCAGCCTGGACAACAGAACAAGACTCTGTCTCAAAAAAAAAAAAAAAAAAAAAAAACAGGTCCCGGGAGACACCTGACTCCAGCTGCCTGCCCCACTGCAGGTCTTCAGGGGCTCCCAAGACTGCCGCCTGTCCTCAGGCCTCTCAGGGATCTCTCCAACCCACCCCTGCCATCTGGGCCACCCCTGCTGCCTCTGCCTCTCTATTCCTAGTCATGTCTCCAGCCAGGATGTCCAAGACCCGGCCAGGGCACTGGGGACACTTCTTGCCTCCAAATCTTCCTAAAATCTCCTTCCCTGGCCTTGCCCTTCATAAACCCTGTTCTGCCATAACTGGTTAATTTGATAACCAAGAAACAACAAGTCTTAAAATAAGTGTTAGTGAAGCAATGATCAGTGCATGGGTGACTGAGGGGCCGACTTCGGTTACCTAAAGGCTGCCAGACCACCCATTATCTACTGACCACCACTCGAGACCGTTTCCCACCCTCCCTCCGAGACTGTGCGTGGCTGGGGTGGCCTCTCACCATCGCCACGTCCTAAGGTGGCAACGAGACTCAGGCCAAGAACACACAGCGCGACCAAAGGCACTGCCATTTCCCGCAGGAATCAGAGGCGGGTGCTTTGTTTGGCTGTTTTTGTTTTGTTCTTTTTTGTGTTTTTAATAGGAGCGGAGAAATCAGAAGCAGGAAGGAGCATCTGGGTTTTTTCCTGCTTCTGCTCCAGGGACCCCATGAAACCTCAGAGTCCCTGACCGTCCTTAATTAACTCTTGTGTGCAGACCGCAGGCTGCTCTGCTACAGAGAAGCCCCAGCAAATTCGTGCCTTGGTTTAAAAGCTGCGTGTGCCAGCTCTGGGCTTGCTGTGATGTGTTAATAACGCAGTGCTGGGCTAGAATCTTAACAAATGTCAGAAAAGCTGCAGAGATGAGTCACTGTCTGGAACCAAAGAAAAACACGAGGCCTCCTTATAGAGTCCAGAGGAGTAATTGTCACAAGCATTTGATGGAAGACCTCATAAGTGCGTGCAGTGAGCTCATGACCCACGCAGAAAGCATTGGTGAACACTCCAAAAACATCTTCCACAGCTTAATGGGATTAGAAAACTCTAGCTCTGCATCTTAGGATTTTAAAAGTTCCTCTTTTCTGGAGGCAAACAGCACCTAACTGATCTGGCATGTCTTTGGTATAAACAACTTATGGCTGTTTCAAACACAAAAGGACCTAAAAGGATGACTTTTATTAAAATGTTGATCTCAAGAAATAGAGCCCGTCGTTACACAAATAATCAGTCTTGCCTCAGATCTCGTACTTCCTACCTGTTGAGTAAACACCACCCCCTTACAACTTCCCCTGACAAATGCAAGCTCTTTGCAGAGCTAATTTCCTGTACCTTTGTGAGGCCGGGGCCCTGGACATTACAGACCCATTTATGAAAATAGGAGAGGTAATTGGGACATCTTTTGAAATCATGTCCCCTCTCTCTCGCAGGCCCCCATCAGCCCTCTAATTTTACTTGGTCAGGTTACAGAGGATGTTTACATACGCCTCTTCCTGGAATTTCACCTCTTTGCTTCAGGAGTGGGCAATTAGAGAGAATTAGGGCCTATTTGGTGCCTGTTTACCGTTAATGGATGGAGTGGCGGAGGCAGCCTTGGGAAAGCAGTCTGCCCGTCTAATTGAAGCTGGCAATTTTTCGATTCCTCATTTCAGCTCGCAGGTATTGTAGCAACCAAGGTCACAAAACAAAAGCTGCAGCCCACCACGGTAATAACCAGGTGCAGGCCCAGCCGGAGGTTTTGTGAGCTGTTCATTACTACACACTGCAGCACACAGAGATAGCTGGGAATGTTGGCAAAGCTGAGTCTAAGATGGGCAGCCAGTGCAGGCGGGTGATGATCACTTTTCCAGAAGTTGTCATCCTGTTGGCTTTTTCAGGAAGTTCTCAGCCGACTGGGCCACCGTGCCAACAGAGGCGCTGGCGAGGGTCTCAGGACCCAAAAGGCACAAGGTGAGCCACGGGGGTTGGGGGAACGAACATCTCCTGGTTCTGAAGCCACAAGTCCAGTCTCATTAAACAAGAGTCACTCTACAGACCAAAAAGGTGTTCCAGACCAGACCAGCAGCCTGCCTGTTTGGAATAATGCCCCATAAAACACGATCCCTGCATCCCAGCTCATGGGGCAGCCCCTTGGAACCTTCTTTGGGCAAGAGCTCTGACCCACACTAATGACCGGTGACTGTGACCCCCCCCGACCACACAGGTCACACAGGAGCTGGCAACTGGCAGGGGCTTCACCTCCAGGGCCTGCTGCCGGCTCACCGTGCAACCTCGGGCAAGGCTCCGGGCCTCTGGGATCGCTGGTTTCCCCACCTCTAAAGCAGAGGGGGCAGCGGACCAGTGACCCCCAAAGTCCCAACAACTCCAAAGACCCAGCAAACAAACGACAGATGACCTCCAGGGAGGCCTGAAGAAACCCCGAGCCACTCGGACGACCATGGGCCTGCACTCGCCCATTTCGTAGACGGGAAAACTGAGGCCTAAGGGGCTGGAGACAGGGGCCAAGGTCACACCCATAGTCAGGGCTGAGCACAGGCTCTAACCAGGTCTCTGGAAGACTGCTGACCTCTCTGAGGCTCAGAAGCCAGCAGCAGCAAAGTCAGTGACCAGCCAAGACTGAGACCTGTGCCCCCCTCCTGTCACGGCAGGGACTTTGTCCCTGGTGCCTCTGGAGTGGCCCTACCCTTACGGCAGTCTGGGGCAGTGGTGGTGCAAACAGCTTCGCTCTAACCTGAAGCGTCCCCTCTCTCGCAGCTGCCCACCATCCCTGCGGGCCACCATGACCCCCTCCTCTCCTGGCTAACTGTGAAACAACAGCCCTGTGGATTTCTGAGCCCCCTACCGCCAACTTCCTGAGTAGGGAATCACTCTATGTCCACTGCCAGGAAGGCCCAGAGAAAGGGCTGGGGTGGCAGAAGGAGCAGCCCAGCTGTGAGCGCGGAGGCCGGCGCAGACATGCGGTCAGCCTTTGGCCCCCGACTGTCCTCCTTCCCCAACTTTCCATCCTGGACCTCTCTCCCCGCAGCCCCATTCTGTCTCTTTGGCTATATTTCAGGCATCAGGCCCAGGTTGATCAAATTTTTGTTTACAGGCTCAATCACTCTGATTCCCCTTTGCTAAGAAACTTTCAAAATCAAGCCCTAGAATCTAAGAGCGTGAGCATCCCAGGGTCGCGCGAACCCAGTGGCTGGTTAAGTGCGTCATTGTGCAGCCTTGGAGCTCCCGACACACACACAAGGGCAAGGGGCCCCACACAACCCCTGGGAGGGAACACACACACACTCCGTTTCAGGGGAAGGTAATTGACGTTTTCTTCTTTTCATCTGGAAAAAAAGGCACCTTCCATTGAAAGGGCGCATTCACAGAACCTGGGAAAACTCATCTGCGCTCAGCCCTCCCAATTATCCCCAGGTGGCTGTTCCCCACGGGGGGCTCCCCCACATTCCTCTCGGCCTGAGCCTTTGTTTCCATCTGAAACAGCCCTGGGAGCTCCCAGGCTAAGAGTCTCCTCCTTAAGCCCCTGCCAAAGACCCTATTCACTGCTCAGAGTCGAGGCAAGCCGAAGGTGGTGGGCAGCCTTCCTTTCTCCCAGGATAGGGGACTTAAGAACTCTCCATCTGGATTTATTTTTAAGCTCAAAGAAATTGGAGAGCAGTTAAGAAAGTCATGGCTACACCCTTCACCACCATCCTCTCCCTTAATGAACTCCTCTCTCACACACAGTCCCTCATGTTGGGAGGCCCACGGCGGCCCCAGTGACCCAGCACCTGCTCTGTACACGGGCCGCCCACGATCGCCAAGGGCTCAGGGGTGACGCGAGCTGAGAGGACAGACAGAGATATGTCCCAAGTCCTCATCACAGTTTATCCTGAGTAAAGTGACCAGTTTTCCATGGTGAGGATCAGGGCCCAGGCCCTGGCCTCAGGACCTGACTCAAACCCAGAAGGCCCTAGAATTCCAGACCTACGGGCCTCTCAGGCACCGCAGAGCTCGTCTTGGCAAAGATAAGGGGTCTCTCCATGTCTGCTGGATCCGGCTGGAGCTGGAACCCCTCTTCTGGCAGAGTGCCCTCCTGCTGCAGTGTCTGCAGGGCTCCTGGGACAGGAGGTGGGAGGGGAGGGTCTGCACGCCCTCATCAGCCCCGAGGGCCCCCCACACTCCCACCTTTC
This sequence comes from Homo sapiens, assembly GCF_000001405.40. Lineage (NCBI taxonomy): Eukaryota > Metazoa > Chordata > Mammalia > Primates > Hominidae > Homo > Homo sapiens. Next base: position 100,839,662 of record NC_000014.9, on the reverse strand, counting down.
CTGGCTCTGAAACACTGACCCAATCCATGCCAAGGAGGCAAGCCTGTTCTGTGGCTCCCCTTTCCTTAGACTCCCCCAAGAACCTGTGGGCAGCCCAGGTGTGGGACTGCCCTGTCTGAATGGGGCTCCATACGAGACCCTCTCCTACCCCAGATTCATCCTTCCCCTTTCCAGACCAGGAACCCCACATCTGAGGCCTCGTTTCAAAAGGTACACCTCTTTTCTAGACTCTTCCATCTGCTCAAATCGGGGATGGGAGACGAAGCTAGACCTCCTTATTCCTCCTTTGGAAGAGGGGACAGGGCTCAGAGAAACAGCAGGGAGGGGGAACCAGTCCTTGGGACACTTCACAACTCATTAATTCCAGTCTCCTAAAAAGAAGCCACTCCCAGCGACCCAGGGCTTTTCCACTGCAGCTCACAATGCTGGCTTCCGCATTGTCCACTGCCCTTTAACCCTTTGGGACCTGAATCTGTCTCCCTCCACACCCCCTTCTGTAGGAAGCTCCCTTCCTCTTTGCAAGGAAAAATTCATTAGCAAGTTCATTAAAGATGGGTAGATTTTCCTTTTCATTCTTTTTGGAAGTCAGATTGCTCATAAAAAACACACTTAAGTTATTTTATGTAAATGAATGAATAAGAAACACATGCATCCTGTTGCCCTTAAGTCTTGCCAGGTTTTGACATTATTTGGAGAAATGTACTTGGAAATTCATTTGGGGTTTGAATCACAACTCAGGAGGCATGAGGTCAGGGGCCCTGAAAGCAGCAATGAGCAACTCGCAGGTGAGAGAATGTGGGGGCGAGTGAGCGAATGAGGGGTCATGTTCTTCCTTTCCACGAGCTCAGGCCTGAGCTACCCTCTTGGTTTCCTTTCCCAACCACCCAGGGCGGGCAGGTGCGAGAGGAGAGCCAGTTTCCAGACCAGACCGCCGTCTTTACCCTGACACTTGCACCCACCCAGAAGAGTCCCACTAGAGGCAGCCCCCTAGGAATCAGCACGATGACAAATGGCCAGAGACCCCTCACCGCCCTCCGCTGATGTGACAGGGTCCTCTGTGGCTCACTGCCTAGTCAGTCAGGGTCTCATCTCCACCCGCTATGGCTCAGGCATTGGCCAATCCATCAAAATAGAATTTTCCTGAAAATGATCATGTCTTTCAGCACTTACTAGTGGCCTTTCGGCAGTTCCCGAGAAGATCACCAGCAAGGCTGACGTAGTAAGTCACGTTTCAACTTCTTTCATTGAGAACGTGGCATATTTTACCTATTTTATACCTAATGACACACAAAACCCCAAATATGTGTTTGCCTGAGACCGAAACACTCATGAGTACCTGAAATACAACTCAGTGCAAAGAGGGTTCCATTTCAACCCCTGAGAGCCAGGGGCTGCCAAAGCTTGGTCCTATCTGGGCCTCTCCTGTGTGCCCCTGGCCTTCACTTTGACTTTGTCCCTGGGCTTAGTCCACCTTGGGAAAGTCCTGAGATGTCCGTGAGAAACCAGTCCAAGAGCTGAGGGCATCTGGCTCAGACCAGTTACTCGAATGCATTCTAGTAAGCTTGGGACAGGATCCCCCCAGGACCCCAGCAGCCTGCCCCTGTGCAAACCTCCCCTCCCGGGCCTCTTCTCCACATCACTGTGTTTGCAGGTGGCTCAGCAAATGCTAGCCTTGGAGTAAATGTCACGGGGCAGAGCCTTCCTGGGCCCCCTCCCTGGGTTTAGCCCTGGGCACACACTCCCCTCCCCGTCTCTCCAGGCTCTGGGGCTCTCCAGAGAGCAGAAACAAGCAGACAAAGGCAACAGCCCCAGGTTAGAGCGCCTCTGCCCCCTCTGCCTACGCTGCCAGATTTTGTTTAAAAATAATATCCCCATCCCATTTCAATTTCAGGGGAGAAGTGCAGGGCTGCAGGAGAGCTGTCTCCAAATCCTCTGTTTGATTAAAGAGCATTACGAGGCTGCGTCGGAAACCAGAGACACTCCGGGGGTGGGGGGTGGCGGAGGGCGGAGGCCTGCACAAGGGCTGATGCGTGCACATGGCTGAGGACTAGAGGCTGGGCCCCACCCAGCGTGCAGCTGTGTTCATCCACTTCCTTCTCAGAGACCCCATTCGTGGGCGTCCAGAGGGGAGTATTGGCATCTGGGCCAAGGACAGTGCTAGGGCCCCCTCAAGCCTCCATAAATGTCTGGGGGAATGGAGCCAGCCTCACCCCACGGTTCAGACCTTTCTCAGCGCCCACCCAGCTTCTCTGGGAAGTCTAACTGCACTCATTCACCACAATGGCCACCCCAGGGGCGTCATATATGAGGGGTGCCAGGATCCTGACACTGCCTCCCAGGGCAGTGGCTCTAAAAACACCCCATCGCCCTGAGTGAGCCACAGACTCAGTCCCTGGGACCCCCAGAAAGGAAAGTGGCCTCAGCTGAGCCTCCTCTCTTCCTGCCAGCCCAAACTTCAGCCTGGCATGGCCGTCCAGCATGCCACCCTGAGCCCCCGCCCTCGACGACACCTCGCCTGGCTGCTGTGCAAGCCACCTTGCTGCATGGGTGCTCCACGGCACCCAAGTAGACCCTCTGGTCCTTAGTGCAAAGCCCAGCCTTAGGCGCCCCAGAACAACCCCAGGCCCGAGCCCTGGACGGCTCCCGGCTGCATCTTGAATTAGTAAAACACAAATAAACAAATGATGGGTCCTCGAGTGAATTGTGTGGCTCCAATCCCGCTTTCTTCTTCTCTACCATTGCTGTTTTATTTAAACAAACAAAAACATTCCCGTCTCATTGCAATTTCAGGGGTGAGGAAAGGAGGAAAGAGAAGAACTTGCTCAAAAACCACTATTTGATTAAAGGACATTATCAAAGCCTCATGTGTGAGAAACCACGGTTCTCACAGGGGGTGACGCTACCATGGCTGGTGGAAAGAAATGTCTTCCTAGCTGAGGAGCAGGCAAGCATTCCCATTTCCTCCTCTCCGAAGGGGTCCCTGGGCCGGGTGTGGGCAGGGCAAGTGCCCCCTGGATCCCTTTTGCAATGTGTTCAGCAAAGCCGTACTGAGGGCTCCTGAGTGCCTGGCCCGAGCCGCTCTCGGGGGTCTAGAGTGGAGGTGGACACTCCCCACCTACCGTCGCCGGCCCACAGCATGCCATCAGCCAGGGTGGACCCCCACACATGCTTGCTGGGTATAGCAAGGGTCTCCACTCCAGGCAGCTCTCCGGCCCCCAGACCCCTGGGGCTGATGTGAAGAGAATTCACCTTGGCAGGGTGCCTCCTCCCCAAATTAAATGTTGACACTCTTGTTGATCAGAGAGGAGAGACATGAGCTGACCCTAATAAAATCCTGGGTCTCAAGAAAGCAAGAAACTCACCCCAAACCAGGAAGGAGACGAGAGGCCCGCCAGGAAGAAGACTTGGGTCCGGGATGGTGGGCCCCATCAGGGCCTCTTCCGCAGCTTCCATCCGCAGTTCTTCAGCCGACCCAGCCGGGCCACGGCCCACGTGCCTTGGGGAAGGGCAGAGAGTTAGAATCATGGCAAGGCAAGCGCCCCGGAAAAGCCAAACACACCGAAGAAAGACTCGGGGCACGGCCTCACCTGCAGTTTACTTTTCGGTGGAGTGGGGTGACTACTGGGGGATGCCCAATGACAGGAAAAGGTGCAAAGCAGCAACGGGCTGGGTTAGGGGCAGCCCCAAATCCAGAACTGAGTGGGGAGCAAGGGACCGGGCGGGGCAGAGCCCAGGACTCTCAGGGCCACGGCGGAGGCAAAGGCAGGCGGGGGCAACACCCACCAGGGCACGATCACGAGGGGTCTCTGGGATGGGACAGGAGTCTGTCCATAGCCCTGAGGCCAGGCCCACAGGAGGAGGCACTGGAGGATGCTTGGCAGGAGATGGAGACACCAGCAGGGGCTTGTCGGGGGCACTGGGAACCTGCTGGAAACAGGCAGCTGGAGTGGGAGTGGCTCCTGGGGCAGGGGAGTGGTACTCAGACCACAGGAGGGCCAGGTGACCACAGGTATGGGCTTGGCAGGGAGAACCAGCCTGCTAGGCAGAGGGCTGTGGAGCTGAGCCCTGGAGCCCAGGGACTGAGGCAGAGAAGGGGAGGTTGGTCAGGCCCACCTCAGGAGACAGAGCAAAGCGGAGTGCCGGGTGGGTGAGGAAGCTGGCCGCTGGAGAGCCACCAGGGAGAGCAAGCCAGCAGCCGGGCAGAAGCAGAGCCTGCAGATGCTCCCTGGAGGTTTCCCCTGCTGGTCCTCGGCATGGGAGGTGGGCCCCAGCAGCTGCTAGAGAGTGAAGGAGCTGGACCAAGCCCCGGGGGAGGAAGGCATCACGGCAAGGGAAGGGTCGCAGTCACAACCACACCTCGAGAGGGAGACCTGTGGCCAAAGCCCGGGGGGGCACACACTACAGCTGTTCCCGTGCCCACTTTGGTCCTGAGAGACTCAGGGCCAGGGGTCCAGAACAGTTCAGCATCAGGAATGGGGCGGGGAAGGCAGAGAGGGAGAAGGGGCTGGCTCCGACCAGAGCAGAGCCCTGGGGATAGCTTGAATCTGCCCTCACACCCTCCGGCCTACCTCTATGGAGCCACAGTCCACTGCTCCAGCCCCTGGGCAACCCCCCGGCCCGCCCTCCTGGGGACACAGAGGCCATCAAGGGATGGGCTACGGTGGCCGGTGCCCAGGCCAGACCAGGGCCGTGGGCGTGCTCAGTTAGGATCAACTGTTGGATGACGGGATGGCCGCGCGGGTGAATGCAGGGACGCGACCAGCAAGGCCCCCGTTCAAATGGGGCAGGGGTCGGAAGCTGCTCACACACCTCTCAAAAATGAATTCCACCCTCCAGCCTTTGCACCTAGAACTCTTCGCATGGCCCAGCTAGTGGCTCAGCTGTGGTGGTCGAGTCCTTTCATTCACTCACCTGGCGAAACCAACATCCCACATACTCTAACTGAGCCCCACTCTGTGCCAGGCTGGTGCTGGGACACCCTGAGGAGACACGGGGCTGGTCAAGGGCACCCCGGGATGGCCAGGTCAGGAACTGGGGAGGGACAAAGAGAGGGAGATATTGAGAGAGAGGAAGACGAGGAAGAAGGCAACAGAAGCAGAAAAAGCAGGGACTCAAGGAGCCAGGTTAAAGGGCTGCCCCTACACTCAAGGGAGCAACGAGACCCCTCTGCCGGTGCCTCAGAAAAGTCCAGAAACCCAAGCAGGATGGGGACGTGGGGAGTTAACTTTTGAAAGTTTTTAGGGCTCCAGGAGCCTTGGGCACAAAACCCCAGAGAACCTGCCGGGGGCCAGCTGATTTCTTCCACGCCCTCTCCGGGCTTTCCAATGTCCACAGGAGCTACTGCAGCACTAACAGTGGCTTTGGGGCCTGTATGTGAATGACTGCCATGTGTTTGAGGGTGAGGAGAGTGCCATGGATTCTTCATTACTATTGAAAGTCTTCTCATTTAGAAACATCAGGCGTGCTCTATTTTTCTACTCTCCAACAGCTACATGGCGGGGAGGCCAGGTTTTCGTGTGATCTCAGCTTCAGAGGTCTACACCCGAGTCCACCCATAGTCAGAGTGGCCAACTACATCACCGTCACTGGGAAAGTCTCGCCTTGGCAAAAGGGGATGAAAGATTGCCTCAGGCTTTTGCCCCAACCGGCCAATGGGAGATCCTTCCACATTCTTCCTCGTGGGGTGCTGGGGTAGAGTTGGTTTTGCTAACTTGGAAACAGTATCCGATTCTAATTCACGAAGCCAGAGAACCTTTAGCCAACAGACTCACTAAGGGAGGAAGGTCCCGTAAGGTTTCAACTAATAACATTTTCTTGCTCCAACTACCTCCCTTATCCCCTAGTTTTTTTTTCCATTTGGCTGAAGGTCTGACTGGAGCCTAAAGTTTAATTGGAGTGATTTAATCATGATTGATCCGCCTTGGGGTGAGAAATGTCCAGAGCTTGGGACAAATAAGGGCATGTTTCAGACTCGGGACATACCTGCTCTAAAGAATTATGGGCTCTAGGGAGCTCAAAGATCAGAACAAAAAGAGGAGGAGGGTTCAGGCAGGGTACAGGACATGTGGGTGAAGATATTAAGGGGCAAAAGAAGAACTACTATAGGGCTGGGCATGGTGGCTCACGCCTGTAATCCCAGCACTTTGGGAGGCTAAGGCAGGTGGATCATGAGGTCAGGAGTTCAAGACCAGCCTGACCAACATGGTGAAACCCCGTCTCTCCTAAAAATACAAAAAGTAGCCGGCTGTGGTGGTGGGCGCCTGTAATCCCAGCTACTCAGGAGGCTGAGGTGGGAGAATTGCTTGAACCCGGAAGGCAGAGGTTGCAGTGAGCCGAGATCACGCCACTGCACTCCAGCCTGGGCGACAGAGCGAGACTCCATTTCAAAAAAAAGAACTACAAGTTCTGATTCCGGACTCCCAGATGTGAGTTTTAATCTCCTCTCCACTGATTGATCCTGACTAATCACTAGCCCCCTGTGCCCAATTTCAACAGTATGCTGGAGTCAAATCTGAACCCCAAACTATGCCCTCTTAAGGGGGGTCCCTCTGGGATGCCAACATGCATTCACTTCTTCACCTGGCTAGGCATTCCATGAGTATTCACATTGTAGTCACTCCCCTAGGGCTATGCCCAGGAGTTAGTACTTTCCTACCACTTGGTGATCTTGAGTGAGTTTTGGATGTCCTCAATGGGTCCTGAGATGAGTCAGAGGAGAGCTAGAGTTGGGAACTGATCACCAGTGGCCCCCCCAGTCCTCAGCTCTTGAAGAAAGGGAATGAATGCTCTGGCCATTTGCATCTGTGCGAAGGATCGAACAAAGCCACTTTCTACAATGCAACCCTGTCCGACGCCCCCCTTCCCAAAGCTGCCTGCAACTTTCAACCCCGCTGAATGGACTTCGCACTGGGACAGAGGCAAAGACTTAAATGAGAAGCCAAAGAAATGTCGGCTCCATCACCAAAATTAGAAGTGTGGCTTAAGAAGCCACATCGCCCCGGCCCGGCGGTGGCCAGTTCACCTCATTATGATAATCAGTGTGTTTTTCCTTCGCAGACAAAGAAGGATCCTTATGCGACGAATACTGGAATCCAGCAGCTAACCTCATTAACGTCTGCAGCCTCTTCCTTCGACAAGGCCCGAGATTAGCCCTGTGTTCATTAAGGGAAAAGGGCGGAAAGTGGAATAAAACTGAAAAACACCGCCAGGGTAAGGGGGAGGGGAGGCCCTTTTCTGTTAGCCATTCATTCACTGAAATACTTCGTGTACCTTCAGGATTTAATCACCAGCAAAGGGGGCGGTAGGGAGGGGGCAGGGTTTACCAGGATGTGGGAGGTAAAGAGGTTAAACTCGATGGAAGGAGTTAAAAACCCAGAATAGGGTGATTTGATGTGAAAGCTTCCTGGGATTTGTCACTGGGATAATCAATTTAAAACCTTCTTCCCATTTGCTTTCTTTTAGCCCAACTAACGTAAGGGGAAACCGTCTTTGGATGTGTTTTTGGTGGCTTTTAATATTTTCTAAGTCTCCCTTTCCTACTTTTTTTTTGTCTTTAATGTCTTTGTTTAGTTATTCTCTTCTCCTGTCTCTCCTGCACGCTCCTCCCTTTCCACTTCTTTCTTCTCTCTTCGGTCCTCCCCGTGGGAACCTAATGTATACGAAAATCTAGTGGTGCCTCCAGTTGTATTTTCCCATGAATGCTTTATTGACTTTGCTTCAAGCCTTTCAAATGGCATCTGGTGCTTACCTGTGAGACATCCCACCTGACCTGCCAGATAAAGACGATTAACCCTATTTTGAAACTGAGATAAACCTGGCTTGGAAAAGTTTACCTACCCCAAGGTCTCAGCACTAAGTAATTTAACTAGGACTCGAACCCAGGCAGCGACTCCTGACTGCTTAAGACGGCATGGTAAGAAGCAGGTCCAGAAGTCGAGAGACCTGGGTGTGCAAGTTCCTAGGGGATGCTAAGAACGAGAGAAGGGGGAGCAAGTGTCTCTGTGAAGGGAGTGTAAAGACACAGAAGTGAACCGGAGACGCAGAGCCCTGTGAGAGAAGGCATGAAAATGTGTCCTTGTGTCCATGAGCCGAAAACATGACAAGGATTAAGCCACAGAAAAGTCTTTACCTTTGTGAGCGTGCTTCCACGGAGTAGAGCGAGTCAGGAAGCAGTGGGTTGAAGAGGAAATTGGAGGTGAGGAAGGAAGACAGCAAGTGTAGACAGGCCTTTCAAGAAGCTTGGCTGTGAAAGGAAAGACAGAGACTGTAGTGGCTAGAAAAGATGACAGCAGGGACCTGGGAGGCTCCAGGCTGCCGGCACAGCAAAGTCAGAAATGCAGAGGGAGGCCTTCTGGAGGTGGCCGGGACTGAGACAGGTACAATTCTTCCTCTAGAACTCAGGGAACAGGGGTTCAATGATCCAGTGGGGCCCAATCTGTGGAGCCTCTTGACAGCCTCTGTTTCCCTGGGAGTGGCAGTGGCCGGTCCTGGCTCAGGACAGGGAGTTGTGAGGATCAAATGAATGGACGGTTGCAAAAAGTGACAGAAACATTCACTACCATTACTCACTGGGAGCAGGACTCTCGATTTTACAGCCCACTCGAATCTCACTGGGGCCTGGATTTTCACTGACCATAAATTATTCGTCCTGAACATTAAGGATGTAAAAACCACTGGTAAAAGCTCCTGCCAGTCTCTGGAAGACAAAAGGTCCCCTCCTAATAGCCTGGATTAACTCAAAGCAGGTCTCCGCCCACTTCATTTGTCACCGTCCAAGTCATCCTTGCACCTCCATTTGCCACATAATCCAATCAGCCCCTTTCAGAGGCTGGGCAGCTATTGTCTACACTGAGCTGGGCTTCTCTAAAGCAGCCCAAGTTGTTTTTGTCTTGTCCGGACAAAACTGGTTGGCTTAAAACGGGACGAAAGAAATTCCTGGTCAAATGAGGACCCCAATTAGGTTCCAAGAGACTGTTTTCATTATCTTTGTATCAGATACCTAGCCTGGTGCACTGGGCAGATTGTCGGTGCCCCAGAAAATGTTTGTTGAATTAATTCATTTTTATTTATTCTGGAATTTCTTAATTGAACACAAACACACACAGCACCTACTGAGTGCTGTTCTCACTAAGGGAGAATTGGGCTGGACATGTGAGCAAGGAGGGACAGCCTCGGGTGCTTGAGTAGCTCACACTTTCCACAGCAATTTACAAAGCACTTTCATAGTAGTTACAGCATTTGGTCTTCAAAAGCGCCCTGTGGGGTAGATACACGAGGGGGTGTGTGTGTGTGTGTGTGTGTGTGTGTGTGTGTGTGTGTTTTAATCTCCATTTAGACCATGAAAGAAACTGAAACTTAGAGTAGTTAAGCGACTTGTTTAAGGTCACACTGTTATTAAAAGGTGAAGCCAGCACATGGTACCAGCACTGGGGCCACCCAGACCCCCAAGACCACCCCAGGCAGCTGGGATTTCAAACAGACTGTCCCATTGTCAAACATTTGGTTTGAAATAAAAGGACTCTTAGTATAACTCTGGGCCAGAGGGGAAGAAGGGGTGAGGGCAGCTAGCGTGGCACCCTGGGTCCAACTCCAACCCCTTCTGTTGCCAGCAATGTGACCAAATACTTACACCTCCCAGCAAGTTTCTGTTTCTTTAATGTAAATGTAAGCCCTACCCCATGGGACAGAGAGTTCAGTCCTCACGGGTCCTCTCTCCCTTTCAGCTTCTTTAAATTACAAAAATCAACACTACCAAATGCATCCTCACCTGGAAATGAGGCTGCCTCGTTTACATACACATATTACATAAAAATCACATGTTCATATCACATAGAAAGTGCTCTGGAAATGGCCACATGCATAATTCGTGTTCTTACTCAAGTCAGCCCGTCGATGGTCTCTGCAAAGCCCCTACCTGATGCAAGGAGAGCCCGTGGACAAGGGCTGCCTGGAGTGCTGTTGGAGAATAAATAAGACAAGTAAGACAAGCAAGAGGGGTGGGAAGGGACTGACCTGTCAAACCTTTTCAACAAACATTTGCTGATCACCTCCTCTATGCCAGATCCTGCCTGAGGCCTCTTTTATCTCATTTAATTCTCACAACAACCCTAGGAGGTTGCTCTCATCGACCCCATTCCCCCAGAAAAGGATAGGAAGATCTTCAGAGAGGTCGGGCGTGCCTTTGGTGATTCAGTAGCATGCTCATTCCAGAAGCCCACCCAGGGCCTTGGAGTTGCCAGCAGGATGCTGGCCAAGCCCTTGGCCCAGGTCCCCCTCCTGAGAATTTCCCAAAGGGATCCTTCCATTCAGGACATCATAAGGGTGATGACAGAGTCAGTCGACAAAGACTGACACCCCCTTGGGGAGGGAAACACTCCAGTTTGCTAGCAGGTGAACACAAGCAAAGACTTATAGGAAAGTACTCATAGAGTCAAAGTATGAGCATAGCAAAGGTCAGGGCTTAATGCCCAATGCCCCCTCACTAGGGCATTGGTTTAAGTCTTTAGGTAAGAGGGACAGCTGGCTGGTCAGTTCCGGTCCTCTTCATCCTTTGCCATCCTGGTCCTGGGGGTCAGTGAGTGGCTGCTTTGTATGTTGGTGGGATCCAGGAAACCGTGCTCCTAGTGCCCTCTGCAATTGATCAAAGGTTAGAGAACCTGCTTAAAAGCCCAAGCCTAGATCATAATTACAGTTTAAGTTCATTAATTACAATTAAAGCTGATTAGTTAAAATTTAAAATTGTCTTTTAATTGCTAGTGGGTCTGGGGGTGGTGCAAGGATGGTGGTGGGGTTGGGAGATTCTGCCCGCCACGTTGGTTATGAAATGATAGCAGGAGGGTTGAAGTACCGTGAGGTGTAGATGGGCAGCAGGCCCCTTGGCAGCAGCTCAGCATGGAGAGGAGGTGGTCCTTGAAGACAAGGAGGTGGACGGATGATGTCATCCCTGAGGAGAGACCCTATGGCATGGGAGGGGGGCAGGTTAGAAACCATCTTCGTGACCTCTAACGGCCAGCACCGGAACAGCAGAGAGCAAAAGGGGGCAGGCAGAGGGAAAGGCAGGGAGGAGTGGCAAAGGGGAGGACTGAGGAAGGCAGTAGGGAGGGGCTGGGAGGGAAGAGGGAGGGGTATGGAGGGAGGAAGGAGGGGGGCAGGGAGAGGGGAGGAGAGAAGGGGAGGGGAAAAGAGAGATGAGGAAAATGAGGGGGGAAGAGGGAGGAGGGAAGAGGAAAGAGGGAGGAGGGAGAAGAAAAATAGGAGGGGGAGGAGGGACGAGGAAATGAGAAAGGGTGGAGGGAGAGGAGAAATGGGAGGTGGAGGAGAGGAGTGGGAGGGGGTAAGGATGATTTGACTGACAGGTCACAAGTGTTAGCTGTGTGCGTGTGCGCAACTCAAAACCCAAGGTAGCGGGGCTGGCACACACCGCTAGGGGGCGCGCGGCCCGCACCCGTAACCCAGGAGTGCAGCAGCCACCTGCGGCGCCCCGGCCCGCGCCCGGCGGGCCTGGATGGACAGGGGGTGCCCAACAGGTCTCAGGCTAGGAAGGGCTCCACAGCCCACCCCAGGCCACCGCGCCAGGTCGCTACGCCCCCTGGACGCCTCTCCAGCCACCACCAGCCAGAGCCCACCTGTGGCTGCGGCGCAGCGCCTCCCGCCCGCACCAGGCGCCTCCTGCGCCCCCAGCCACCGGGCCCCAGCCCCAGAGGAAGGTGGGCCACCCAGCGGACCTGCGCCAGGCCCCTCTGGAGCGCCGCTCCGCCTGCTACAGGGAAAAGCAGAAATCCCGACTCCCACCTTCGTCAATCCAATTAAACACACGTTCACTAAAGTCAGAAAGACCCAGTCCTCCAGGCACCGCTGTCACGCATGTGGGTGGTCTCGGAACGAGAGACAGAACCTGTGACATCGCTGGAAAGTAACGCAAAGGGGGCCACCACGCCGCTCCCCGCCTTCGCCCCCAGGCATCAACATCACGCCTCCAAAGTCGTGCCTCCCTCCTTCGCCACAACAACAATTTCTAGCCCCCGCACGATGGCCCCTCACTGACCTTGTCACAGCCTCTCTCTCCATCCTGCTCAAATGAGCCACACCTTCCTAAGACCCCCGAAACCAAAAACCACTGGAAATCAACTAACGTGCCTCTGTGCGCCTCCACAACACCCGAAGCCACGGCGCAAAGGCCGACCCCGGCCTCTGCGGCCACTCCGCAGTGAATCCGGGGGGTCTCAAAACTGTTCCCTCTTGGGTAAACGAATCCAGGATCCTCCAGTAGATCCCGCGCCCGACCCCCTCCATCAGGAGAACAAAGGCCACCTCCCCTCCCCACCCCGCCCCCCAAAATTCCGCAGTGCCGCCAGCGCCCTCTCGCGGCCAGCCAGGAAACCTTCCAGAAACCTGCCACGTAGCCACCCGCCTGCGCCCCCACCAGGCCCGCCGGCCCAGGGTGGGAGGGGGCGGCCTGGGGGGGCTTGACTCTGACAAAGGAAATGGCAAAAGGCGATTTGACCAAAAGTCCAAGACTGCAACATGTCAGGATTTTCGAGCGACCACCACGCAACGCTCTGAAGACCCCCGCGGCACCCCATCCCCAGCTCCCAGCGTCCAGACCCCAGCAACACACCCCCTTTTCTGCATTTCTCTCCTCCCTCTTCCCAGACCCAAGGACACGGCCTTCTCTCCTCCCCAACCCACCCCCTGCATCTATTCTCCCAGTGCCCCCAATCCCACGACCCCCCTTCGGCAAGGACTGATCCTAGGGGGCTACTGGCAGGTTTGCACTTGGGCGCCATCTCTCTCCACTGTGAAAGTGGCTGATCAGGGCAGAACCAGATGATATCGGGTAGAAATTTTACTCCACATTTTGCCTGGGGTCCACACTGCACTAAACCTGTGTATTTGGATTCGGAAAACCTCGCGAAGAGGAACCTCCACTCCTCCCGCCCACGATCCACCAAAAACCTGGCCAACAGCTGGCGAGGCAAATATGCCCGGGAGACCCTTCTATTCGGGTGCTTCCCCCCCTAATTCATGGGGCACGCAGAAGGCATCGCCGCCATATCTCCCACTATTAACGCGATTCTAGAGGCGGCTTCTAATACAGGAAATCCGGGGTTCGCCCCCCAGTGACTGCCGTATACCCGAATCCAAGAGGAGTTCCATCTGATTCCTCCCGCTCCTCTGAACTGAAGTCCCTACCACCCAGCCCACCCTTAAGGACTGGACCCTCCAGAGAGGAGCCCTGACTTCCCCCCAGGGAAATGTGCCTCAAGATTTTCTTTCTGACAAATTTTGTTGCGGACGCTCGGGGACCAGGCGAAGTGGCCGCCTCCAGCAGCAGGACCCAGGATCAGGCAGGCTCTCGGCATGTCCAGGAGGACAGAGCCCATCCCAGAAGCGGATGCCGTCTTCCTTTTGCACATCCTTTGCGGCAAGGATGGCCAACCACTCACCGGGTGAGGGATCCTCTCGTGGGCGCCCCAGCTCTCCTGAGGAGCCGCCGCCAAGGCCAGCGAGCCAAGGCGCGCTCCCTCTCTGCTCTCCGCCGTCTGCGCTAGGGGCTGGCTGGGTGGGGTTTATATGGAGGCGCAGAAGGGGTGGTCTCTGACGTCAGCGCATTCTGCTGCAATGCGCTCATTTCTCTAAAAGTGATTGGCCGGAAAAATGAGCCCCCCAGATTCTATGACAAATTGCTCTAGCCGCACCCAGATTGCAGCAAAGAAGGGAGGAAAAAATTCTGCCGCAGTGCCCCTGGCCGCCATGACCAACACCCTGTGGTCGCGGGTGCTTTTTCCCTGCGTGAGCCCGGCTCGCCAGGCAGGGTGAATTCAGGCACAATGTGTGGGGGGAATCGCCCCGATGGCTGGCCGTCCTCAGGCGGCCGATGGCCAAGGTGGGGCTGTCGGGGCGCAGATCCCACACCTGGCGGTTTCGGAACATCCATCGGAGGATGCGGGCTTAGCGAAAGAAAATCATGCTTTCTCTTATTGTTCAGGAAAATAAAATGCCCGGGCGACATAACTGGTTCCCAGATGTAAGCCAGAGGCTGTCACCCCCTCCCAGCCCACCCGTGCGTTTCTGACTGGTTCTCTTTGACATGGGAGACAGAGCTCCGCGTCTCCGAGTCAGAAAACCCTGGCTGTGGAGTCCCGGGCTCTGCCGCTTACAACTCATGTTCGCGGAACCCGCTATGCCCCTTCCTCTTCCACTGGGTCCGCTTCCTCCACCTTAACCAGGGGTACCCCCCACCACACACACCAGGGTTGTAATAAGAATCCAGACAGGAGCCGTGCCCTCTAAGGAAAGTACTTTTAGAGGGCGGACTGTGTCCCATGTGGAGATGCCTGAGCTACCCCTCAAAGTTGGGGTGATCCCCACACACATGCCCTTTGAAAGAGCCCCAGCGCCCCGAAAAACAGGCAGCGACACATGTTGCGCCGAGCCCTGCCGCGGCCTCGGCTCCGGAGCTGGCACATGGGAGTTAATCCCTAACAGGTGGGAGCCCTCGGCAGCTCTGCCCGGCTCTGAGTGGCAGAGCGTGCAGGGCCGTCAATCAAATGTCCTCTCGCAAAGGTCAAAATGCTGTTGAAAGGGACCGAGGATCTATCTTAGGGTGACAGGTGGGTGGCAGCCAGGAGGACAAGGATGGAGTGCTCGGTGACAGAAAGCAGGTGAGGATGAGCAAGGGGCCCCAAAGAGGACAGCAGAGAGGCCCCGCCGAGGGCATCAAGTCAGAATCGCTCCCCCGCACTTCTTTGGGGGGTTTAAGCGGCGTCAGAGGGAGCCCCCCATGCCCAACGATCCCACAAGGTGACTGTAAAGCAGACGGGAGATTCCAGGGCTGAAAAGAAGGGAGAAAGGCTATTTCTACGTCCACAGCTAATGACTAGGGAGGTGAACATTGACCGTCAGGTCACTAGAGGCGCCGAGCCTTGGGACGGCGTGTGGGGGGCTCGTTTTTTCATAAACAGGCGCACTGTTGGGGAGATAGAGACGTGGGACGTTGGGGTCCTCATGGGGCGCTGCTTTAATATGTCAGGTAACACGAAGGAGAAAGAAAACACCCCCTTTACAGCCTGTGGAGCTTGCCAGGAGCCCCAGGGACTAGAGCCCCGGAAGCAGGCCTTGCACAGCAGAAACGCCCGCACCAGCCACAGACGTCAAGAACGCTTCAAAAAATCATGGCTCCGAGCACCCGCGTCAACAGGAGAACGTTTATTAGCCACAGTATTAATAGCTAGGAAACAGCCAGAGCTGGCCGGGGCCAATCAGCAACCAGGAGCCCCTGTCGTCAGGCCCCCACGGCCAATCAGACGCCGGCAGGCCCGGTTGCTAGCCTCTCGGGGGCAGAGGCGAGGGGCACGCATTGACAAGGGGCTCGCATTCACCCGCCGCGCGTGGGAACTGTGGTGGCCGCCAGAGAGCATCCGCAGCCACGCACCCGGGGGCCCGGGAGGCTGTCGTAGACACAGTGCCAGCCCGCGTCAGCCCTGCAGCCCCACAAGGGCATGAGTTGACGTTCCGGTGGGAGCCCCAGGCCTCAGGTGGGATGCTCCTGGAGCCCCTAGAAGGAGAAACTTCCAGACACCTAATGTCCAGTCTCTCCTGTCAGGGCCTGGCGCCCCTGCGGGAAGTTGAGCCTCCCAGTGAGAAGCCAGCCTCTGCCCTATTCTGGGCCCCCTGGCTCTTGAGCCTGCTCCTTCGAGGTTCACAGTAAACCCCACTCTCCTATTTCAGGGCCTTACTGACAGCCCAAGGAAAAAGACCGTGGAAATTACGGGTTTCCTACAAAGCACCACGGGTTTGAATCCCGGCTCTGCTCCCTCCGCGCTGGGAGGCTGAGGTCCAGGCCCTCCCTCTCTGTGGGCCCCTACTTCCTCATCTGGAAAAAGGAAAGACTTGGACAAGATGGTCCCTAAGGAGCCTTCCAGTCCTACTTTGCTTGATTTGAATGTAT